>NC_000011.10:44605454-44908484 GCF_000001405.40 Homo sapiens
CACTGGGCTGGACCAACCATGGGGGTGATTGACTGAGTGTGGGGGATGGACAAGGAACCCCCCCAGTTGTCACAGACAGATCCAGTAGGTGTCAGGGACGGCCTCCTGGACACTATTCCTTGTGATCAAATGGGGGAGCGTTAGAAGAGAAGGCGGCAGGTGTGGGCAGTCCCCGCTGGGCCTGGATCTTAGCCTGACCCCCCTGCTTTCTAGCTGTGTGGCCTTGGGCAAGCTGCTTGCCTCTATGTGCCTGTTCCACCATCTGTAAAATGGAAACAATAAGAAAACTGAACTCTCAGAGTGGTTGCAAAGATTATTCGAGATTATCTGAGTGAAACACATAGCGCATGGCACCATAAGTACTCAATAAATGTTATTCTTGTTATTATTAAGATACTTTAGCAACTATTAAATCCATGCCACTCACCCACAAATGAGGTTTAGAAGGAGACCGTTAATAAAAACATCAGTCTTGTGTCCGAGGGGAGATGTTCAGCTTTCAGAAACAGAAAATCAGACTTACAGCGGCTTAAAGTTGAAGGACATCTGTGGTTGACTTGACCGGAAGTCTGGTTTGGAAGCTCAGAGGCCCTGGTTCTGGCTGTTGAGCATCCTCGCTGGGATGGCTTTCCTGCATTATGACACTTACCTCGTGGTTCCAAGATGGCTGCCACAGCACCAGGCACGATGTCTGTGCCGCTGTGGCCTGAAGATGGGGAAGTGGGCAGTGCCAGACATGGCCATCCCTTTTATCAGAAAAGGCGCAGTGGCTCATGACTGTAATCCCAATACTTAGGGAGGCAGAGGTGGGAGGATTGCTCTGAGACTAGCCTGGGCAACATGGTGAGACCCCATTTCTACAAACAAATTTTTAAAAATGCTAGCCATGGTGGTGTTCACCTGTGGTCCCAGCTACTCAGGAGGCTGAGGCAGGAGGATCCTTGAGGCCAGGAGGTTGAGGCTACAGGGAGCCATGAAACAGAGCTTGGGGCAACAGAGTGAGACCCTGTCTCAAAAAAAAAAAAAAAAAAAAGTCCTCCAACAGACTTCCCCAGACTGGGTTACAAAGCCACCCCTGGTTGCAAAAGAGGCTGAGAATGTGAGTATCCAACTTTCAGACTCTAAAGACAGAGGCACAAGAGAGAAAGGAGCCAAGAATGGCTGTTGGGTGAGCCAGTTAATTGTGAGTCACAGTTATCACGTAAGAAGCACCTACTGTGTGCACGTGGGATCTTCTAGAAACTTTCCATACAGCGTCTTGTCCTCACAATGGCTCTGCAGGGTTTTATGTTGACAGATGGAGAAGCAGATGCTCTGAGATGAAGAGCAATAACAACATAGATAACAGTGACTCTAACACCCACCATCCCTCCAGTTGAGTCCATGCACAGCATATACCAAGTACAGTGTTGACCACGTTACACTCCTCCTCTCGCAGATCCTCACTAGGCCCTCTCAAGGTCGTGGGAGAATCCCCGTCCTGCAGATGAAGGAGTAAGGACAGCCTAGGCTCCCTGACTCCGAGTCCTGAGTTCACCCGTCCCCAGACCCTGCTGCACATGGCCTGTGGCCTAGCAGACCCTTAGGGTCCCTGCTTCCAGTGCCACCAGTTCTTGTCCACCAGGGAGGGTGGCAGAGCCGGCAGCCAGATAGGCTCCTGCCCTTCACCACTTGAAGGTCAAGTTGCCTGAGATCCCTCTTGGAAGGAAACTGAGAAAACACTATACCAACATCAACATCAACAAATAACATTTAATAGAACTTAGAACTTAATGGAACTTCACAAGACAAGATACTCTTGGTAGCTAAGGGCTAACTTGGGCACTGAGCTTCCTGGCAGTCAAGGCAAAAGTGGAAAATAGTGGATTTTGTAGATGAAAAGCAGCTTGTTTGGCTGTGAGACAGGAAGCCAGCAGTTAAGGGAGGGAAATTCCTTTCCCAGAAAAATGGTCATGGGGTCAGGTCTTCATTTCTGTCCTATGGCACTGAGCTTCTTTAGGACCTAGTTAGTGATATAATCAGGGTGGATTAGAACCAGGCCCCAGTGAGCCGGTTTCTATGACTCAGAAGCTGGTCGCCTCTGCAGGGATCTTGGGCAGTCCACCCTATGTGATTCACCATCTCACAGTAATAAATATGGCCCACCAGGTTGGCACCAACCACATGCCAGGAGCTGAGCTAGAAAAGTGAGCTGCAATACATGTTCAAATTTACAAACATTTTCCATTTGAAGAAACTGAGGCCCAGGAAAGCAAAGTGACTTTCAGCCACTGACACACACAGCTTGGATGCATCAGAGTGGGGATTTCCATCCTGATGCCTTGGAGTCCAAGGCCCATGCCTCCCTATCCACCACGCTGCCCTCCCGCCGGCTGGGTAACTCTGCTTGGCTGATAATGAGGAGCTTAGCCTCAGAGGTGTCCTATCAGCCCCAGAACAGGACTTGTTTGGAGATTTGGGTTTCTCGACCCCAGCCAAGCTCTGTGCATTGCACCCCCTGCCCCTGTCTTCCCCTTCAGAGTCCACACCCCCTAGTCCCAGCCTGCCTCACCTTAGTCCACCACCATCTTTTCTGGAAGGCAGGGGGAAATTTTCTGGCTTTGCTGAAGAAGTTCTGGTGCCACTGTATCGCCCGAATTGGAATGAACAATATATTTTTTTCTTTCGCAACGCATCATAAATCTCAGTGGAAGACTAAACATACTCTTGATGTGTTTATTCTGGCAGACAAGGCTCAGCGTGGGGGTGGGACTTGTTTGAACCTAAGGAAAAGAAAGGCCTTTTGAAAGGAGATAGGGCTCCCGTGCAGGTGGGTGGGAGTGACCCTGCTGTGGTCTCCAGGGCTGCCCTCTGTCCTTCCTGCCTCTGTCACCCGCAGCCACTCTTCTCAGGGCAGCGATGGGGAGGTTGGGGACCTTGGCATGGCCTGTCACCTCTGGAGCCTTGGGTTCTGCTTCTATAAATTGAGAATAAATCTGCCTCTCCCTGCTCTACCACTCAGGTTGAAGTGAACACAGACTGTGACACTTCTGTGAAAATGCAGAATGGTGTCCAAGGGTCTTGACTGTGGAACCACTGCTCTGACATTCTGGGCATGCTACTCAGCCTCCCTGTGCCTCAGTTTCCACATTTGTCAAACTAGTAACAATATAGGCCCACTGTCCCTTCTCTGCAATTCTGAAATCCAAAGAAACACTTTAAAAACCAAAAGTAGCATTTGCAACTAATTTGGTGGCAAAATTGAACCTGAACAGAAGCAAGGCTATGTATGGCCTTTGCCTGCCCCATTCGGGTGTCCCTAGGGAAATAGAAATGAGACTCACTGCAGGCTGCTGCCCCAGCCCCCACTAGTGGGTGTGATCTGTCCCTCCAGGCCCTTTCTAAAATCTGATCCTGTCTCGAGCCGGAGCCCCCAGGGGCTGCCTTGCAGCACTTCAGAGATGAAGAGCACTAACAAACGGGAAGGGCGTCGTGCGGCACTCAGCCGGAGGCTGATGTTGCTGGCATCATTGCCAGTGTTTATTATTATTGCCGCCATTATTCACTTCATGAAGGCCTGGTAAGGGCTCAATAGGTGGCAGCTGTTCCTGCTGCCCTCGTTGTCAGCAGAGCAAGGGCTGCGGGAATGGGGATCTGGGCACGGTGCTAAGATCCTCATCTGCTTGTTTATCCAGCCTCTGGTGAGCAGAGCCCAGCCCTGGGATTCAGGGGCCCTGTGTTTTAGTGTGGGCTCTGCCGCTGATTGCTGTGTGGCTTCGGATAAGTTACCCAGACTCTCTGATCCACAGGCGAGCTCTTGGGCCATGCCCAGTGCAGGCAGTCAGGGATTCTGACTTGTTCTCTCTAGAGAGTGGAGGTGGGAGGAGTGAGAAGGAAGTGAATGCAGTTTGCCCTTTCCTGTGGTGTGTGGGTGCTGAGCTGGGTGCACTTGGCAGGCCATACCTGTGCCAGGGAGGCCCCTGAGGCTCTGAGTGCTGTCACGCTCAAGCAGAAGACATTGGAGGGGAAGGGGCTCACTTGGCCTGGCTGGGAGCCAGAGGTGGGGGCTGTGACAGTGGCAGTGGCTGGCCAGACAACTCCCCAGAGATGTTGGTCAGGGGAACTGTGACTTCCTTCTTGTCCTCCTTGCTCTCACCCTGAAAGCCCCAAATTGTTGGTGCGCACATACCCTCATGTGTGAGACACAGGTGGCGAGACGGGTTCCTAGGGGACAGTGTGGTTCTCTGTGAACTGTCTGCTTGCTGAATTAGAACTTCCTGATTCTCTGGCTTGGGGTTCTCTTGCGATGGGGCAGAGGGAGGAAGAGCAGCTGGAGCCTGGGACAGGGAGAGGTGACCTTTCTCTCCCCTGTTGAGAAGGGAATGGAGGAGTCCAGGCTACCCCTCTGGAAAGGGATTATGGAAAGACACTTGGGCTAGAATCTCTGAAGCACACGCTGGTCACTGGCTCTGCATTCTGGGGTAGCTAATTACGTGGATTGCAGCTGGACTTGCAGAAAAGATGCAGGAAGCGCCCTCATTTCCTATCAGGGTACTGGGATGCAGCCTCTGAGCTGGTGTATCTGTATTCTAGCAAAGCATTTGCCAACATCTCATGTGGGAAACCTGGAGAGGACAGGAAGATGTGGGTCCAATTCATGCATTTATACCTTATTATAAGGGGCTATTTCACACCTTAAAGAGCATGGCAAGAGGTCTGCACAGCACCCCAAGGGGCGGGCACAGGAGCCCGAAAAGTTACCCTGGAGATGTAGTCTAGTCTCAAGTATCTGGATGACATGTGTCCTTCGAGAGAGGGATTTGATTTGTTCCTGTGGTCCTAGCTGGGACTTGGGTAGCTGAGAGAGGAGGAGGATGTGAACTAATACAAGTGGGTAGAAGTCATTTGAGCAGAACTTAAATTGTATCAGAGCCTCTCAACTCCGCAACATGCTATTGTGTGAGGTACTGACTTCCCCATCGCAGGGAGCATTTAAGCAGAGCCTAAAAAAGCATGACTCTTACATTTGGATGATTTGCTGGACGCAAAGGTCTCTCCTAACTCTGACTCTGTGAAAATTCACACTAAAAGAGAAGTCAAAGCTCAGCATTTGGGTGGGACGTGAGTAGAGCCATGCAGAGGACAGCAGGGTCATGGGGAGGCCCTGGGCAGCTTGCCGAGGCTAAGATCCCGGGTCCCTGGAGCTGCACAGATCAAGGTCTGGTCATGTCTCTGCTGCTTTCTATCTATGTGATCTTGGGAAGTTGCTCCAACTCTGAGCCTCATTTTTCTCTTCTGAGAAATGGGGAGGAGGGAGACAGGGAAGACAGGGCTGGCTTCCTCGGCATTCAACCTATGCAGTCACACAGGATAATCTGCTGTTGCTGTATTGAAATTCTTTTTTTTTTCTTTTCTTTTTGAGATAGAGTCTTGCTCTGTTGCCCAGGCTGGAGTGCAGTGGGATGATCTCGGCCCACTGCAACCTCCACTTTCTGGGCTCAGGTGATCCTCCTGCCTCAGCCTCCCAAGTAGCTGGGACTACAGGCACACACCACCAGGCCCAGCTAATTTTTGTGTTTTTAGTAGAGATGGGGTTTCACCATGTTGGCCAGACTGAACTCGAACTCCTGACCTCAAGTGATCTGCCCATTTCGGCCTCCCAAAGTGTTGGGATTACACGTGTGAGCCACCACGCCCAGCTGAAATTCTTAATAATTTTTAAACAAGGGGCCCTGCATTTTTGCTTTGCACTAGGTGTAAATTATGCAGCTGGCCCTGGGCAGGACTCTTTATGGCATGTGACAGTGACTCAACTGAAAGTAGCCAGAGCCAGCAGAAGGCTCAGCTGGATCCCAAAGGCTGCTGCTGTCCCTATTCACCCTTCAGCCCTACCCTCCTCTGTTGGCTCCCTTCTCGGGCAGGCTGTCCCCAGTGGAGCCTGAGGGTAGCCCAGGTCCTCATCCTACCACATTGATGGAAAGAGGGCCGGGTATGTGAGCATGGGTCTCAAGCCCATCTCTGAACCACTCGCCGTGCCTGTGATGTGGATGGCACTGAGTGGCAGCCCAGGTCTTTTGCCTGCTTCTGGCATCGAGGGAGTGGGGCCTCCTCAGCTCCATGGAGAAATAGAAGGGTGGTTACATCCAAGGAGTGGGTTTCTGCAGGGCAGGCAGAAACAATGGAGCGGTCCCTGGGGGGATGGAGGGAGCTCATGAATGTCTTCTCCTGCTACCTCCCTGTCCTTTTTGTCTCAGTAGCTACCTGGTTGCCAGGGTGACCTCCCTGCACTCCCAGCACAGGCCTCCTGAGCATCAGCTCCAAGCTGAACCAGCCCCTGTGGCCATGGTCCCCGTGGCCCAGGTGTGTCCCTCAACCACATTCTGGACTGAAAGATGTTGTGGTGTTTCCATGGAAACCACCCATCTAGGTGGAAACCACCCAGCTTCCATCACCTTCTCATTTCAGGGAGGCTGGGAGAGAAACAGGGAAGTCCAGGCTGCTGTGACAACCACGCTGGGGTTTAAACAGAGCCTCAGTGCAACATGTTGTGAGGAAGCTGGGTGGGTGGGGAAGGATGTGGGAGAGGCAGCTTTCCGCACAGATGCTTCTAGAGAGCCCCTCCTTTCCACACCGTGGGGATCACCCACCCACTGGGGTTGAGAGGTGGACCCGAGATGTCAGATCACCTGGCAGACAGCCCCAGCTATGTGACTCAGGCAAACCACTTAGCTTTTCTGGGCCCTGGTTAAAACTGGGTATAGCCGTGTGGTTTAAATGCCAATAAAGCTTAATAGGTAAAAACCTGGGTTCTGAAATCAGCCAAGCCTGTGTGCAAACCTCACTTCTTCCGCATGTTGGCTGTGTGACTTTGGGCAAGTTAATTAACCTCTCTGGGTTTGTTTTCTGCATCTCTATAATGAGGGAATGGGGTGAATACCTAGGCCATAGGTCTGCTGTGAAGATTCAGTTGAGATAATACATTTAAAGTGCTTACCACAGCACCAGGTACATAACAAACATTTGATAAAAGTTAGCCACTATTAGTGTTGGGATTAATTACTGACAGGAAAGCTTTGTAAATTGCAGAACTCTGTATAAGGGCTTTTTTTTTTTTTTTTTAAATATCATGCTGAGAGCTTTATTGAGAGAAGGGCAGGGAGCGTCATCAGAGGCTGGTTTCCCAGCATTAATTTTTTTTTTTTTTTTTTTTTTTTTTTGAGATGGAGTCTGGCTCTGTCGCCCAGGCTGGAGTGCAGTGGCGTGATCTCGGCTCACTGCAACCTCCACCTCTCGGGTTCAAGCGATTCTTCTGTCTCAGTCTCGCGAGTAGCTGGGACTACAGGCACCTGCCATTCACACCCAGCTAATTTTTGGTATTTTTTTTTAGTAGAGATGGAGTTTCACCATGTTAGCCAGGATGGTCTCGATCTCCTGAGCTCGTAATCTGCCCACCTTGGCCTCCCAAAGTGCTGGAATTACATACGTGAGCCACCATGGCCAGCCCCAGCATTAATTTAACCAAGGGAGCTGGGTGAGGAGCCAGGGCTGCAGGTCCATCTGCAGGATATGGGTTCTCTGAGCACAGCGTTCATTCAAGGACTGCCCATGGGGAGCTGCTGGAAGCTCCACCAACAGGGTTCCCTGGGAGTCAGGCTCTGAAACCCCACCTGGAAGTACCTGTCTCATTTCTCCCAATTCTTCCTTCTCAGGAACCGAGGTGGGAAGGTGTGTGGCCTTCTCCTTGGCATCCCTGCCTTCTAGGGTCCCTCGCCCCCACTGCCTTGACCAGTCCAACCATGCATTTGCCCTGAAAGGTCTCTGGGCAAGGTCCATGTGAGAGGCTAGGTGGAGCCAGGCAGGGGCTGGCTCTCGGAGGCTCCCCTCCCACCCAGGCCTGCTTATCGCCGAGGGAGGCCCTGCCCTCAGCGGGCTCTGGGTTTGCCTCCTTTTGCACAACTGACTTATTTAGAAACCCCTTCTCTGCCTGCTTTGTAAATCAGTGTTTTCTCTGTGGGGTTAGCTGAGAGCAGGTGCTGCTCTCCACCACAAGAAGGAACCCTTAATTCCTGAGCAGGGTGAGGACCAGCATAGGCAAGATGTAGATTTGGGCCAGGCGAGGTGTCTCAGGCCTGTAATCCCAGCACATTGGGAGGCTGGGCTGGGTGGATCACTTGAGGTCAGGAGTTCGAGACCAGCCCGGGCAACATGGCGAGACCCTGTCCCTGCTAAAAATACAAAAATTAGCCGGGCATGGTGACTCATGCCTGTAGCCCCAGCTACCTGGGAGGCTGAAGTGAGAGGATTGCTTAACCCCAGGAGGCAGAAGTTGCAGTGAACTGAGATCCTGCCACTGCCCTCTAGCCTGGGTGACAGGGAGACCCTGTCTCAAAAAAACAAAACAAAGCAAAACAAAAAAAAAAAAGTGAGATGTTTTTGGAGCTCTGGGGCAAGTAGCCAGGTCCCAGAAAGGCAACTGACCTCACACTCCGGCTGGCTGGCACTGCTGGCTTGGGGCTTGGGAAGGGGTGAGGGAGGATCTTTTCTGTTTTGTTTTTTGTTGTTGTTGTTTTTGTTGTTGTTTTTGTTTTTTGTTTTTTGAGATGGACTCTTACTCTGTCGCCCAGGCTGGAGTGCAGTGGTGCGATCTCGACTCACTGTAACCTCCATCTCCTGGGTTCAAGCAATTCTCCTGCCTCAGCCTCCTGAGTAGCTGGGATTACGGGCACCCACCACCATGACTACATAGAGGGAGGATCTTTTGACCATATAGTTGATACCGAAGTTCCAGGTCCCTCAGTCTTGGGGCCCCCTCCAGGCATCTACCCTGCTGTCTTGGGGGCCCTGTTTGGAGAGGCTGCACTCTGGTCCTTGGAAGAAGGAAACTGAGCTGGGCTTTCCTCCCTGTCCCTCCTTCTCCCTGAAGCTGCCCTGTGGGAGGTGTAAGGATTCACCAAGAAGTTGCATGGGTCTGGCTCTGGTGCCTGGCAGACCATGGTGGTTAGGTGTGCATTCAGCATTCACGTACCCCACACAACTATTCTGTGCCAGGCTTGGCGCTAGCCACGGGGGACCCTGTAGTGAGCGTGCCAGATGTGGTCCCTGCCCCCACGGAGCTGATGTGCTAGTGGAGAGAGATGATAAGCCCTGAAAACCAACAAGCATGTAACGTCAGTGCTCTAAAGAGAAATACAGCATGCTTTCCCTTGTGGGATAAGGGAGGCCGGGGAGGGGTGGTTGATTGGTTGGGGGAGAGGGGATGGGGAAGGGCTGATATTTTGTAGAGTGGTCTGGTAAGGCCTTTCTGAGGAGGTGACATTGGAGCAGAGCCCTGAAGGAAGCAGAGGGTGAGCCATGTTAATGTCTAGGGGAAGAGCATTCCAGGCGGTGGGAACAGCAGGTGCAAAGGCCCCAAGGCAGGAGTGTGCCTGGCACAAAGACAGCACAGAAATCTAGTCAGTTGAAGCAGAGGGAGGAAGAACAGAGGACAGAAGGCCTGGGGAGGCAGACAAGTGGTGTAGGACCTCCTAGGCTGTTATGGGGACAATGACGGTGGGAACTGCCCTGGAGGTGGGAGGCCCCTACGGGGTTTTCAGCAGTGACATGAGAATATTGATGTTTACAGGGCCAGGCTGCTGCCAAGCGCAGAAGAGATAGTGGGGCAGGAGTGGTTGGCACTGCCTGCATCGGGCACCCTGGGAGCGCCAGGAAAGTGGCTGGAGCCATGAGCGTGTCCCAGGGTTGCTGAGGGGAACGGGGGGAGGCAGTTTAAGTAGGGGTGACCACAGGTGGGCACGGGTTTCAGGAAATCTGACCCTGACCTTTGTCCTCCCCCCTGCAGCTGAAGCAGGAGATGGGCGGCATCGTGACTGAGCTCATTCGAGACTACAACAGCAGTCGCGAGGACAGCCTGCAGGATGCCTGGGACTACGTGCAGGCTCAGGTGAGGTGGGGCGGGGCTGCAGGAGGCTCTCTGGCCTGGGTGTCCCTGCATTTGGGGCTCTGTGCACCCACATGTCTGGGACTGGCATCTGCAGTGCTCGTGTGTGCCTGACAGTTTGTAGGAGAGTGTGCTTCTATGGGGGCAGGGCACCCCAGTTAGCACCACAACTCCCTGCTCAGGGGGCCCAGAGACTCAGAGGCAGCTTCACAGCTCTGTGCTCCCATTTGTGGCCAGAGAGCATGGGGGCAGTTGTCAGCCCTCTTATCTCAAGCTACACTGGGGAGCGTTGGGAGCTCCACTCTGGGTTTTAGGAAACTGGGAGCCAAGGCTGATATGCTGAGAAGTCCCAGTGAAGGCTGCCTCTGGGGAAGGGCACTAGCTGGGGAGGTGTTGGGGAGCCTTCTAGGGCAAAAGGAGTATTTTAGCCAAATCTTGATACTGGTTTCGCCAGTATGTGCACATACGTAAAAATGCACCAAGCTGAATGTGTGCCCATTAGTTCATGTGTATTATACCTCCATTAAAGTGAGAGAGATGGATGGATGGATGGGTGGACAGATGGACGGACGGACTGACCGACTGACCAACAGATAGACTGACCAGGTTCCCAGCCTGTCTCAATAGTGATCCAATGACCACCTGGCTCTCCTTTCTTGTGGTCCCGGATGCTGCATGTGCCCTTGGCTGGGACCTGACATCTCTGATCTGCAATCCTGTGAGGGCGCAGGACACAGTGGTCACTTAGGGCCTGTTGACACCTCAGGGGAGGGATGTGGAGTACAAAGGGCATGGGCAGCAGGAGAAAGCCTGACTCAGCGGCACCAGGAGAGTTTGCAGAGAGGACACTCCATCTAGGTGACATGGACATGGCCATTTTCTCAGTGGAGGAAGGGGAGAGCGATGTTTTCTGGCCCTGACCGAGGAGATCAGGTGTGGGGGTTGTGGCAGCTGGAAGGCTTGGTGCACACAAGGAAATGTTTTGGTCGCATATGTAGTTTGACCCACAATTGCTGAGACTTTGCTAATTTTAGCAAAGTCTGGATGTCACCAGTGACATAAACCAGTGCCACCTGACAAGGGACCTGGGAGGAGAAGTGGGTCCCTTGGGAGGTGGTAAGCATCCTACCCTGGAAAGTCATTGGCTGGTTCTAGATGATTCTGATGCTGTCAGATGCTGCTTAGGCCGGTGGTAAGTCAGACTCCCAAGGCCTGGAGTGCTAACACTGCCACAGCCGCTAGACCTTTGCTGAGCCTGCTTCCTCATCTATACAATGGGGCTACTGACCCATGCCGTGTGAGATACATTGTTAAAGCCTGAAGCACTTAGGCAGCATTTATTATGTGGTATGTTGGTGGTGATGTTTTAGTCACCATGCACATCCATGGAGACACAGGCGGAGGTGGCGTGTGCTGCTGGGGACCAGGTACAGCCGGAGTCAGGCCAAGGGGTTGCTTGGAAGGAGGCTCTGTCGTAGACGGGCCAAGGAGACCTGCCTCATTTTGCTCTGGTGTAGGATGGCCTGTGGGTGCCCCCAGCCTTGCAGACCTGTGCACCCCTCAGAGGTGCCAGCCTTTTCTTGGAGAGAGGAGGCAGCCCGGCTGCTGGAACAAGCACCTGTAAACCTGGATTAGAAACTGCCTGGAGCTGAGCATTTCTGAGTGTGCCTGGCACGCCCCCTGCTGGCCACTGGCTACTGGTCAGGCGACACCCCTCGGAGCTAGGAAGGAAGCGGTCCAGGAACTGACCCCTGCTGTGACCGTGGCTATCCCATTGAATCCTCCCAGGAACCCCCAGCATTGCGGGGATTCACACACAGAGACCTCCTTTAGCACACAGAGCCCGGAAAGGCTTTCTTCTCTCTAGAACTAGAGCATTTTCTCCTTTAAAATGGCAGAATTGACCAGCTAGCCAAGGTGGCTCACACCTGTAATCCCAGCACTTTGGGAGGCCGAGGCGGGCGGATCACTTGAGGTCAGGAGGTCAAGACCAGCCTGGCCAACATGGTGAAACCCCGTCTCTACTAAAAATACAAACATTAGCCGGGCGTGATGGCGAGTGCCTGTAATCCCAGCTACTCAGGAGGCTGAAGCAGGAGAATCGTTTGAACCCTGGAGGTGGAGGTTGCAGTGAGCCAAGATCACGCTGCTGCACTCCAGCCTGGGTGACTGAGCAAGACTCTGTCTCAGAAAAAAAAAAAAAAAAAAAAAAGGCGGAATTGACCCCGTCTCCTTTTTCACTTTTCACTTTTTTTCCTTTTCACCAGGAAGCTCAGAGGCAAATCTCAACTCCTGCACTAAAGTTGAACGGCCTTTCCTAAGCTTATTGTGCTCCCCACACCTATGCTTGGTACTTTGCCTGCCTCATCCCATTTAGTCCTTGTGATAGCCCTGTGAGTTGGGGATTTTAATTATCCCCATTTACAGATGAGGAAACTGAGGCTAGTTCCTTGATGGAGGTTGCTCAGCTGGTAGGCGGCAGGGCTGGGATTGTAACCCAGTAGCCTGACTTTAAACCCTGCACTGTGAACTGTCTGCCGTCCATTCTCCTTGTGCCCTGCACACCTGCGCTCCTTCAACTTGAACTTCCTTCCTACTCTGCTTTGTATTTTTGCTGGTCCTGGTTTTGATTTTTCTGCTGTACTTGTAGTTTATGATGGTTCGGCTGGGACCAGGGGCCTGGAAGTGGCATATCTCAGTCTCTGTCCTGGGGAGGTCCTCCCTCTGCCAGGAGGGCAGCCTGCCTAGGGTGAGCCGTGAGCACAAGCAGTCTGTCCCCTGCCTTGCCCAGGTGAAGTGCTGCGGCTGGGTCAGCTTCTACAACTGGACAGACAACGCTGAGCTCATGAATCGCCCTGAGGTCACCTACCCCTGTTCCTGCGAAGTCAAGGGGGAAGAGGACAACAGCCTTTCTGTGAGGAAGGGCTTCTGCGAGGCCCCCGGCAACAGGACCCAGAGTGGCAACCACCCTGAGGACTGGCCTGTGTACCAGGAGGTGTGCGGGGGGCTGCGGATCGGGGGCGGGGCTCCGAGGGCGTTGGGGGCCATCTGGGCTACTGCTCAGCAATTCCTTCCTGCATTTAGTTCCTTCCCTTAATTCATCTGTCATTTGTACCTTCATCTACTTCTTTGTTAATGTATTTATTCAAGGAACAGGCAGAGCCCTCTGTAGGGGCTTCCGGGCTGGGACTGGGGGGCTCTCGGTGGTTCTGCATGGCGGGGTGGGATGGTGCAGAGCGGGGTGATGTGACCGCATTCTGCCCTTGCAGGGCTGCATGGAGAAGGTGCAGGCGTGGCTGCAGGAGAACCTGGGCATCATCCTCGGCGTGGGCGTGGGTGTGGCCATCATCGAGGTCTGAGCCCCCTCCCCCATCCCTTCTCCATCCCAGGTCCTCCTGGGTTGTCTCTGTTCTGCTGATCTCCTTGGGGAGGTGGTGGCCAAGGGGGCCAGCACCCCATCAGCTTCCAGAGGCCCTCTGGTCTGAGCACTGTCTGGCTGTGTGACCTCAGACAAGGCACTGCCCCGCTCTGGGCCTCCCTCTGCTGCCTGCATCACAGGGTGGTTGTGAGGCTCAAGTTGAGGATCCACTTAATCCCCATGTAAACCTGGATGGTGAGGCTGGGGCGTCTGAGGCCGGGACACCCAGCCTCCCTCTGACTCTCCGCCTCTCCCCACAGCTCCTGGGGATGGTCCTGTCCATCTGCTTGTGCCGGCACGTCCATTCCGAAGACTACAGCAAGGTCCCCAAGTACTGAGGCAGCTGCTATCCCCATCTCCCTGCCTGGCCCCCAACCTCAGGGCTCCCAGGGGTCTCCCTGGCTCCCTCCTCCAGGCCTGCCTCCCACTTCACTGCGAAGACCCTCTTGCCCATCCTGACTGAAAGTAGGGGGCTTTCTGGGGCCTAGCGATCTCTCCTGGCCTATCCGCTGCCAGCCTTGAGCCCTGGCTGTTCTGTGGTTCCTCTGCTCACCGCCCATCAGGGTTCTCTTAGCAACTCAGAGAAAAATGCTCCCCACAGCGTCCCTGGCGCAGGTGGGCTGGACTTCTACCTGCCCTCAAGGGTGTGTATATTGTATAGGGGCAACTGTATGAAAAATTGGGGAGGAGGGGGCCGGGCGCGGTGGCTCACGCCTGTAATCCCAGCACTTTGGGAGGCCGAGGCGGGTGGATCACGAGGTCAGGAGATCGAGACCATCCTGGCTAACATGGTGAAACCCCGTCTCTACTAAAAATACAAAAAAAATTTAGCCGGGCGCGGTGGCGGGCACCTGTAGTCCCAGCTACTTGGGAGGCTGAGGCAGGAGAATGGTGTGAACCCGGGAGCGGAGGTTGCAGTGAGCTGAGATCGTGCTACTGCACTCCAGCCTGGGGGACAGAAAGAGACTCCGTCTCAAAAAAAAAAAAAAAAAAAAAAAAAATTGGGGAGGGAAGGGCGTTAGATAAGGCACTCTGGGCTGTCAGGAGACTGCCTACTGGGTGGGTCAACTTATTTCCCACTATGACATTTATATCTTTATTTTTCACAATTATATTGAAGGCAGTGGGAGAGGGGAGAGGGTGGGTTTTACCTGATATTAAGGGGTGGCACCCCTTCCCCAGGCCTGATGCAGGTCCATCTAGACAGCTCAGATTAGCCTAGGCCATGCCCTAGGGACACGGCCTAGGGGAGCTGGGCTGGAGGGGGTCTGCCTGGGTAAGGGGATCTGGCTTGGCCCTGAGCTGCTTAGGGACAGGTGAGTCCTTGGGGGCATGGCACAGAGCTGGTCCTGTATTCTCCAGGGTCCGGAGCTGGCCAGGGGCGGGGAGGAGGAGGATGGCTTCTCCTGGGAGAAGGTGGGCTGGCCTTTCTTGGCAAGCGGTCCTCTGGCCCCTGGGGAGTGGGGTGGGTGAGGCTGTGCCTTGTAGGGGGAGAGGGGAGGGGGCTTTGTGTGCACCATTCTGTAAAACACACTCAAGATTCTAAGACTATTAAAGAGGATTTATAACAGTCTAGTCTGGAATGGTAGGGATGCTGCTTCCTGGGGCAGGGGAGGACCCAGGGCAGAGGGTGTGAGCAGAGTGGCTGGGTCTGCTGGAGACTGCTGGACCCCTCACTGCTCTGCCCTCCCCGCAGGCATCTGCTTCTGCAGCCTGAACCTTAGGACCGTGATGGGCCAGGCTCTGATGGGCCTGCCTGCATGCCGGGGTGCCTGGAGTTTGATTTGGTGCTAAGAGAGGTATAGATTGTACCTCTCAATTCCTGCTTCTGAAACTAGGGTATGGGTGCCCCCAGAAGCTGCACAAAAGTGGGCTGGTGATGGGGGACAGGGAAGCCACAGGATAAACTTGGCATCGCTTTCTAGAGCATCCGTTTCTGCAAAGATTTGTGGAAGGAAACATTTTCATACTAAAGAAATGTGATGGAGTAAGATGTGCAGAATTCAGGGGACTTTTTAAGATGAAATGTGAGACTTTGGGAGGCTGAGGCAGGTGGATCACTTGAGGTCAGGAGTTCGAGTCCAACCTGGCCAACATGGTGAAACCCCATCTCTCCAAAAAATACAGAAATTAGCCGAGTGTGGTGGTGCACGCCTGTAATGCCAGCTACTCAGGAGGCTGAGAAAGGAGAATTGCTTGAACCCGGGGGATGGAGGTTGCAGTGAGCCAAGATTGTGCCACTGCACTTCAGCCTGGGCAACAGAGCGAGAATCTGTCAAAAAAGAAGAAAGGAAGAAAAAGAAAACGACAGAGAGAGAGAGAGAAAAAGAAAAAGAAGCTTGCTCTTACTTGTGCACGGCTCTGACGACTGAGCCCCAGCATGCCCCTTGCCCGGCGTCATGAAGTCCAGAGGGCACTTGCCCCACCTTCTCTCATTTCTGGAGCCAGTGGGGAGGGGAACTCTTGCCTCCCTGCAGTGGGGCCAGGCGGGGCGGCGGCTAGAGTGGTGTTTCAGCAGGGACCACCAGGCGGCGCTGCAGCCTCAGCCTAGGAGCCCGGCAGAGCCCAAAGGTTCCGTGGTTACTCCCAGTTTCGCCAACGCGGGGCCTGCCAGCGTCCCACTCCAGTGGAAGCACTTGTGAAAATGCAGATTCCAAGGCTCAAGGATTCTGGCGCTGCAGATCTAGGGTGGGGACAAGGAATCTGCCTATTTGCACCCCTTTGCGTTGATTCCGGAAGATTTTCAGACCTGGAGTAATGTCTGTCCCAAGCCACGTGATGACCTCTCAGCGAATGTGGCAGCTGAGGAGGTGTCAGCGGTGGGGTCGGCTGTGGGTCCCTCTGTGGCCTTGGTCGCCTCCCTCTGGGATGGGGGCAGGAGAGGAAAATGTCGATGGTTCCACCTGGCCTGACTTCCCTGGCCCCCCACAGCTTCCACCCTCAGGAAGGGTAGCAGAGAGCTGTTGGGTGTCTTTTCATAAATGCTTTCTCACTGGGAGCAAGGGGACCTGAGTTTGAGTCCAGCTGCATCTCCATCTTCCTGTGCGACACGGGGCCTGGCAGGCTGAGGGTGGGCTCAAAGCTGTTTGCAAAATAGAGGACTGAGAAAACGTCAGAAGTTAGCGAAGGGGTGGGCTGCTTCCTCTGACACGTCCATCCTGCCCAGAGCTCACAGCTGGAAGGGGCCAGAGCCAGGATTTGAACCCCACGTATCTGACTTCAAAGACCATCCTCCTGGCTCCACTGGCTCCTGCCCTTCCAGATTTCCCAGAACAGCCCCAGGACGTGTGTAGTGTGAGGCTCTGACCCTCGCTTTTGTGAAATCTGGTCACTGTGAGCTCTGAGCCTGCTGGGTTCCTCATTTCAACCTCCTGGGGAGCACCCAGTTTCAGCAACCCACTTACTCCCAGCCTGTGAGGTTTTGGGAGGGAGGGAACATAGACCCATGTCTAACACTCAGAATCGTCCCTGCAGCCACTAATCTGTCCCATGCCCATCTGGGGCTTCCACACCTTCCAGCTGCCCTCCCTGGGCCCTCTGTGGGCTGCCATCTCTCCTGCCAAGGGCCCTGACAGGCCCAAAGGACTGGCACATGGGTACCATGTGGAGGAGAGTACAAGGGTGCTCCTTGGCAGTGCCCACCCACAGCTCCCTGGGGCAGCCAGGAAGAATGGCTGGAGCAAAGGGTTGCTCTTTGGGCTCCCGTGGGAGGTTAGAGACAGTGCCTAGGATGTGTTCAGGGAGCTGGACTTTGGGGGGCACTGATTGGCATGGCCACTGACCAATAGGTATGGAAGTCAGGCCTGAGCTGGAATGGGATCCTTACGTATGGATTGGCGGGAGGTGCAGGAGCTCTGAGAGATTGAGCTGGGGGGGAATTTTCAACTGGTGTGGAAATATTTCTCCATTTTATTCATAATAACTGGTATGGCTGGCTGGGTGAGTACTGGTGAATGGCAGCCTGATACATGTGCACATACATGCATGCACTCTCTCACACGCACACACTCGAGGCCCTGAAGGCCCCTGAGGGCTCAGTCCATTCCCAGCTGGGAGGAACCCTAGCTCTTCTTCCCTGAGACTAAGCCATGGGTGGCCCGTAGTGAACAGGGAAAGCCAAGTGTCTTCCTGCCTGGCCTTCCCGGGCCTACACTGCAGAGCCCCCTCTGCCGCTGATCACCATCCTGTCTCCTAGCAGAGCTGCCTCCAGCCTCTGCCCCAGATGATCTTCCAGGTGAGCAGGTCCCCCAGGCTGAGAGCAGCCGGGTGGAGGGGCACACTGGTGACGCTGGAGCATCTAGCCAACAGGCATCTCCTGGGCCAGCGCTCCCATCGCCTTTCTCCCCTGCAGAAGGACAGAGACCCAGGTTGCTACGCTGCCTCGGGGCAAATGTCTGGCTGTTCTCTGGGGTCTTTAGAGGCTGTAGGCTAAGGTTTATTCATTTATTCATTCATTCATCCCATGAATACTTAATGGCACAGACTATTTGTGAAGCACAGTTCTAGGATCTTAGGAACACAGCAGTGAACACACACAAACCCCCTGCCCACATGGCACCTGCATTCTGATGAGTGTAGAGACTCTTGCACACAACTGATGCACCAGGACACACGTGCACACACAGCACACGCATGCACACAGCACACCCTGCCACACGTACACAGGTACGTACCAGCACACACTGCCGACTGCTGACAGCACAGTCTGAGCCAAGTGCTGCTGTGGGATCCCTGGGGCCCATCCAAGGCCCCTTCCTGTGGAAGGAAGTAGAATGAACAGCGCGTCGAACAAACAGGAAAGTAGGAGGAAGTGCTCATCGCCCCTGCCACAGTGCAGGAATCAGCCATTGCCCTGGCAATCCCCTTCCCAACTGAAATCAAATAGAATCAGAGCAGCTGCCACTGGACGTGACAGGCTGTGCAACTTCACCTCTCTTAGTCTTATCGGGAAAATGGGGACTCTCATTCCTCACTCCCAGTGCTGTTGTGGGAGCCAAATGCGGTCACGTACACAGTGAGCTCATTCCCCAAGCAGCCCATTCCAGGACTGGCCCCAGCTTCAAGGGGAGGTTTCCCATCCTCTGGGGGATACCTTCCCTGAGTAGGAATGAGGCCCACGGGAGGACTTTGGGCCTTGGTGCCTCCGGGGCAGGGATGGCTGATTGGCCCAAGGGGCTGGGGCTGGGGCAGGTAAGACCTGTACTCAGCCTCTTGCCTAGTGGGAAGGTGAGCAGGTAGGAGGGCCATTAGAGGACATCTGAGCTGTGAGCACCCCGGCCCCCAGCTGTCCCATCTGACATCATTTCCCCAGCACCTGCCTTCTGAGCAAGGGGAATGTCAGGCCCAGAGCCAAGTGCCTCTCCCCAAGTGACCTCAGATGCTTTAAGCAGTAGCCCCTGGGATAGGAGTGGGCTTCCTGCAGGATGCTGGGGGCAGAGGGGCGGCCAGCCAGAACAGCTGGGAGTGCAGAGGGGCTGTGTGGAGGTGGGGAGTGGAAGGAGAGAGCTGGAGAGTCTCCAGCAGCCTCTTGGAGGACTGAGTGGGCGGGAAGGGATGTTAGTGGCAGCTGATAGGAGTGGAGGGGTCCATCCTCTGCCCTTGCATCACACACCTGGGTGAGCCCAGCTTGGGGCTTCCAGGGTGACAGGGGCCCTGTGATCCCAGCACCCAATCCTCTTGGTCCTGGTTCATAGAGGACTCAGGCGCTTGGGGTGGTGTCTGAGTTCTTTCCATGGGGAAGCTGTCGAGGAACCCACTTGGTGGGTCAGTGGGGGTCTGGTAAAATGGAAGGAGAGAGGCCTGTATTAGTCCATTTTCACCCTGCTGATAAAGACATACCCAAGACTGGGCAATTTACAAAAGAAAGGGTTTTAATGGACTCACAGTTCCACGTAGCTGGGGAGGCCTCATAATAATGGAAGAAGGCAAAACGCACGTCTCACATGGTGGTAGACAAGAGAAGACAGAATGAGAGCCAAGCAAAAGGGGTTACCCCTCATAAAACCATCAGATCTCCTGTGACTTATTCACTACCACAAGAACAGTGTGGGAGAAACCGCCCCATGATTCACTTATCTCCCACTGGATCCCTCCCACAACACATGGGAATTATGGGAGTACAATTCAAGATGAGATTTGGGTGGGGACACAGAGCCCAACCATATCAAGGCCCTTCCCCAGAGGGGCAGGCTCTAAACCCAAGGGAGCCCACAGAGGGGAGGAACAGAGTGGGAGTAAGAATAATGCTATGAGCAGGACTGCAGCTGGGGGAGCTAGGAAGATGAGCAGGGCTGACCCTTTGGGGTGAGGTAGGACTCGCAGCAGGCAAAGAGGGAGCAGGGCAGCAAGAGGAAAGTGCAGGCAGCCACTGCGGAGGGCATGGTGGACCCCAGCAGCCATGGGACCCTGTCTCCTTCCCAATCATCATCATCGTCACAGCAGCCACCAAGGATTTAGTATTAAGCTTTAACCCTGACACCCCAACAGTGTAGACACACTTGCTCCCCCCACCCCTTTACAGTGTGGAAACCAAAACTTGGAAAAGCTAAGCTGTTTGCCATAGCCCTGACCAACTACACAATCCAGGAGTCATTCACATTGGATTCACAAATCCACCTTCAGGTCCAGAGTCACAGTGACTGAAGAAACTGGGGTTGGCCCCTGGGGCCTGTGACTCTGTGTGCTTTCCAATAGTTCTCAAGGCCAATGGGAATGAAGACCCCTGGTTCATAAAAAGAGGAGAGGAGTAGGCCTTTTCTAAGGAGGCACAAGTCCACTAAACCCAACTTTTCCTCCATCAATCTATGCAATAAGGATTTATCAGGCACCCACTCTATGCCAGGCACTGTGGAAGGAATCAGGGGTCACCAAGGTAAACAAGTTTGTGGAGCTGACAGTCCAGTTGTGGGGGAGGCACAGGGAAAAAAACACAAAAACAGCAGAAAAAGCGCCCCATGTCAGGGACAGAGAGGACAGCAAAGGTGATCAAGGCCCTGTCTCTACCTGCCAGGAAGTGCACAAGGTAAGACAAGCCGGTCCCCAGGCTGGCTGTTGTCCCTTGATGTCCTCATTGCCCGGGGCACTGTGGAGGCTGCCACTCCACCAGGACATGGAGGAATGAATCCAGTCCCATGGGCTGACTGGCCCAGAGTTCAAGAGGATGCACGGGAACCAATCACAGTGTGAATGCAAATGAGAACCAGGCACCCCCTACCCACAAGGGGAACTGATCTGGGCCTCCTGTCTATGTGGTCAGGAAAACCTTTTCCAAGAGGCCAACGGAAACTATCTGTAGCTTGTGATGATCTAAAATGCCTCGTCAGGGATTGCTTAATGAGTTTATTTAACAGACAGCTGGGGCAGAGGGGTTGTCCAGGTGGGCTGTGTGTATTTCCTTCCTCTGAGGACTGAGCAGGGCAAGGACTCCATCCTGCATCGGTCTATGGGGGATGCAGGTCATCAGACCCCCATGACTCCATGTGTGGGATGCCTGTGCCTGGTCCCATATGGAGTCTGGTTTCCATCTCCTTCAGAAAAGGAATGTGAAGGTGGCAGCCTGGCTGGGACTGGGGAATGGAGAATGGAGTGGGAAAGCCACGTGGGAGAGCAACCAGCTTTCCTGCCAGTGTCACAGGGCAGAGTGAGCATCTAGGGTGGGAGTCATGGCACTGGGAATTGAGGGACTTGGTTCTGTCTCAGATGTCCCCTAATTAGTTGCATGTGGTCATTGTTTGCAAAAATAGTCACATGTATTCCCCTCCCTGTATCTATGCTCTCTGCAACATGACTATACAGCTAGCACCTCTCTGATGGCTGGTCGTGTGACCTTCTTTGGCTAATGGAATGTGGGGGAAAACACAGTGTGTCAATTATAATCCTAAGTCTCAAGGAGTTTTGCACACTTCTCCCCACTTCTTCTCTCTCTCTGCCTCACTCTCTCAAAACCTGCCACTGCCTCATGAAGAAGCCCAAATTAGCCTGCTGGAGCATGAGAGGCAAGTGGGTCAGTACTCCATCATCCCAGATGACAGCCAACTTACCCCCAGAAGCAGAACCACCACCCTACCTGCAGCCAACTTCAGACGCAAGAGAAGACCAGATGAGCCACCTAGCTGAGCCCAACCTAAATGGCTGACACACACACAGAATCATGAGCTAAACAAATGGTGGTTGTTTCGGGCCCTAAATTTGGGGTTAGTTTATTACACAGCAATAGCTAACTGATAGGATAGGTAATCATAATGACAGCTACCATTTGCTGAAGGCCTATTGGACACCAGGCCCAGCACTAAGCACTTGACATACATTGCATGAGTCCCCTGACTCATTTAATCCTCACAATAGCCCTGAGAGTTGGTATTTGGATGCACACTTTATAGATAAGAAAACAGAGGCTCAGAGGAGACATGAGTCTGGTCTAAGGTTGCTGAACAGTAAGAGACAGAGATCAGATGAGAACCTAAAATCTGTCTTCATGGGCTCGGTGTCTGAATCTCCCTTCCAGAGGAGCCTTAATGTCAGAGAGAATCAGCATCACTTGAGAGACTGTAATGTATTCTGCACACGGGAGCTGACATCATTAAGAATGTTCTCAGCCTTCCGTCCCCAAGAATTATGCCCTGTCTCACCCTGTTCTTCTCTCACCCCCAGTCAATGCCTCTAATTCCCTTGGGCTTCTGGAGGGAAAGACAAAAGACACAGATGAAGGGATAATTTATTTCTTTTTGATCCCACCTGCTATTTAATCAGTAAATATTTACAGAGGGCCTGCTATGTGCTAATTTCAGAGTGTTCTGTCTTTCATGACACATTTTCTGGGTCCCTATGGTGTGTTCTCACTCAGCCCATGTAGCACCAACACAAGGGTCATTGGGATTATCCCCACTTTACAGCCGAAAAAACTCTGAGGTTCCAGAGAGGTGAAGTGGCCACCTTGAGGTCACTTAACTATAAGTGACCAAAACAAGATTCAACTCTAGGTTTGGCTGAATTCAGACAGGGTCTCTTCTTGCTCTATCACCACAGCTGTGGCTTTTTTAAAAAAGGGATTTTGAAACTTCCCCTGGGCTCTGTGTCTGGCAGGTAGGGGGCTGGAATGTGGAGAGGAGAAAGGCTAGTGGGGCTGTTGGAAAATGTCCTCTGACTCTCAGAGCTGGCTGGCTCCTGGGCTGGGCATGGTGCTCAGGCTCAAGCTCTGGGTAATGCTGTGAGCTGGCCAAGGAGGTCGCATGTCCTGGAGGGAGGAGAAATAGCCACAGGCTCCAGCCTGCTTCGCTTGTGTCCGCAGCTGACAGCCACAGCCATCGCTCATCCCCACCCGCCCCTCTGCTTAGCTGCTGGACCTCTGCCATCTTCCACCACCAGGCACTGGGCACTGGGCCCTACCCCTCCCCGGCTGCACTGTTTACAAATGGGAAATTCAGGGAGAGTCCACCCAGGCTGTCTTCTCCTCCCAGGGCCATCACGTCTCTGGAGTTGGGGCTTAGCCACAGGTCTCTCAAGGGTCCCAGAGCCCACCCCTGACCCAGGGTTCCTCTTTCAGACTGGAAGCAGGCCCCCACCCAGATGTCCTGACCAGAGTCTAGCTGCATGGAGCCCTCACCGGTGTGTGGGAGCAGGAGGATACAGAGGTGAAAGGCTGAGAGGCCTGGGGGTCTTTTAGGCACTGAGGGAACCCACTATCCTGCAATCACACATGGTTGCCTTCCCCTGGGGCAAGTTGGGTGCTGGAAATATCCCTGCCCTGGAGGCCCTTACTGGCTGAGAAACCTTAGACCAATCACCTGCCTCTCTGGACCTCCGTCTCCTCATCTTGAAACTGAACAGAAATATTCTCAGAGCCACATAACCACACAGACACCAATATGAATTTATTAAGTGTTCAGCAATTTGCACACATGATCTTAGCTATTCCCACAATAACCCTAAGACCTGAATTCTTAGCGAGGTTAAGTAACTTGCCCAGGGTCAGGGTGAGTGAGTGACCACAAAAGGTTTGGACTCAGCAACCCTGACTCCCAGTCCAGGGGCTCAGCCTCGTGGCTACCAGCCTCCTTTCTCAGGGTGGGTCATACCCGCAAATGCACAGACGCCCTGCCCGATTCATGGGCTGCAGGTCAGGTCATGCTCCACACTGGCTTGCTTGATGCCCTGGATGAAGTTGCTGACCCCTGGGGTCTCCTAGTGCCCTAAACTCCTCTGCCATATCTCCATCATCAATGAGCTGTGCTCCTCTGGTTCCTGGAACAATCTCCCTTTTTTCTTCCACCTAACTCCTTCTCCTCCCTCAGATCTGCCTTCAGGGAGCTCCCCAGACCATGGCCCCAATGACAGAGGTGGCCTTGCCCTCCTGCCGCCCTCTCTGTGGGGAGGGCCTCCCCTGTGCAAATGCCTGGTCCAAGGGTTCAAATCCAGACTCTGCCCTCTCTTTTAGTCCCTCCTCTGGGAAATGAGCATAATAATGGTCCCAACCACATAGGGTTGTTTCCAGGACTAAGTGATTTAGCACAGGTTCAGGCTTAGAAAAGCTGTCAGGTTTTTAAAAGATGTCTGGAGTTTAGGCAGTCAGCATGGCCCAGCGTGTAACACACCGTTGTAGGCTTTCCTATGATACAGCCTCTAACAAAATTCGGTGTCCTGAGTCCCTGGCAATAGAATTGTTTACTTTTATGCCAAGATGGTCTGGAAGGCACTGAAATCTGCATGTGGTGTGTGCCCAGGCAGAATCCGCAGTTCTTATGAGGTTGTCTAAAATGAAAACACACATCAGCAAGGCCCATGGTGGTCCCGCACGTGCTGAATGTGTCTGGGAAAGGAGTCGATGTGCTTTCCTTATGGTGGAGCAGGAAATTGTTGGGAAAGTGTTGAAGGCACAACAAGCACAGCGTGTTTAGTTCAGAAAGCTAAAGAAAAACAAAATGAAGCCTTTTTGAGTAATTACAAAAAAGAAAGAAATTCTGTGGATGTGGAGCAAGCTCTCCATGCCCAATGGGCATTTTCCCCCCAAAAGGCGCTCTCCTGATAGTCAATGATCATTGCTGGTTGAAGTCTGTGTCTTCTCTGCTGAACCCTAAGTTCCTCGAGGGCAGGGAGGGCTTCTGGTTCATTCCTTGCCCTGTCCCCAGCTTGGAGCATGTGCCTGGCATATAATGAGCATTTAATGCATATTTGTTGGATAAATGAATGAATGAATATAACGGGCCCCATTGTCAGTAGCAGAATGAAATAATGGGATGCAGAAGAGAACTCAGGCAACATTGAGTTCTTTTAGAGAGGAGTCCCGTACTTGTCTGACCTAATAATCATCTGTGCCTTCTGCTAGAAATCCAGATTCTGGGGCCCCAGCCCTGGAGATTCTTGTTCTTTGGGTCGGGGCGGGGGTGCTCTGGAAATCAGGGCTTTTTTTTTATTTTATTTTGAGACAGAGTTTCGCTCTTCTTGCCCAGTTCTTGCCCAGGCTGGAGGGCAATGGCACCATCTCAGCTCACCACAACCTCCGCCACAACCTCCAGGTTCAAGCAATTCTCCTGCCTCAGCCTCTTGAGTAGCTAGGATTACAAGCATGCACCACCACGCGAGGCTAATTTTGTATTTTTAGTAGAGATGGGGTTTCTCCATGTTGGTCAGGCTGGTCTTGAACTCCCGACCTCAGGTGATCCGCCCACCTCGGCCTCCCAAAGTGCTGGGATTACAGGTGTAACCCACCACACCTGGCCGGAAATCTGGGCTTTTAAAAGTACCTCGGTTGATTCAGATACACGGGCAGTTTGAGAAGTGCTGGCTTAGAGCAAAGCTTGGAGAGGAGAAAAGTGAATATACTGCTTACATGTCTCAGAGGGTTGGGCCGGGGTTCCTCCAGTCTGAGATAGAAGAGAGACCTGGCAGGCTTCCTGAAGGAGGAGGCATGGAGGCAGTGTCGAGGATGGGTGCCAGTCTTCCAGGGAAGGAAGAGGAGAGGTGGAGGGGTGTTGCCACCAGTGGCCCAAAAGGATGGGGCTCCAGCCTCCAACCTCACAATGACCACCTCTAGAAGTTGGAGGAAGGTGGCTGCAGCCCCAGTGTGTGACAAGGGTCCTATGAATCAGGATGCCCCTGGGGGAAAGGACACCCTGAGCATGATGTCCTCTGTCCACTCTGCTTAGGAGGAAATGGGGGGCAGCACTTTCTAAAGGAGGCCCAGTCAGGACAAAACCTCAGGCCTGGGATTAGCCCAGTGGGCCTTGCCTGGAGGTGGCACCTTACGCTCTGGAAGGAGAGCTGCCCCAGCCTAGAAGGGCTGGGGGAAGGAGAAGAAAGAGGGGTCGATGATGGTCAGCAGCATCTGCCATTTCTATCATGATCCAGAGGAGGGGTGGCCAGTCTGGAGTCGCATGGCAGGTATTAGGACTAGAACTCAGTGAGGCCATTTGGAACATACAATGCCCATCTCACTGCCTCCCACCTCCTGAGCACAGGCGGGCCATTTTCCTGTTTTCGGCCCAGCACAGGCGCGGGGAGAGAAGGCAGCAAGAGGGACTTTTTTTTTTTTTTTTTTTTTTTTTGAGACAGAGTTTCACTATTGTTGCCCAGGCTGGAGTGCAATGGCACGATCTCGGCTCACTGCAACCTCCACCTCCCAGGTTCAAGCGATTCTCCTGCCTCAGCCTCCCGAGCAGCTGGGATTACAGGCATGCACCACCATGCCAAGCTAATTTTGTATTTTTAGTAGAGACGAGGTTTCTCCATATTGATCAAGCTGGTCTTGAACTCCCGACCTCAGGTGATCTGCCCGCCTTGGCCTCCCAAAGTGCTAGGATTACAGGCATGAGCCACTTCGCCTGGCCAAGAGGGACATTTTATTGTTACATATTGACTATGAACTTAGGCCTTATGAAGTCCAGCCCCCAGGAAACCTGTTGTAAACTGGGGTCTTTGTTTATGTCTGTGTGCGTGTGCATGTGTGCGTGTGTGTGTGTGTGTCCACATATATGCTGTGGGGGCTCCTGAGTGTGTACAGGGATGTTATTGATTCTTTACTACTGTATCCTGAGTGCCTAGCTCAGTGCCTGGCATGTAATAGGTGCTCAGCAAATGAATGGGTGAGTTCCAGCGTGCCCATATATGTGTTGTCAGATGAAACTCAGATCTGTAGGACCCAGGGAGCCTCCCCAGAGCTCCGGAGAGGGCAGCACTTCCACAACCTTAGAGTTCAGGCTATTTTGGGAGACAGGAAGGATTTGCAATCAGGAGACCGAGAGCCACCCTGGACAGCCAAAGGTGAGCCACATTCGCCAGGCCCTGGAGGAGAGAGAAGGCAGGGGACACAGCAAGTGCCAAGGCTGAGAGGTGTGAGATGGGCAAATCCAGAGCAAAAGGGCACACTGGGGTTAGACTGCAAGAGTCAGCAAAGACGCCAAGATACAGCTTGAGCCGCTGAGTATGCTGAAGCCTGTATTTCCTGGGCTTGGGGACCCTGGGGAAGGAATGCAGCTGGGGGGAAATGAGGGGTCCTATCATGGAATAAGAGCCATGGTGGAAGCTTGGGCCGAGAACAGGCTAATGGCCCGACTGTTGAGGGTATCAGAAGCTCAAGTGACTAGAGAGAAGGAGACGTTTGGTCAAAAGGATTTCTTTGGAGGGAGATCTGGGGATGCTTAGATTTCCAGCCCCTATGAGGGGCTGTTTTGGAAATGCCTGCCCCTCTCATGGCTTGGTTAGAGCGTCCCAGTGGATTATGAGAAGATGGTAACGTGTGTCTCCAGTGAGTTGGGGATGCAGAAGCCTAGACAAAGTTGGCTCCCACCAGGAAAATCTAAAAAGGCCAGCAAGGGGCTGCTATCTGCTAGGAATAAACAGAAGATAGATCTGAGGTGGGATTGGCTGGGATTCCCCAGAGTTCAACAGAGTGCAGAAAACAAGTATATTTTCTGGGGTTCAAACATGGGCCTGGTCTGCCAAGAACTTTGACAAAACACAGCTCTTCCTCCTCCTCCTCTTCAGAATTATGTGGACAAGTAAATCTGGGAAGGGCTACAGCAGAGCATGAGTGTGGGGTGGGCATGGAAAGCCAGGGTTAGAGCGGGCAGCAGCCACCTACAGGATGCCCCTGGCCCACGGTGTGGGAAGTGCAGCCAAAGCCTCCCGGGACAGGAAGGAGGCGTCCAGAAGAATCCACAGAGTCAGCCCTGCCCCCTGCCGGGCCCTGTGAGCAGAAGCCATCCCACAACAGGACCGGTGAGACAAAACCTTTCCTTCCCGACTCCTCTCCCTTCTGGGCTATGCCCTGGCAGCCCCGGAACTGCAAATACAGAGTGAGTGTCCCTTATCCAAAATGTCTGGACCAGAAGTGTTTTAGATTTGGGATATATATATATATATATATTTTAGACAGAGTTTCACTATTGTTGCCCAGGCTGGCGTGCAGCGGCACATTCTCAACTCACTGCAACCTCCACCTCCCAGGTTCAAGTGATTCTCCAGCCTCAGCCTCCCAAGTAGCTGGGATTACAGGCATACGCCATCACGCTCGGCTAATTTTTGTGTTTTTTAGTAAAGATGGGGTTTCACCATGTTGGCCAGGCTGATCTCGAACTCCTAGCCTCAAGTGATCCACCCACCTCAGCTTCCCGAAGTGCTGGGATTACAGGCATTAGCCGCCGTGCCCGGACAAGATCTGGGATATTTTTGGATTTGGGAATATTTACAGATACATGATAGGATATCTTGGGAATGGGACCCAAGCCTTAAACACAAAATTTATTTATGTTTCATATGCATCTTCCACACATAGTCTGGAGGTAATTTCTACACTATTTGAAATAACTTTGTGCATGAAACCAAGTTTGTGCATATTGAACCATCAGAAAGCAGAGGTTAGGTGGAATATTCTACACTCGTAGTGTCATGCCATGGGTACTCAAAAAGTTTTGAATTTTGGAGCATTTCAGATTTTGAATTTTTGAATTAGGGGTGCTCAGTCTGTAGCAACATGCGGGAAGAGGGGCATGGAGCAAGGGCATGTGCAGGGGCAAAGTAGGTCCAAGCCCCTTCTCCAGCTTGCTGCCTGCAGAGGGCAGCAAGGGCAGAAAGAAGGGTTAGCTTTGAACCAAGTTCAAAGATGCAGTTACTACCTCGGACCAGACACTTTTAATGCCAACCTGACTCTGTATTTGCAATTTAAAGTGACCTAAGAATTTTTATCACCTAACCGGGGGCAGAAAACTTGTGGGGCTGCCCGAGTTTTCATCCAGGAATGGGGGGATGAACTTCCACCGGAGAAGGAATCATAAAAAGTAAAAAAAAATAAAAAATAAAAATGTTGGGTGACAAGAATAAAGCTGTTTTCCCTTTCGCCTGATTTTGCTTATCTAATGCACTGGTTTCTGTCATTACGGCTGTGACTCTGTCTCCCCTACTAGAATGTGGGCTCCTGAGGGCGGGTCCCTGTCAGATTTGGCTGTGTCCCTCCAGCATCTGGCCCAAGGCTGGGTATTTGATAAACCTCAGTAGATGCTAATTTTCTCTCTTCTTTCGCTTGACCCTGGGTGTTTATAAGAGGTGGCATCAGGTTCAGAGGGTAGCCCAGGGTCTCACGGATGTGGACAGAGATTTGGCCCATCCTTCATGGCTCCTCCAAGCATCAGTCATGTAAATCAGTCAGGCAGTCCATCTGCCAGTGACGGGACTCAACGGTCAGGCGGTCAGACAGTTGGGCATTGATCAGGGGATGGCTGGCCGCCAGCCTTGCCAGTCAGATGGACAGACAGTCCGAGGATCACTCTGCACTCAATCTGATACAGACACCGCTTTGCAGGGTCCCCTCCCAGCACACCAAGAGTGTCTCTCCTCTCCCAGAGTCCCCCCCTTCCCAGGAGGCCTGGTCTGGGGTGCTCCTGGCAGGGTGCCCGTCCCTGATCACCGACTTGGCAGCCTCCTGGATGCTGGCTCCAGCGATGCCCCTCCTCCTTCCCCTCCCTCCCAAGGTGGGAGCTTCAGGCTCTGCCAAAGCATTACTAAGCCCGGCGGTGACGTCACCCTCCCTGGTCCCACCCCGCCCCCGGCCGGCTTACCCTTCACCCCTGGCTGCCCCTGTGAGAATGACACATCCTGGGTGGGGGAGGGGCTGTGCCCTGGGACCAACATGAAGATCCTCCCCCCACCCCAGGCTTCCTGGTGGGTGGGATCTGGTCTGATGCTTCCCCAGCTGGAGGCTGCTCAGCTCGAGCAGTTATAGTCCTGGAGACCCAGCCAGACGTACCCCAATGCACACTGAGGCTCTTCCCCTCACCAGCAGGGTGGCCCTGGACAAGGGACTTTATCTCTTTCAGCTTCATCTCGGATGATAATAGGACCTGCCTCCGGGGGCGAGTGAGCGGGTGTGAGGCTTCAAAGACACCATGCACCGCAAGCCCCTGCTCCACTTACAAGGGGACCTTCAGTCCATCTCGGTTGCCTGTGGGGTGTTCACTCCGAATTCCTCAAGGTCCATTTCAAAACTAAATGGCTGGTCCTTTGCTGTCAGGGTTAGCTGAAAGACAAGGACTTTTCACCAATGCTGTCAAGCTGTGAGGTCAACACCCATTTCCTGGGATCACAGCAGCCATCCCGCGGTGTGGGGGGCCACGTGGGAGTGGGCCTTGGACCTTGCTGCCCGTGGAAATTCTAAGCACTCCTCCTCACTTTGATTGCAGCGATTTTTCCTCCTCATTGTGGCCAAAGGCGCAATCCCAACTCCCAGCACTGGCTCTTCTCTCTTCTTCCCAAATAAATACCTGAATGGAGGTTTTATTCAGGAACAACCTTGAAATACAACCAGGCCATCAATCTCTATCCCCCAGCACCTGGGGTCTGGAGCCCCAGAATTCAGAATGCTGAAGGTTGGTTGGCTTGGCATTGGGAGGAGGAAAGCCTTCCTCCCATTCCTCCAGGGAGATCAGAAGGCAGCAGGGTCTGCTGTAATCTGCCCTGCCCAAGATCTCTGTCTGATCTCTGGAAGATCACCTGGGCTGCCCCAGCAGGTGCCAATGAACCAACACTTCAAGGGTGTCCCTCAGAACATTAGTCTTGCCAGGTGCTTCACAAAACCCACACCTACACACATCACCACCACCAAAAATCACATAATAGTAGTAAGAGTTATGTGGCTTGCTCAAGGTGGAGGGTCTATAAGAGAATTCCTCATGAAATTGGGATCTTACAGAACTCAATTCCTAGTGTAAGGGTAAAGAATAAATAACTCCAGCCGGGTGTGGTGGCTCACACCTGTAATCCCAGCACTTTGGGAGGCTGAGGTGGGTGGATCACCTGAAGTCAGGAGTTCGAGACCAGCCTGATCAACATAGTGAAACCCCGTCTCTAATAAATATACAAAAAAAAAAAATTAGCTGGGTGTGGTGGTGGTACACGCCTGTAATTCCAGCTATTCGGGAGGCTGAGGCAGGAGAATTGCTTGAGCCCGGGAGGTGGAGTTTGCAGAGAGTCGAGATCAAGCCATTGCACTCCAGCCTGGGTGACAAGAGCGAAACACCACCTAAAAAAAAAAAAAAAAAAAAGCATAAGTAACTCCACTGCACAGAGGGGAAGCAAGGAAATGTATCCATCTTAAGCATGACATCCTGTGGAAGAGGAAAAATGTCTACAATGAGAATGCAGAAGCATAAGCCAGCCCTGATGTGCCTTTGCACCTGAATTGGTGCTACCTATGTGCATCAGTAAACTTCCAGTAGAGATTTCAGTTTCATGTAGTCCCAGGTTGGTAATGCTCAAACATGATGTGCAGGATCAAATATAAACTCTCTCTGGAGGGATGTAATTGTAAAGACTCCTACAGATAATGTTCCAGGAAATAAGAGGTCTCAATAGAAAAATTATAAAACACACAAAGAAATGAAATACCAGGAATGAGAGTCAGCATAAACAACAGACAGGAGAATCAGACCAGAAAAGACGTGTGACATTGAAATTGGATGCAAAATATAGGATGTTTCAAAAATAAGAGAAGCTTGAAAATATGAACAAGTAACCAGAGCTTGTACAACAAAATGGATTTGGAAATTAATCAAATGAAACTTTTATTTATTTATTTTTTTCAGATGGAGTTTCGCTTTTGTTGTCCAGGCTGGAGTGCAATGGCCCTATCTTGGCTCACTGCAACCTCTGCCTCCAGGGCTCAAATGATTCTCCAGCCTCAGCCTCCTGAGTAGCTGGGATTACAGGCGCCTGCCACCAGGCCTGGCTAATTTTTTGTATTTTTAGCAGAGATGGCGTTTCACCATGTTGGCCAGGCTAGTCTCGAATTCCTGACCGCAGGTGATCCACCTGCCTCAGCCTCCCAAAGTGCTGGGATTACAGGCATGAGCCATCACACCCTGCCAAATGAAACTTCTAGAACTGGGAAATACAGTCATTGAAATGGCAGAATTCAAAGTATGTATGGTCAAATAAGAGTACATACCTGTGGAGACAGAATTAGTAAAATATAAGGCGAAACTGCAGAAATTATCCTGAATATAGTTCAAAGTGAAAAAGAGTTGGAAAGTAGAAAAGAAAAGTAAAAGATGTGGAGGATAGAGATCTGACATGTTCAGTCAGAATACTAGAAAGAGAAGAGGGAAAGTATGGGGAAGAGGCAATATTTGAAGAGATGGTAACTGACAGTTTTTAAGAATTGTCAAAAGACATCCAACCTTAGACCCAGAAAACTCAGTAATTTCTAAACACTAAAAATAAAAGGAAATCCACCACTATACACGTTAAAGTGAAGCAGCAGAATTAAGAAAGAGAGGTTGTCATCCATAAGTGAACTCTAAAAAAGTTGATCTCATAGAAGTAGAGTAGAATAGTGGTTATTAGAGGCTGGGGAGGGTAGGGAGGAGGGATGAATGAGAAGAGATTGGTCAATGGGTACAAAGTTACAGTTAGGAGAAGTAAGTTCTAGTGTTCTGTTGCACAATAGGGTGACTATAGTTAACAATAACGTATTGTATATTTCAAAATAGCTAGAAGAGAGGATTTTGAATGTTCTCACCACAAAGAAATGATAAATGGTGATGGATTTGTTAATTACCCTGATTTGATCATCACACAATGTTTACATGTATCACAACATCACATTGTTCTCCATAAATATGTACACTTATTATATGTCAATTAAAGAGAAATTATACTTTAAAGAAAAAGATCATAAAAGCAGCCAGCTGGACCCCCCCCAAAAAAAAAAAACCACACATGAAACAGCCTTTAGACAGGTGGCTGACTTCTCAGCAGCAACAATTCAATTCAGAAGACAGTAGAATAATATTTTTAGTGTATTTTAAATTTATATTGCTGAAATAAAATAGTTGTTGACCTAGAATTCTGTATCTGGTGAATCCACATTTCAAGAACAAAGATGTAATATAACTGGGAGGGGCCGGGCATGGTGGCTCATGCCTGTAATTCCAGCACTTCCGGAGGCAGAGGCGGGCGGATTGCTTGAGCTCAGGAGTTTGATACCAGCCCAAGCAACATGATGAGACCCCCCCCGCCGTCTCTACAAAAAAATACAAAAATTATCTGGGTGTGGTGGCTCATGCCTGTAGTCCCTGCTACTTGAGACACTGAGGTGGGGAAATCATCACTGCGCTCCAGCCTGAGTGACAGATTGAGACCCTGTCTCAAAAGGGAAAAAAAAAGAAAACACTGAGTTTACCACAATGGACCTCACTAAAGGATAGTCTAAAGAATATTCTTCCTAAGGTCAAGAACAGATAAGGATGTCTGCTATCACCAATTCTATTTAACATTGTACTGGAGATTGTAGCCAGGAAATTAGGCAAGAAAAAAATTAAAGAAGTAAAACTATCTTTATTTGCAGATGATATGTTCCTCTCTATAGAAAATGGTAAAGAATCAACTAAAGAACTATTAGACTAATAAACAAATTTAGCAAGGTTGCTGGATACACAATCAATGTATACAGATAATTGTATTTCTATACATTAGCAACATATAATCTGAGAAAAATGGATTTAAGAAAAACATTTCCACTTACAATAGCATTAAAAATAATTTTAAAAACTAAAGAATACATTTAACAAAAGAAGAGCAACACTTGCACCCTTAAAACTGTAAAATATGATTGAAATAAATTAAAGGAAACCTAAATAAATGGAAAGATTGCTTCTGTTCATGGACTGGAAAATTTAATATTATTAAGATGGAAATGCACCCCAAATTGATTTACAGATTCAGTGCCACCCCTATCAAAATCCCAGCTGGCTGTTTTACAGAAATTGATGAGCTGATCCTAAAATTTATATGGAAATATAAAGGACCAAGAATAGATAAAACAGACTTGAAAAAGAACAAAGTTGGAGGACTCACACTTCCTGATTTTAAAACTTACTACAAAGCTGAAGTAATTAAGACTGTAGTCCTGGCAAAAAGATTGACATAGGGATCAATGGAAGAGAATTGAGAATCCAGAAATAAAATCATACATTATGAAAAAGGGTGGATGCCAAGACAATTCAATGGGAAAACATATTCTTTTCAACAAATGGCACTAGAACAACTGGATATCCATATGCAAAAGGATGAAGTTGGATTCTTTCCTTACACCATGCACTAAAATTAACTTACAATGGATCATAAACCTAAATGAAAGAGCTAAAACTATAAAACTCTTATAACAAAACTTAGGAACATAGGTTTAAACTTAGTGACCTAGGATTACGCAAAACCTTCTTAGACATGATGTCAAAAGCACAGGCAACAAAAGAAAAAAATAGATAAATTGGACTTTATTTAAGGTTAAAGCATTGTGCTTTAAAAGATATCATGAAGAAAGTGAAAAGACAAATATAGAATGGGAGAATATATGTGGAGATCATATATCTGATAAAGGACTAGTACCCAGAATATATAAGGAACTCTTACAACTCAATATTAAAAGGACAAATAATAATCTATTTGAAAAATAGGCAAAGGACTTGAATAGACATTTCTCCAAAGAATATATGCAAATAGGCCAGGCATGGTGGCTCACGCATGTAATCCCAGCACTTTGGGAGGCCGAGGCCGGTGGATCACAAGGTCAGGAGTTCGAGACCAGCCTGGCCAAGATGGTGAAACCCCGTCTCTACTAAAAATACAAAAATTATCCGGGTGCAGTGGTGGACACCTGTAATCCCAGCTACTCAGGAGGCTGAGGCAAGAGAATTGCTTAAACCCGGGAGGCGGAGGTTGCAGTGAGCCAAGATCGTCCCACTGCACTCTAGCCTGAGCAACAAGAGCGAAACTCTGTCTCAAGAAACAAACAAAAAAAGAATATATGCAAATGGCCTATAAGCACATGAAAACAGGCTTAATATCTTTAATCAGCAGGAAAATGCAAATCAAAACTACAATGAAATACTACTTCACACACACAAGGAGGGAAATAAAAAAAAAAGAAAAAGAAAAAGAAAATACCAAGTGTTGGCAAGGCTGTGGAGGAACAGAAACCCTCACACATTGCTGGTGGGAAGGTAAGATGGTGCAGCCACCTTAGAAAGAGGTTCAACAATTCTTCAAAATATTAGACATGGAGTTATCATAGGACCCAGCAATTTCACTCCTAGATATATACCCAAGAAAACTGAAAACATACATCTACATAAAAATTTACACACAAATGCTCATAGGAGCATTATTCATAACAGCCAAAAAGTGCAAAAAACCTAAATGTAACTTTGGGGGATGAATGCGTATGTAAAATGTGGTATATTCATACATTGGAATATTATTTCAGAACAAAAAAAAATGGAGTACATGCTGTAACACAATGAATTTTGAAAACATTATGCTAAGTGAAAGAAGCCAGCCACAAAAGACCACATATTGTATGATTCTATTTATGCGAAATGTCAAAAATAGGGAAATCTACAGAGACAGAAAGTAGATTCGTGGTTGCCTAGGGCTGGGAGATTTGAGGAAAAATGAGGAGTGGCTACCAAGGGTTATAAAGTTTCTTGTTGGGATGATGGAAATGTCCTAAAGTTGATTGTGGTGGTGGTTGCAAAACTCTGTGAATATATTAAAAATCATTGAACTCCACAATTTAAATGGACGAATTCTGTGGTATACAAACCATATCTCAATAAAGCTTTTTTAAAAATGTACTCTAGACAGAAAGAAAAATATCTGAGAGTTGGAAATTCTGAGATGCAAGAAAGAATGGTGGGCAAAGATAATGATTCATGTGTGGTTAAATTCAAAACATAATGACTGCATGTACAAGAGATATAATGTCTGGTTGTGGGGAGCTGATTTCTCAAAATAAAACTAAAATATTGGACAATAGTAGCTGGTAGGTGGAAGGAGAGTAAATGGAATTAAAGTGTTATGAGATCTTTGTATTGTTTGGAAAGAGAGTAAAATTATATTGACTTTATCTTGTTAAGTAATAAGGATATACAGCCATGTTTCACATAATGATGTTTTGGTTAATGACAGACTTCATAAACAATGGAGATCCCGTAAGATTGTAGTGGGGCTGAAAAATTCCAATCACCTAGTGATATCGTAAGCATCAGCCATCATAACATTGTAGCACAATGCATTATATTTCCTACGTTTAGGTATGTTTAGATATACAAATGCTTATCACTGTGTTGCAATTGCCTGCAGTATTCAGTACGGTAATATGCTGTACAGGTTTGTAGCCTAGGAGCTATGAGCTATACCATATAGCTTTAGTATGTAGTAGGCTATACCATCCAGTTTGTGTTTAAGTATAATCTATGATGCTTGTACAATGACAAAATCACCTAATGACAAATTTCTCAGAATGTATCCCCATCGTTAAGTGGCACATGACTGTACAGAGAAAATAAAACTGCTCGACTAGTAGAGGGGGAAATGGAACTAAACACATATACAAAACTAGACCTGATCATGACTGACCAGATAAGCAGATCACAGAGGAGATGTACTTATGGGTAGAGTCCCATAAAGAAGGCAAAGCTCATCTAAAAACAGACAGACATTTTGAATGCTGGGTTTTAGGCATTAGTGAATAACATTACTTTTAGTTGTTCATACTGTATGTTTTTCAGTGAGGATCAAATTCTTTTAATTCAAAATGAGGCAAGAAAGAGAAAAAAACTGAAAAAGCTGTACACATACCACAAAATAAGATGGTGGAAATACACCCAAATATATCAGTAATCACAAGAAATATAAATGGACTCAGTGTTCTGACTAAAAGATAAATTTTTCAGACAAAATTAAAAATTAAATTCCAGCTCTAAGCTAGTTATTTTATCATTGAGACTACATGCTTATATATTTCTGTTTTTATTTATTTTATTTTTTGTACAAACAGCAGCTCCACTATGTTTCCCAGGCTGGTCTTGAACTCCTGGACTCAAGTGATCCTCCCACCTCAGCTTCTCAAAGTGGTGGGACTAAAAGTATAAGCCACTGTGCCTGGCCTATATATTTTTTAAAATATCAGCTTTATTGAGATATAATTCATATACCACACAATTCACCAATTTAAAGTGTACAATTCAATGGTTTTTAGTATATTCACAGATTTGTGCAACCAACAATTTTAGAACATTTTTAATGGTCTCCAACTTACTGTATAGAGAGTTTACAGGCCATAACACAGGGAAGAGGAGTCCTGGGGGAGCCTGTCAGCTTCCTGAGTTAAGGTAATGGAACTGGGAGTTATAAGAGGCCAAAAAGTCAAGTTCACAGGGAAGAGTCCTGGAAAAGAGAGAGCTGTACAGAGAGAGAATTCTGGAGGTAGGAGATCCTCCTTGAATATTCAAATGAGTACTGATTAATGCATGCATGTGAGGAACATACCCAAGTCTGGGGGTATAAAACCACTAGACAAGATTAGAGCTCGCACAGGCCTGGGGATAGTTCTTGTTAGCACCAGCCAGGATTTTTTAAATGTCATAATTTATGAATCATGGGTGGAATACTCAAAAGAGTTGTCTCAGTTTTGAGGGAAAATTAGCCCTAGACTTAATGTTTCTCTGGTCCCATCTAATAAAGTTTAAAAGCAAGACCTACAAGAATCCATCTGTTTCCAAGTATCTTTACTGAATTCCAAACAATGCTCAAGAATAGTTATAGGAATACTCAAATATGCAACATCTAACACGATACAATTCATAATGTATACCATTCAACTAAAATTGACCAGGGAGATAGATAAAAACTACAACACTTGAGATAAAAAAAATATTCTGGGATTAATGGCAGATTAAACACTACAAGTGAACTTGAAGTCATTGCAATAGAAATTAACCAAAAGAAACATGGCTAGAGAAGGGACCAAAAAAATTAAAAACCATGAGTATAGTATCAGGGAGATGTGGGAACAACTTCAAGCAGCCTAATAGATGTGCAACTGGAGTCTTCAAAGGAAGGAAGGGAGGCTAAAAAATATCTGAAGAAATAATGACCACAATTTTTCCAAATGTGATTATATAAATATACACAGAAAATACGAAAAAAAATGACACTAAGCCACCATTATAATTAAGTTATTTGAAATCACTGATAAAGACAAAATCTTAAAAGCAGCCAGAAAGAAAAGACACATTATGAACAGAAGAAGAAAGATAAAAATGACAGCAGACTTTTTATTGAAAATAATGCAAGTCAGAAGGCAGAGGAGCATTTAAAAAGTTTGCCAACCTAGAATTCTTTATTCAGCAAGAATATTTTTCAAAAACAGAAGTGAAATTAAATCTTTTCTGACATACAAAAGCTGACACATTTCATGACTAGCAAATCTGCACTATAGAAAATGTTAAATAATGTCCTTCAAAAGAACAAAAATGATACCAGATGAAAATCTGGATGTACACAAAGGAATAAAAGGCATAAAAATGTTAACTATATGAGTATAAAATGTATTTATTATTATTTAAATATCTTTAAAATATAATCTACTATTTAAAGCAAAAAAATGGCAATGTGGTGGAATTTTATAATACACATAGAAGTAAAATGTATGACAAAAATGGCACAAAAACAGGAAGAGGAGAAATAGAAGTATATTCTTGTACACACTTTATACTCAAGAAGTGGTGGTGTATCACTTGCAAGTAGACCAATAAGTTTTATAGTTATACTATAACTATGTACTATAAGTTTTATAGTTATACTATACTATAAAATCTAAACACTAAAATAACACAACAAAGGATTACAGGCAATAAGATAAAAAACAAGATAAAAATACTCAACTCAAAAGAAGGCAGAAAAAGGAGAAAATTGGTGTCTTCAAGGAACATGTGAGACACAGAGAAAATAAATAACAAGATGCTAGATTTAAATTCAACCATATTAGTAATCACATTAATATGAATGGCCTAAACACCCCAGTTAAAAGGAAGAGATTGTCAGATTGAATAGACAAGTAAGACTTAATTATATGCTGCCTACAAATATAAAGACACAAATAGGTTAAAAGTATGAAAAAAGTTATACTGGCTAACACTAATCAAAAGAAAGCTGAAGTAAGCATATTAATATTAAACAAAGTAGATTTCAAAGCAAAGACTATGCCCAAGTATGAGTGTCATTTCAAAATGATAGAGAGGTGAATTCATCAAGGAAAAACAAACAACAATCCTAAACGTTTATGCTCCTAACAAAAGAGTTTCAAAGCCCAAATGGACAGAACTACAAGGGGAAATAGAGAAATCCATAATTACAGTTGGAGACTTCAGCAATCTTCTCTCAAGGACAGCTAAGACAAAACAGAAAATTAATAAGTATACTGATGACTTGAACAAGTCTATCACCTCAATCTAATATTTGTAAAACACTCCACTCACAATACCACAATACACATTCTTTTTCTAAAGTACACATAGATTATCTACCAAGATAGATTATATTCTTGTCCACAAAACAAGTTGCCATACATTTTACAGCATTCAAATCAAACAAGGTATGTTTTTTGACCATAATGAAATTAAATTAGAAATTATTAATAGAAAGTCACCTGGAAAATCTCTAAGTATTTGGAAACTAATAATTGAAAAGTTCTAGATAACCTACTGGTGAAAGAAGAAATCAAAAGGAAATTATTGTGAATTAAATGAAAATGGAAATGAGATATTAAAAATTAGGGGATGCAGGTAAAGCAATATTTAGAGGGATATTTATATTATTAAGTATATATATTAGGAAAAAGCATCTGAAATCAATTATCTCAGCTTTCATCTTAAGAAACTAGAAACAGAAAAGAAAATTAAACCCAAGAAAATAGAAAGGAAATAGTGAAGATCAGAGTGAAAGATGATAAAACAGAAAAGCAATAGAGGAAAAATCAATAAAACCAAAAGTTGATTCATTGAGAAGATCGATAAAATTGATAAACCTCCAGCCAGATTGGTCGAGATAAAAACAGACACAACTTCAATTACCAATATCAGGAATAAGAGAAGTAATAATACTAAAGGTTTTACAGACACTAACAAGAAAATGTAGAGATGTTATGAGCTTTATGTCAATAAGTTTGACAACTTAGATTAAAAAAATTCCTGCAAAGATACAAATTATCAAAGCTTACTCAAGAAGAAAATAACTTAAATAACTGTATTCCTAACAAAGCAATTGGATATGTAGTTCAAAACCTTGAACAAGGAAAATGCCAGGCCCAGCTTCACTGGGGAATCCGACCAAACTTTTATGGAAAGAAACAATACCAGTTCTACATAGATTCTTTCAAAAACTTAAAAAGTGACATATTCTTAACTTGTATCATATGGCCAGCATTACTTTGTTACCAAAGCCAAATAAAGCCATTATAAAAATAGAAGACTATGTGTTTGGTATAGATAAATCTCTCTCATGAACATAAATGTAAAAATTATTAGCCAAAGTGTTATTGAAGTAAGCATAACAATATATTAATTTTTAATACACCATCTTTCTGCAGCACAATATATTAAATTCATAATACATCATGACCAAGTGGAGTTTTACTAGAGAAACATAAGTTTGGCTTAAGATTCAAAAATCAATCAATATAATTCATTATATTAACAGACTAACAAAGGAATGTCATCTGGTCATCTGAATGAATGCAGTGCAAGTATTTGTCAAATCCAAAATCCATTCCTTATAAAAGCTCTCAGCAATAAGAGGAGAGGAGAGGAGAGGAGAGGAGAGGAGAGGAGAGGAGAGAAGGGAGGAGGGGAGGAACTTCCTCAATCTGATAAACGGTAACTAAAAAACACATACAACTAACATACTTAATGATGAAAGACTGAATGCTTTCCCCCTAAGATGAGGAACGAGGCAAGGATGTCTGCTGTCACCACTTCCATTCAGCACAGTACTGGAAGTTTTGGCCAGTGCGTTCAGGTAAGAAAAAGAAATAAAAGTCATCCAGATCATTTTTTTAAAAAGTAAAATTGTCTTTATTTTGTAGATGACATGATGATCTATGCAACAAATTTTATGGAATCTGTAAACATACTGTTATAACTAATAAGTGGATTAAGCAAGGTGGTGGCATATAAGATCAATATGTAAAAATCAGTTGTATTTCTATATACCAGTCACAATAGGAAATTGAAACAAAAAATACCATTTACAAACATATCAAAAACATAAAATACTTAGGGATAAGCCTGACAAAAGACATGAAAACCTGTATATTAAAAACTAGAAAATATTGCTGAGAGGAGTTAAAGAAGACCTAAATAAATGGAGAGATATACCATATTAATGGATTGGAAGATCAAATATTGTTAGTGTCAGTTCTTCCCAGATTGAACTACAGATTCGACTCTATCCCAATCAAAATGTGGGCAAATTATTTTTGTAGAAAGTGACAAGCTGATTCTAAAATTCACTTGGACATGCAAAGAACCCAAAATAGCAAAAACGATCTTGATGAAAAAAAAAAAAAAAAAAAGCAGAGTCAGAGGACTACACTATCTCACTTCAAGTCTTTATACAAAGCCACAGTAATCAAAACAGTGTGATATTAGCATCAAAATAGACAATGGCACAAATAAGGGTCTGTAGCTAGACCCACTTATATATGGTTAACTGATTTTGAACAAAGGTACAAAGGCAATTCAGTGGACACATGGACACATGGTGCTGCAGTAATTGGATATCCATATTAAAAAATAACTTCAATCTAAATATCACATCATATATAAAAATTAACTCAAATGGGCCATAGATTTAAATGTAAAACTTACAATTATAAAACTTCTGGAAGACAACATAAGGGAAGATATTTGTGACCTTGGGCTATTTAAGAAAAAATTGAAAAACTGGACTTCATGAACATTAAGAACTTCTGCTCTTCAAAAGACTTTTTTTTCCTTTTTTCAACTTTTTAAAGTTCAGGGGTACATGTGCAAGATGTACAGGTTTGCTACATAGATAAATGTGTGCCATGATGGTTTGCTGCAAAAATCATCCCATTATCCAGGTATTAAGCCCAGCATCCATTAGCTATTCTTCCTGATGCTCTCCCACTCCCGACTACAACAGGTCCCAAGGTGTGGCATTCCCCACCATGTGTCCATGTGTTCTCATTATTTAGCTCCCACTTATTAGTGAGAACATGTGATGTTTGGTTTTCTGTTCCTGCATTAGTTTGCCAAGGATAATGGCTTCCAACTCCATCCATGTCCCTCCAAACGACATGATCTCATTCCTTTTTATGGCTGCATAGTATTCCATTGCGTATATTTACCACATACTCTTTATCCAGTGTATCATTGATGGGCATTTAGGTTGATTCCATGTCTTTGCTATTGTGAAGTGTTGCAATGAACATTCATGTGCATGTTTCTTTATAATAGGATGATTTAAATTCCTTTGGGTATATACTCAGTGATGGGATTCCTGGATCAAATGGTATTTCTGCCTCTTGGTCTTTGAGGAATGGTCGTGCTGTCTTCCATAATGGTTGAACCAATTTACATTCCCACTAACAGCATAAAAGCATTCCTTTTTCTCCACAACCTCGCCAGCATCTGTTGTTTTTAGACTTCTTAATAATAGCCATTCTGACTGGCATGAGATGGTATCTCATTGTGGTTTTGCTATTTGATTGTGGTTTGAGATACCTCTTTTGTGTTATCTCATTTGCATTTCTCTAATGATCAGTGATGTTGCATTAAAAACTTCTGCTCTCCGAAAGACATTGTTTTTTTCTCTTAAAAAAACAAATCTCATTTGCATTTCTCTAATTATCAGTGATGTTGAGCTTTTTTTATGTTTGTTGGCCACATGTATCAAAAGACATTATTAAGAGACTCAAAAGTAAGTCACAAACAGTGACAAACTGTGAATCACATATCTGATAAAAGACTTGTATCCAAAATACATAAAGAACTCTTAAAATTCGACAAAAAAAATTAGAAATGGACAAAAATATTGAGCAAATACTTCACCAAGGAAGATGTACAGTACAAATGTCAATATGTACATTACAATATGATGTACAGTACAGTATGTTGAGCACATAAAAGATGCTCAACATCACTAGCCAAATAGGCAAATGCAGATTAAAACCACAGTGAGGTACAATTACACATTAGAATCTCTAAAATTAGAATCTCTAAAATTAAAAAGACTGACCATACCCAATGTTAGCAAGGATTAGAACTGTCATACCCTGCTTGTGGAACTATTAGAACTACCATACACTGCTTGTGGAAATGTAAAATGGCAAAACTACTTTGAAAAACAGTTTGGCAGTTTTTTGAAAAGTTAAGTATATATCTGCCATATGACCCAGCCATTCAACCTCTGTTTAACCCGGTAGAAATAAAAGCATATGTTCATTTAATAATTTCTACACCAACAGTGATGGCAGTAGTCAAATCCAAAAACAACCTAAATGTCCATTGAAAGGTGAAAAATAAACAAATGATGGTGTATATATATATACAATAAAATATTACTCAGCCTTAACAAGGAATGAACTATTGATACACATGGGAACTTAGATGAACCTCAAAATAATGACACTGAGTGAAAGAAGCCAGGCAAAATAGAGTGCATGTTGTATTATTCCATTTTATAAAATTCTAGAAAACGTGAGTAAATATATAGGGACATAAAGCAGATCGATATTGACCTGGGTGGAAGCTGGGCGAGGAGCGGGGAGGAAGCATCAAGACACATGAGGGCATGTTCAGTACCTTGAATGCATTGACAGTTTCACTAGTGTTTAAGTAGGGGAGAAAAGATTTCTCACACATCTCAAGGTCCATGGCTAAGGCACCTGTAACAAAACACAGATTAACAAGAGAAAAGCAAGCAGTTTTATTTAATATAAGTTTTATGTGACTTGAAGAATAAAATCACAGAAATAACTTTAGAAATGAAGACCCAAAGAAGCAGAGAAAACTGTATTTTTATGGATGGTCATGTAGAAATATGATTGGACAAAAGGGGGCATGATCTAGTGGTAACAAACTGGGGGGAACTTAGCGATCCCTTTTTGTTCAGATTCTTGGCATCTCTGTGTCTTCAAGGAGAAGGAAATTACCTTTCTCTGGATATAAGGTGCGCTTCTCTAGAACGAGGGTCTCATGACTTACTTTAGTGGATGGCTTGAGAATTGTCTTATGATCTGCTTCAGTGGAGAAGGGTGGGAGGTCAGAGAGACCTTCTTGTTTCTAATGTTTTCTCAAATGGCAAGGTGCCATATTTTGGGGTAGTGTGTCCTGAATCCCATTATATGTGTTAAAACTCATCACATTGTATGCTTTATATATGTGAAGTCAATTTATGTCAATTATTTCACAATTAAGTTATTAAAATAATCAGAAGACATTATGAACTTTAATCCAAATACATTCTTTAAGTATGTAACATGAATGAATTAGAAAAATAAAACTTGAAAATTGATGCCAAAAGAAATGTGATGTAAAACAGTGTCCTCTAAAATGGCTCAGTGTGGGACCACTGATCTTAATAGTTCTCAAACTGAATCCGAAGTTTCAAATTTTCTTCAATGAGAACACCAAGCTCAGACAGCTTTACAGGCAAGTTCTACAAAACGTTCAAGTTTCAGATAATTCTAATCCTACACAAAATATTCCAGAGGTCAGAAAAAGAGAGGATACCCCTCAGCTCATTTTTTTTTTAACCTCAGCCTTCTGAGTAGCTGGGATGACAGGCATGTGCCCTTAAGCCTGGCTAATTTTTGTATTTTTGGTAGAGATGATGGGGTTTCACCATGTTGCCCAGGCTGGTCTCCAACTCCTGGGCTCAAGTGACCTGCCTACCTCAGCCTCCCAAGGTGTTGGGATTGCAGGCGTGAGCCACCATGCCCAGCCCTTGTAGCTTATTTTTATGAGGTTAGTATAACCTTGATACCCAAACCAGATGCAACTCAATGGAAAAAGACACTTCCTTACCCTTGAACATGGATACAAAACTTTGGACACAGTATTAGCAAACAGAACCTTTTAATGAATGAAAACCACAACACATCAGGTCCATGTTCAATTTATCTCAAGAATTCAAAGTTGGTTTGACTTTGGGAAACAGATTAATGTAATTCACATCAGACAAGTCAAAGGACAGATGCTACATAGTCTCAACAGGTACAGAAAAAGAGGGCAACAAATTTCCACATTCATTCATGACAAAACTCTTAGAAAAATGGGAAGAGAAGAAAATTTTCTTTAACCTAATAAGTGGTACCAACAGAAAGCTTAGAGCAAGCAATTAGCATGAAGTAGAATTGAAAACATTCCCTTTAAAATCAAGCAGGGCCAGGCACAGTGGCTCACACCTCTTATCTCAGTGCTTTGGGAGGCTGAGGAGGGAGGATTGCTTGAGGCCAGAATTTTGAGACCAGCCTGGGCAGCATAGCGAGACCCCTGTCTCTACAAAAAACAATTTTAAAAAACTTAGCTGGGTGTGGTGGTGCACACCTGCAGTCCCAGTTACTCAGGAGACTAACGGGGGAGGATCGCTTGAGCCCAGGAATTCAAGATTACAGTGAGCCATGGTCACACCACTGCACTCCAGCCTGGGTAACAGAGTGAGACTCTATCTCTTAAAAATAAACATTAGAAATAATAAAAATAGAATCAGGCAGAAGACAAAGATGCCTGCTCATGCCACTTCTGGTTGTATTAGCGGTCCAGCACAGTAAAAGAAAAAACAAGATAAAGTAAATTTTTAAAAAATTAAATGATATAAAGATTGAAAAGAAAGGGAAAAAACCTACTTGCAAATGATGCAACTGTTTATATAGACAACGGGAAGGAATTAATGGATGTACTATTAGGATTAAGGAGAATTCAGCAAGGTTGCTAGATACAAAATCAACATGGAAAAATCCATGATATTTCTAGGTCTTAGTACAAACAATTAGAAAATGTAAATAATAGAAAATGATAGTGTTGACCATATTTGCCTCATCTGTGGCATGTGAGGAGCAGTGTCTACTTCAGCATATTTACATGAGGATTAAGTGAGACAAGTAAGTCGAGAACTAGCAAGTGCAAAGTTACTGTTACCAAATGTCAGTTTCTCTCTTTAGTCCCTGGGCACTGGGTTAGGCACCTTCTGGAGATCACTTGGCAGGACTCAGCTCACCTTGGCCTCTGGAGCTCCAGAAAGACAGGTATGATCCTCACCCAAATATCTCCCATGTAAGGCAGAAAATGGCCAGTGCCACAAGAGAAAAGACACGGGGGGTGGCAGAAGAAGCAGACAATGGTGGGAGATGCTTCCCATCTGGAAGCACTTTACTGGGGGCCTGAGAGTGGGCAGAATGTAGGCATTCAGAAAAAACATAAAGGCTACTCTATGGACAGTGTAGACAATGGCTAGAAGTGGAAGCATGGAGAGGGTTTAGGGCAGGAGAATTGGTGTTGGCTGCAGTCAAGCGTGTATGGAGCGGAACTGTGTGCGGTGAAAGGGGAAGTCACTAATGGCGGGACTTCAGGCATCACACAGATGCCACACTGGTGAAGGGGCCCAGGCAAGGAGACCTGGGTATGGCAACACCGTGGCCTCTGACCTCCTCCCACGCTCCTTACTGTGCCTGCCTCTGAGCTCGGCGGAGTCGTCCATTACACTCCCTGCTCTGCCCAGCCCTGGTGGCTCCCCTAGAGCTGGTGGCCTTCTGCCCTCTGAGGTTTAGAGAGAAGCCTCCTGTCTGCGGGAGGAAATCTCTGCAAGGTGTTTACTGCAGGGACCCAGGGAGCCAGGGTGGCCACGAGCCAAGTCTGAGTGCTGACCGGGGATTTTGCAAGGAAGAAGGAAGGGGGCCTGGATGTTTGAACAGCTGGGGTGGATCAGGGGCTGCCATCCCCCTTTCCCCTCTCCCGCTCCCCTGCTTCCGGGCTTTGACACCCCATTCTACCTGGGGTCCTGTCTGTTGAAGTGTCCGTTAATAGAGCCCTAGGACTGGAGGGCATTTTCTGTCCCCAAACAGGCAGACTGTGGAAGGAAAGTGTTTTGCGTTTTCTCCTGGGTGGGTTTGTGGGTAGGGGGCTCACATGCATACAAGCTGAACTGTGCTTTGGAGTTCCACAGAGGATGGGCTGAAGACCCAGCCAAACAAAACACGCCAAATAGTAAATCTGTCAGAAGCTGAAGTTAACTTGGGAGGTACCAAAGATACTTTCTCAGCACAGGATACAGGGGGTACCAGGCTGGAGGATGTTTGGGAAGCCGAGCCTCCCATCTCCCTGTCTCTGCTGGAGACAGGTTTGGAGGGTGGTGATGGAGCCTGGAGATTGTGGGGATCCCCAAGTGAAGGCTCCCCAGTCCCAAAGTCCAATCACCTCTCCAGGAAACAGCAGCATGAATTCTCTTGGACAGCTGCAGAAACCTCTTATGAGCCATGTCTGCTGACTCTAACACCAACCTTCTGGTGCATTTCTTCTCACAGTACCAGCATCTTCTTGCTCATCCTCCACAGGTGTTTAATGAGCACAGGGCATCCTGGGGATGGGGACCCAGCAGCCACCTGCCGGGGACCGTGGGCCCTGAGTTCACTCCCATATTACAAGGCCTGGGGGAGCTGAAGCTGTGAAGTTCTGTTGAGGCCACTTGCGTTGTCCACACAAAACCGTGCCCCTGGAGAATTGCGGGCAGTGGCCAAAGACACTGTCAGTGAGAACACTCTGATGGTGTGAAATGGACATTCTTGAAGATGGTCCGCAAATGTGCTCGGACTCTCTTGGGCAAAGAGCTCTCCTCTTAGACAACCAAGGACAAATAGCGGTGTCACTTGGAAAGTAAACGATAGAGAGCAACCTGCACCCCACCTCCCCAACGTGGTGGGCAGTCCCTGAAGAAATACACATCTAAGCTCAGGTCCCAACCGCGCCTCTCCCCAGCTGTGTAACTCATGGAGCCTCAGTCTTTTCATCTGTAAAAGGGGGGCAGTGACGCCTATCGCAGGTTATTGTGAAGACAGACGGAGACATAAAAGGCTTGCCACACAGTGGCTTTGCCCAGTGCTAGCTCCCTTCACCCCCTCACCCCACTGCAGAGCACAGTGGTGGGTGAGGAGCAACACCAGGAATCCCCATGAAGAGCTGGGCTTTCCTGTCACCCAGCGGGTGGCCTCCTTGCCACTGCTTTTCCAGCACTTTCCAGCTTATAACTGTGGGCAGCCCTGGGGCGCCAGGGGGTGGGAGGAGGCAGCTGCAGGGCTGGGGGCAGCAAATGGGGTGGATTTTGCTGACTTTGCCTTTTCTGCTCCTGCCTGGATCAAAGTGCGGGAGGCACGAAAGGAAAGAAACACGCCTCTTTGCAGCCTGCCTTGTTCTCCCCTCTGTCTTTTTTCACCTGCAAGCTCTAAGGGGCAGAATCAGCCTGGAGGCTATGGAATAGGAGAGGCCAGGAACACGGGGCTGAGCCTCCAGGGTCAGGTCAGGTTTCTGGGCCCCCAAGAAGAACCTGGAAAGTGGGGGGCTCTTCGCTCTTTTCCCTGTTGCTGCTCCCCTCCCCCTCTCACCCTAGCATTCTGGCTGGTTCTCTCCTCTCCGGCTTTTCCACTTATGAAAGCCGGAAGCCATGGGTTGCGCACACTGTCTGGGACCCATTTATGGCAGGCCTTGGGCAGGTGAAGGTAATCAAGCCAGAGGTTCCTGACTTGTTCCTGCTTTTCCAGGAAGGTAGCCATAGAAGGCTGTCACTGCCATCAAGGAACTTGGGACCCAAGGTCTGAGAGAGACAATGACTCCTGCTTAGGGCATTTGGTAAGGAGGTCTCAGGGCATGGGGCTCCTGATGGAGCCAGGGCCTCTCTTGGGGACCTTTAAGGCCTGGGAGCTGGTCATCCTCCTCTTGCCCCAGGAAGCCCTCCGCTTCTCCTTCCTTGCTGATGCAGGACTGCCCTCCTGGCCAGTGCCCTGGTGCCCAGACCTTGCCCTGTGACTACCTCCCTGTGCCTGGTGTGGCGCTGGGCATAATCGCTCACTCTCATCCTTATCAAAGAGACAGACTTGGTTGGGGGGACACACTCCTGGAGCCCCGCCCCAGCATGGCCACTCCCTAGGTGGGCCACTTGGGACAGTGGGCCTCTCTGAGCCTCAGTAGTCTCATCTGCCAAATGGCAATGAGAATGCCTCCCTAGTGAGCAAGCCCCTGGGCTGTCTGTGGCACGGTCCAGGAGAGGCGAGGCAGGACTGTTGCTTTCTCGGCCCGCTCTTCGGGCCAACAAGGAAGTTCACAATGTCAGTAGTCAAGACACCTGCCTTGTTGAATGAACTGGGCTGAAGAAGGGGCCTGGGCAGTGGCTGAAGCCCCATCCATCTTCCCCCTTCCTCCATTCCCCACCTGGTTGCCCAAGTATAGGGGCAGGGGAGCAGAAGGGAAGGGAACCAATGTTACTTTGAGCGTTCTATGACCCAGGCAAGAGCTTTATCACAAGCCATGCTCTTAACAAGCCTATAACATAAATACCATTGCATCCATTTTACAGAATAAAGCCAAGGCTCCGGGAGTTCAGCGATGCCTCCCCGGTCTTGCAGACAGCCTCGCCATGTGGCTGGCAAAGCTGGGCCCTCTGCAGAGCCAGCGCAGGGAGCCCCGCAGGCACCGACGGGGCCTCTTTTCCAAATGGCCCTTGCAGGCTCAGCTCCCACACATGACACAACCAGGAGTAACAAGCATAGGCCTGGCTCCACAATGCCAGCCTTTCCCCTATTCTAACAAGTCCCACCCACCACCTGCACCCAGGCTACGTCTTGACCTACTCCAAAGCCAAGCTAGGGGTGTGGGCTGTCCCACAGTGCGGGTCCTGAGAGTCCTACTACTTGAATTCCAGCCCTAGCCTTGTGCTTGCTAGCTAGAAAGTCCTGGCAAGGTTCACAGCCCAGGGCTACCCCCTGCTCCCGACCTCCCCCAGTGCTGAATGCCTCTCAACCTCTTGCTCATGCTCAGATGGAGGTCAGGTCAGGAGGGGCTAGCAAAGGCCGAAGCTCTTTGGAAATTACAGATAGCAGTCATGCTTTGTTGATTCTTCCCTTTCTGACTAGCTGCTGTCCATACTCTGCTGGCTAGTAAATATTTTTTTTTTTTTTTGAGATGGAGTCTCACTCTGTTGCCCAGGCTGGAGTGCAGTGGAGTGATCTCAGCTCGCTGCCACCTCCACCTCCCGGGTTCAAGTGATTCTCCTGCCTCAGCCTCCTGAGTAGCTGGAACTACAGGGGCGCACCACCACGCCTGGCTAATTTTTGTATATTTAGTAGCGATGGGGTTTCACCATGTTGACCAGGCTGGTCTCGAACTCCTGACCTCAGGTGATCCGCCCACCTCGGCCTCCTAGGCATGACGCAATGCACCCAGCCAGTAAATATTCTTTTTTTTTTTTTTTTTTTTTTCTAGATATGGAGTCTCGCTCTGTCGCCCAGGTTGGAGTGCAGCGGCACAAGCTCGGCTCACTGCAAGCTCCTCCTCCCAGGTTCACGCCATTCTCCTGCCTCAGCCTCCCGAGTAGCTGGGACTACAGGCGCCCGCCACCACACCTAGCTAATTTTTTGTATTTTTAGTAGAGACGGAGTTTCACCGTGTTAGCCAGGATGGTCTTGATCTCCTGACCTCGTGATCCACCCGCCTCGGCCTCCCAAAGTGCTGGGATTACAGGCATGAGCCACTGCGCCTGGCCCACCAGTAAATATCTAATGTCACCCCTGGTTATAAATCTGGTTCAACTGCATTTATCCCTTGCCTACTGCTTGTTCTGGTGTTAGGCTATGTGTGTGTGTTGGGGGCAGAGGGGGAACAATGTGATTTAGACAGCAGGCCCCAACCCGCTTAGGGAGCTCAAAGGGAGAAGACAGACACAACACCCCCTCACCCAACACTTCTGCAGATAAGGCAGAGAATGGTATGTGTGTACAGGGGGAGTAAATGAAGTTTTGTGGGAACAAAGGAAACCATCAACTCTTGCTAAAGTTGGGGGAGGTGGGGCAATCTGGGAAGGCCTCCTGAGGGAGGGGTCCTCGGGGATGAGTATGGAAAGTGGGCAGGATTTGTTCTGTTGGAAAAGCAGACTGGGGTATTCCAAGCTAGAGGAAACGGTAGAAGCAAACACAGGGAGACTTGGAGAGTGGGCTCTGCTTGGGGCAGAGAATTTGCCGAAGGGGAGATTTATGGTGAAACCAAAAAGGGGGCTGAGGGGAACGCTGTCTGGGGGACATAGCTGATTCCCGTTTCCCCACTGGTGACGCAAATGCTAAAGAAGTTCAGCTGGGCGAGGTGGCTCATGCCTGTAATCCCAGCACTTTGGGAGGCCGAGGCAGGTGGATCATCTAAGGTCAGGAGTTCAAGACCAGCCTGGACAACATGGTGAAACCCTGTCTCTACTAAAAATACAAGTATTAGCCGGGTGTGGTTGTGGGCACCTTTAATTCCAGCTACTCAGGAGGCTAAGGCAGGAGAATCGCTTGAACCAGGGAGGTGGAGGTAGCAGTGAGCTGAGATCGTGCCTCTGCACTCCAGCCTGGGCAACGAGGAAAACTCTATCTCAAAAAAAAAAAAAAAAAATTGCTAAAGCACTTCATGAGGTGGCAACAAGTTCTCCTCTGCTACAAAAAGATTTTGCAAGCAAGTCGGCCAGTTTCAAATGATTCTGATAACAAATACCTGAAGGACTGGGCAAGGGAAGAATTCCAAAGAAACAAAAGTGCCACTAAAGAGGTATGGAGCCACAGTCAATAAGATGTGGGCCGGAATAGAACTGCTGGTGATTTTATGAAGACATGAGAAAAAGGAAAAAAGAAAAAAAAAAGGTACTGGTAAAATGCATTTTATTGATCATGAAATGATCTTTGTCAATGTTTTGGACTAGACAACGAATTACTTTCTGGATGCTCCCTGAAAATTGTACTCCTGTTTGATGTTAAACTTTTGTTTCTGAAGTTTGATTTTAAGATGTTTGAATGCTAATTTTATATATTTGAACTATAATAAATCAATCCTTTTTTATTAAAAATAAATTTTAGGCCAGGTGTGGTGGCTCATGCTTGTAATCCCAGCACTTTGAGAGGACGAGGTGGGAGGATCGCTTGAGCCCAGGAGTCTGAGGCTGCAGTGAGCTGTGATTACACCACTGCACTCCAGCCTGGGCAACAAAGAGGCTCCATCTCAAAAAAAAAAATTAAGCACAAAAAGTTTGAAGCATAAGAGAAGTAGCTAAAGCTATTTGTTATATAACATGTTATTTGTCCTTATGTCATTCCTTCTCTTTAAAACATGCTATCAGGGCCAGGCATGGTGGCTCATGCCTGTAATCCCAGCACTTTGGGCAGCCGAGGCGGGCCGATCTCTTGAGGTCAGGAGTTCGAGACCAGCCTGGCCAACATGGCGAAAATTTGACTACTAAAAGTACAAAAATTAGCCTGGCATGGTGGCGGGCACCTGTAGTCCCAGCTACTCAAAAGGCTGAGGCAGGAGAATTGCTTGAACCCGGGAGGCAGAGGTTGCAGTGAGCCGAGATTGTGCCACTGCACTCCAGCCTGGGTGACAGAGTGAGACTGCATCTCAAAAAAAAGAAATAAGAAATAAAATAAAATATGTATCGGGTTGGGAGTTTTAAATTCACAGTACAAGCATTGCTATGGATGTGCCTGAAGGAACAGAAAAATGACTTCCTTTTTAAAAAATTTTTTAAGAGACAGAGTCTCCCTCTGTCACCCAGGTGGGAGTGACTTTCTGATAATTGAGGAAAGCAGAACATATTCCCTGCCATTTGCATATTGTCACAGCGATGCCAGCAGATGCTTTTAGGAGAGGAAGAGACCCATATCTCAACTCCCTCTATCTTTGATAGCGTAAGTAAGGAACATGCTTATAAAAACAATGGAAAGTGGCACATATCTACTTTGAAAAAAGTGGGGGTTATGTAGAATAAGGCCCAAAGAGGATCAAAAACAAATTGTCACTCTGCCAAACTAGAAATTTCCACAGGCTTTCTCCTTGCTTGAGTCGAGCATTTGAGAAATTGTATTGGGATTACATTAAATTTACTATTTTTGTTTGCTAAAATGAATAAATCAACCCACTCTTATTTGTATTTAAAAAAAACAACAGGCACCACACATATGATCCCCAAAAGGGAGCAGATGGTAGAGCAGAGGCACTCTCAGATTCCCTTCCTGGGCCGGGGCTGCTGGTCAGCTCCTCAGTTATAAAATGGGAACAAATCACATCTTTCTCGTAGGACTACTGGGAGGAAAAGAGAGTGTGTGAGAGGACTCTGCTCATTGTAAGCACTCTTGAAAGCTGGGTCTTTCCAATGTTTCTCTTCTGCCCACCTGCTTCCCAAGCACAGACCCAGTTCCACCTGCAGACCCAGCAGAATTGGTGTCAGCTGTGGATTTAACGCACTGTCATGCAAGCTCCTGACGGCTGGGGGCACCATTAGGTCCAGGCAATAAACATTTATTAACATGTCACAAGGCGAAGCATGCTGATCCCCTGAGGAGATACTGTGGCACTTCCTAGTTCATGGAGAACTCAATAAATGGTAGAGGGATGGAAGGGAGGGTGGAGAGAAGACTGATTAGCCAGATGAAAGACAGAGGGCTGAGCAGAGGGAGGGAGGAGGGCAGAATAGAGGGGATGGGTGCAGGAATGGAGACATGGATGGATGAAGGATGGGAGGGTGGAAAGTGAATAGAATAATGAAGGGATGGAGAAATTCAGGAAAGGATAGAGAGGTGGAGAGGAGATGAGATGGAAGGAGGGAGGGAATGATGGCTGGACAAAAGGATAAATAGGTTAAAGGAATTGGTGAAGCCATGGAGAAATGGTAGGAAGCATGGAGGGGTGGGTGGAGAAATGGAGAGATGGAAGGATGAAGGGATGGAAGGGTAGAAGGTGAATGGAATAATGGAGCGACTGAGAGATCCAGGGAGGGATGGAGAGGTGAACGGATGGATAATGGGATGGAGAGAGGTAGGAAAAGATGGATGGTGGCTGGATGAAGGGATAATGGGGTGTAGGGATAGGTGGAGGCATAAGGGAAAGATCAGAGGAAGGATAGAGAAGTGGCTGGAGGAATAGAGAGAGAGATGGATGAAGAGATTGAAAGGTAGAGAGGGAATGAAGAATAAAGGGATGGAGAGACTGAAGAAGGAACGGAGAGGAACAGGAAACAGAGGGAAGGATGGATGGAGAAATGGAGAGATCAACGGATGGATAATGGGATGGAGAGTTGGAGGACTCATTGTTCTCTGATGAGCTTACCTTTACCTCTCCCTGCACTTCCTGGAACAGGGCACGTGCCTTGTTTGATTTCTGTTTGATTTCAGGGCATGCGTATTTGTTGAATTAAAACCCATGCATGTGGACATGCTTTGGACAGCATGGGGCCCTGCTAATGCTGAAACATTCTGTTCTGTCTCCTCCTTGGGTGGGAGTGGGAGGTCCTCTGAGGAGGACAAAGAGAAGAGAGGCAGGAAAGTCTCTGCTGCGGGGAGGAGGAGGAGAGGCCGACTCAGCTGTTCAGTATAAACTTCCCACCCTGTTGGCATATGGGGAACATGTGGCCCCCTCCCTCCTGGCACTGGAGCAACGTCATGCCAGGGATGCTGGCAGCCAAGGGCACAGAGTGTTCCCAGAGGGAACTGGCAGTCACGCAGGAGGCAAGCATTTGAAGCTGTAGTCTGAGCCTGGTTCTGGGGTGGGCCCTGAGGACCTGAGGGCAGCTGATAGGCTCAGTTCCCCTGTGGATATGGCAGGAAGCCTGCAGCCACAGCCACCCCTCCCAGCCTCTTCTGAGAAGCAGAAAGGGGCCACCCACAGGTACCAGGCCCCCATCCCTCACAGGGCCTCTGCTGCCCCTTCTAGCTCTGGGGAATCAGCTACAGGGACAGGGCCCTGGACTTGAAGTCCAAAGATGTGACCTCTGATCCCCTCAGCCCCTCACTGTGCAGATTCCATGCCTCCCTTCTTTCTGGGCCTTCCTCAGTTTCCCCGTTGTTCCAAATGCCATCCTGCCCATTGGGATGGTGAGGGTGAGATTTTATCTCCAAGTGAGAAAACCAAATATTGGGCTTTCTGAAAAGAGAAGTGTTTCCATGTGAAGAACTGTACATTATCGTGAAACCACGCCCACCTTCCTCCAACAGTTTTGACGTTAAAGAGTGTCACTTTGTTTATGAAATAAGGGCTAGTAGATGGTAATCTTGTCAGACAGCACCCCTGTTTATTTTTTGTAATTTTCAACTGGTGCATAAAACCCCAAATTGTGAACCACTAGACAAGACAATTCCTGAAGGGCCTTCCAGAGCCAGGTAGATTCTCTGTCTTAGATGCTGATATTGTTTGGCTGTGTCCCCACCCAAATCTCATCTTGAATTGTAGCTCCCATAATTCCCACTTGTCAAGGGAGGGACCCAGTGGGTGGTAACTGAAGCATGTGGGTAGGTTTTTCCCATGCTGTTTTCGTGATAGTGAATACGTCTCCTGAGACCTGATGGTTTTATAAAGTGGAGTTCCTCTGCACACACTCTTTCTTGCCTGCTGCCATGTAAGATGTGACTTTGCTCCTCCTTGCCTTCTGCCATGATTGTGAGGCCTCCCCAGCCATGTGGAACTGTGAGTCCATTAAACCTCTTTTTCTTTATAAATTACCCAGTCTTGGATATGTCTTTATTAGCAGCGTGAGAATGAACTAATACAGATGTACCCCTGGAATAGGTCTGCCTCTAACCAGGGCTCTAATTTGGAACCTTGATGTGTACAACTTCCCTCTTGAGCTCACATCTGTGCCCTGGAGGAAGCAGTGTCTGCAGAGGTTCAGGTGCAGGCAGACTTCTCTGAGGGGCAGAACAGTGCCTTGCCCTCAACAAGCCATCTCAGCCCCGCAGTTTGAGCTCAATCCTATTCCCCCACCACAACCACCCGCAGCTCAACAGGAGCTGTCCACTCCCCTAGTGATCCTGTGACCAGATCCCTGAGAGGCCCCCCAGAAAAACTCCACACAGGACAAGTGTGGGCTGATAACTTCTCCCTATGAACTGTGTTGCAGCTGGAGAGAGTCAAATTCAAGTTTAGCAGAGAAGCAATCCAGTTGGGCTGGGTGGGTCAGGCCACAGAAGACGTGACTCAAGGCGTGGGAGCCCCAGCACATGTGGCCTAGCTGGTCTGGCCCCCAAGTACTTGCAGGGTGTGGAGAGTCCATTAGAGACCATGGGAGCGTGGGGCGGGAGACATTCCCAGGCCAGGCCAGAGCAATGCTCCCAGAGTTCCCTCTTATCCTTCCCTTCTCCTTAGATACCCCCTCACCCAATGCCAGCTCTCCCAGTTGCAGCAACTTGGAAGAGAAATGTCACGGCCAACCCCAGCCAGCCCCGCCAGCTCAGCAGTTTCTCCCTGCCCTGCTCCCCAGCTCTGCACTGTCTTCCCACTCAAACAGGCTGCAGGGAGCTGGGGAGGCAGGGAGGCTGCAGACAGGCAGGGCCCAGCCGGGCTGTCTGGCTTCCTGGATCTCAGAATCAGCATTCATTTATTATTTAGCAAATATGCCTCAATCCCTGACTAAGGGGTGTGCAAAGCAACCCAGTGGGCAGGGTGGGAGTGTGTGTGCGCATGTGTATCTGTGTGTGTCTCGGTGTAGGTTTATGTTTGTGTGAGAGTGTGTCTGTGCATTTCTGTGTATGTCTCTGTGTCTGTGCATTTCTGTGTGTGTGTCTGTGCATTTCTGTGTGTTTGAGTATGTGTTATCTGCACATCTGTGGGTGGGAAAGGGGTTTCTGGGGTGAACAAAGGAGAGCCTGTGTGTTCCAAGGGGCCTGACTTCAGCAGGCGTGTACATGGGGAAGGCAGATGCACCCGCCGTTCACAGGAGCGAATATAAAGGGTGTTGGGGGAGGCTCCTGCTATCTGCCAGTCCCTGAGATATCATTATTGGCAAGACAGGCCCAGGGATAAAGTCAGGAACTTTCCTAAGCAGGTTCTTGCAGTTTCAGGAAGGCAAGGCAATGCGGAAGGGCTTAAGTTTAAACTTTTTTAAATATTTTATTTTTAATGGGTAATATACCGTTTCAAAAGTTTACGTAATTTGAAAGGGTAGCAATGAAAAGTCAGCTTCCCCTTCTCATCTTCCTCCCTTCAGAGTCACTGGCTCCCCCTAAAACTTGATTTGTGGGAGAATGAGATGCAGAGAAGTGGCTGGACCTTGACGTGTGTAATTGACAAGGCAGGTGAGAGTAGGATGGGGCTAGAGCCCAGACCTTCGGCCTGCCACCCAGCGTTCTTTCTCCCAAGCACACTGCTTCTCGGCTGCTGACCAGGGGCAGGTGGGACCACCTAAGAGGCCTTGGGATATGGTCAGTCCTGGGGCCCTCCCCAGACAGGAGCCACACACAGTAAGGTCACCAGTCAATGAAGCCCTCCTAGGGTCTGAGCCAAAGCGGGAGCCCATGGTTGGGGCCCCCAGATGAGGTGCCACCTGTGGCTGGGGGATACTTATTTCCTTCTCTGTTTCCACTCAGACCAGGCTCCTAGATGTTGGGGACTGAACCCTGGCTCCGTTCCACCTGGCTTGTCACTACGTTGTCATTCACAAACGGTGAGCTAATCACAGAAGCAACCTGTAGGCCAGTGATGAGCATGAAGTGAGATAAAAGCCTGTAGGTTTCTCAGTGTCTGATGCACCTCTTAATATTGGAATTAAGATAAACATCATGGCTCCCTCTCCCTCTCCCTCTCCCTCTCCCTCTCCCTCTCCCTCTCCCCTCCCCACGGTCTCCCTCTCATGCGGAGCCGAAGCTGGACTGTACTGCTGCCATCTCGGCTCACTGCAACCTCCCTGCCTGATTCTCCTGCCTCAGTCTGCCGAATGCCTGCGATTGCAGGCACGCACCGCCACGCCTGACTGGTTTTGGTGGAGACGGGGTTTCGCTGTGTTGGCCGGGCCGGTCTCCAGCCCCTAACCGCGAGTGATCCGCCAACCTCGGCCTCCCGAGGTGCCGGGATTGCAGACGGAGTCTCGTTCACTCAGTGCTCAATGGTGCCCAGGCTGGAGTGCAGTGGCGTGATCTCGGCTCACTACAACCTACACCTCCCAGCCGCCTGCCTTGGCCTCCCAAAGTGCCGAGATTACAGCCTCTGCCCGGCCGCCACCCCGTCTGGGAAGTGAGGAGTGTCTCTGCCTGGCCGCCCATCGTTTGGGATGTGAGGAGCCCCTCTGCCTGGCTGCCCAGTCTGGAAAGTGAGGAGCGTCTGCGCCCGGCCGCCATCCCATCTAGGAAGTGAGGAGCGCCTCTTCCCAGCCGCCATCACATCTAGGAAGTTAGGAGCGTCTCTGCCCGGCCGCCCATCGTCTGAGATGTGGGGAGCGCCTCTGCCCCGCCGCCCCATCTGGGATGTGAGGAGCCCCTCTGCCCGGCCAGCCGACCCGTCCGGGAGGGAGGTGGGGGGGTCAGCCCCCCGCCCGGCCAGCTGCCCCGTCCGGGAGGTGAGGGGCGCCTCTGCCCGGCCGCCCCTACTGGGAAGTGAGGAGCCCCTCTGCCCGGCCAGCCGCCCCGTCCGGGAGGGAGGTGGGGGTGTCAGCCCCCCGCCCGGCCAGCCGCCCCGTCCGGGAGGGAGGTGGGGGGGGTCAGCCCCCCCGTCCGGCCAGCCGCCCCGTCCGGGAGGTGAGGGGCGCCTCTGCCCGGCCGCCCCTACTGGGAAGTGAGGAGCCCCTCTGCCCGGCCAGCCGCCCCGTCCGGGAGGGAGGTGGGGGGGTCAGCCCCCCGCCCGGCCAGCCGCCCCCTCCAGGAGGGAGGTGGGGGGGGTCAGCCCCCCTGCCCGGCCAGCCGCCCCGTCCGGGAGGTGAGGGGCGCCTCTGCCCGGCCGCCCCTACTGGGAAGTGAGGAGCCCCTCTGCCCGGCCACCACCCCGTCTGGGAGGTGTGCCCAACAGCTTATTGAGAACGGGCCAGGATGACAATGGCGGCTTTGTGGAATAGAAAGGCGGGAAAGGTGGGGAAAAGATTGAGAAATCGGATGGTTGCCGTGTCTGTGTAGAAAGAAGTAGACATGGGAGACTTTTCATTTTGTTCTGCACTAAGAAAAATTCCTCTGCCTTGGGATCCTGTTGATCTGTGACCTTACCCCCAACCCTGTGCTCTCTGAAACATGTGCTGTGTCCACTCAGGGTTAAATGGATTAAGGGCGGTGCAAGATGTGCTTTGTTAAACAGATGCTTGAAGGCAGCATGCTCGTTAAGAGTCATCACCAATCCCTAATCTCAAGTAATCAGGGACACAAACACTGCGGAAGGCCGCAGGGTCCTCTGCCTAGGAAAAGCAGATACCTTTGTTCACTTGTTTATCTGCTGACCTTCCCTCCACTATTGTCCCATGACCCTGCCAAATCCCCCTCTATGAGAAACACCCAAGAATTATCAATAAAAAAATAAATTAAAAAAAAAAAAAAAAAAAAAAAAAAAAAGATAAACATCATGATTAGGCCGGGCGCGGTGGCTCACACCTGCAGTCCCAGCACTTTGGGAGGCTGAGGTAGGAGGATCACGAGGTCAGGAGATCAAGACCATCCTGGCTAACACAGTAAAACCTCGTCTCTACTAAAAATATATATATATATAAAATGAGCCAGGTGTGGTGACGGGCACCTGTAGTCCCAGCTACTCAGGAGGCTGAGGCGGGATAATGGCGTGAACCCAGGAGGCGGAGGTTGCAGTGAGCCGAGATCGCGCCACTGCACTCCAGCCTGGGTGACAGAGCGAGACTCTGACTCAAAAAAAAAAAAAAAAAAAAAAAAAAAGATAAATATCATGATTATTATCATTATTGCCCCTACCTTCTCCCTGGCCTTGTTTTTCTCCATTGCACTCTGACATTCTATATATTTTACTCATTTCGTTATCATCTCTGTTTATGAAAGATGTTCTATAAGGGCAGGGATTTATTTTTTTTTGTGACAGGGCCTTTTTTTGTCACCCAGGCTGGAGGGCAGTGGCACAAACATGGCTCACTGTAGCCTCAACATCCTGGGCTCAAGCAATCCTCCCTCCTCGGCCTCCCAAAGTGCTGGGATTATAGGTATGAACCACCGCAGCAGGCAAAGGCAGGGATGTTTAATTGCTTTTGTTCACTGTAGACCCCCAGGATCCAGAACAGTCCCTGGCACAGTGGGGTTGCTCCGTGAATGTCTGCTGAATGAATGAGTGAGCAATTGAATATAGCATTTCTGCCTTGAGTTTGAATACTCCCTAGAGACTTGGTGCAGAGCTGTGGGCTGATTAAGGAATGGAAGTGAACCTGACCTTGAAGAATATTAGGGTCTGATTGGTCATTGAGAAGGTCCTCAGCCCCGTTAAAGATGACAGGGACCCACTTGGACCAGAATCAGGACAGGCCAGAGAAGCTGTGGGAAGGGGCTCCGGTGTCAGGCTAGGTTTCCTAGACACTCAGGATGTGGCTGCCCTCCAGGACATTGCCTGGAGGTGAGGACAGGCCCCTGAGTTCCCTGTCTCAGGACCCTGGGTCCTAAAAGCTGAGACAGCCTTGGGAAGGCTACCGGCCCCGTAACTTCTCAGCCTCCAGACTCCCCGGTGCTCCCATAGTACCTGTGCTCCTGGCTGTCCCAGCTCCCACCCCATTAGCATAGATTGATTAGCTGGGGGTCTCCCCACTCCTTCCCTTGGTTGGGAGCAGGGCTGATTGGTCGTTGTTTGCCTGGCCCCTAGCCTAGAGTTGGGGTACATAAGAGCCCAGGGGATGCTGGAGATGTGACTGAAGGAACAAAGGAATAAGTGTGAGTGAATGGGTGGGGAGTGAAGGAGAAAAGAAATGGGTGCATGAATGAATGAACGAATGAATGAATGAGTTTGTGAAAGCAAGAATAAGAGGACAAGCCAGTTGGCCAGGCTGAGGAGATGTTCCTGCTGAGGATGGGATGTGTTCAAACTGGTCCTCCTGCTAAGGTGGGCTAAGGTGAGCTAGAGTGCCCCTGGCCCGGCTCTGCTGGCAGCCCCAGCCTCTCACCCCATTCCTACCCCCCGCCTCCCATCTTGCTGTCTGCCTGAGCATCTTGGCTGGTTCCCCACTCTCTGGGCAGCCCCGGGAAGCTCACAAAGGCCCATCTGTGAGCCCAGACCCTGCATCTTCTTCTTCTCCTTCCCCTTCCCCACCCCCCAAGAATTGGTCTGAGCCCCTCTCCCTTCATCTCCCATTAAAATAAACATTCATTTACTGGGATTTCCTCCGGGCACCTCCTTGCTCCCAGGGCAGCCCCAGCCATGTCTTGTAAAACTGCCTTCCCTCCTCTGGATTTCCTTTTAACTGTCCTCTTCCTTTTACTTGCTGGGGGTGGGGTGGTGGGGTGAAGAGAGAGGAGTAAAATACAGCTGGGTCAGTCCAGATGTTTCCCCAGAAACATGGAGATGCTTAGGATATAAGGTGACAGCCGGCTCCCTGCCCAGCCGGGTGAGGCTTAAGTTCATGGGCTGCCAAAAGTTCCAGGGCAGCCACCTCTGGCCCCTGGGCTGGGCTTGAACCCCTGCAGCTGGTGGAGTGGGGAGGGTAGGAGGAGAGGAGGGAGTCCCTCTTTCCAGCTAGTGCTGACATATCACAGAACAGGGATTCAGGGGTCTCCTCCTAGCAGTCCCCTCTTTTCTCCCTTAATCCCGCTGCAGCTTCAATCACCAGGGCTGTTCTGCTGTGTGACCCCGGGCAGTCTCCTAACCTCTCTGGCCTCACATTTTACCATATGGAAGGTGGGGCAGAAATAACGAGGCTGAGAGGGCATTGGACTCCCCTCATTCTGAAAGACCCTTTGGACTTGGAGGTCCGTTATCAATCCCTGCATCCAAGCATTGGTTCATTTAGCCTCCAGATGTGCCAGACTGGGTGCTGGGGACAGAGCAATGAACAAAGCACAGAGCCAGTTCTTGGGAAGGCAAACAGGGAAGAGGCAATGAGAATTCACTGTGGCAAGGGCTCTTGACAGAGGGGTGCTGGGAGGTCAGGGAAGGCTGAAATGTGAAAGACAATCAGCAGTAGCCAGTCCCCATCAAGTCCCCATCAAGACCCCAAACTGCCATGCCCTGTGGCCAGGATTGCTAATGCAGCTTTCTGCTAGATCCTGGTCCTGGATTCCATCTTGTCTACTGAGCTACTTCCATGACAACCATCCTTTCCCTTCACTGGATCTTGAGTGCCCTGACCTCTTGGTTTACTTCCTTTCTGGTCACCATCTCCCACCTTCCCTTTCTTTGTATCCAAGTTAGAATCCTCAGCGGTTCACCTCTTCAGTAACTCCTGCCAATTCCTGAATCCTTTCTTCCATCTATCTTTTTCACCCACCTATGAAACTCCAACTTTAAATGAGTGAATTCTCAGCTGCTTCTTTACCTGCACCAGGGCAGAGGGAGAAAACCACTGCCTAGGGTAGACTGGTCCCCTGGAAATAATGTATCTCAGGACCACGCACTCTCCTGCTCCACAGTGTCTGTTCTAGTTTCTATTACCGTGTAACAAGACACCCCAAAACTCATTGGCTTTAATTTAACCAGACACAGTGGCGCATGCCTACGGTCCTAGCTACTCAAGAGGCTAAGGCTGGAGGATCACTTGAGCCCAGAAGTTTGAGGTTACAATGAACTTCGATTGCACCACTGCACTCCAGCCTGGGTAATAGAGTGAGACCTTGTCTCTAAAAACAGACAAACAAGGGGGAGCGTGGTGGTTCACACCTGTAATCACAGCACTTTGGGAGGCCAAGGCTGGGGGTTCACCTGAGGTCGGGAGTTTGAAACCAGCCTGGCCAAGATGGTGAAGCCCCGTCTCTACTAAAAATACAAAAATTAGCCAGGCACGGTGGCGGGTGCCTGTAATCCCAGCTACTTGGGAGGCTGAGGCAGGTGAATCACTTGAACCCAGGAGGCGGAGGTTGCAGTGAGCCGAGATCACGCCATTGAACTCCAGCCTGGGCGACAAGAGCAAAACTCTATCTCAAAAAAAATTTTAAAATAATCAAAATAAAAACAAAGAAAGAAACATTTATTTAGCTTACAAATCTGTACTTTTGGGTAAGGCTCAGCTCTGCTCTGTGCAGAGGCTTCAACTGGGGCAGCTCTACTGGAGGCTGGGGGACCCTTTTTTAAGGGGGTTCACTTAAAGGAAGGAGAAGGGAGAGAATGATAAAGCCAAGGGGATAGAATGTTACAATTAAGTGAATCTGGGTAAAGGCTCTATGAGTGGTCTTTCTGCTATTTTTATTTTTGCAACTTTTTTTGGTAAATTTAAAATTATTTCCAAGTAAAAAGTTACGAAAGTAGACATGTATTACAACAATTCTAACCATTCAAAAATGTTGTAGTTATATGGCTACTGATTTCACAGTGGCCAAAACCCAGACCGTCCTATTATTTCAATCTTTTGAAATTTGTTAACACTTATTCTATGGCCCAGTAGGATTGTTCTGGCAAATTCCATGTACCCTTGAAAGTAATTCTGTCGTTACTTGATGTATTTCTCTGTATTTCCCAGGCATTGTTTGTGAATCATGTTATTCATATCATCTATACACTTAGTGACTGTTTTTTGTCAGCTTGCTCTGTAAGTTACCGAGTGCTAAAATCTCCCACTCAGGTTTTTGATTTGTCTATTTCTTTTGGTAATTCTTTCATTTTTGTGCTTATGTATCATTAGATGCACCCAAAAAATAAACAACAATACAAGTAATTTGAACAAAGCAAGCTCCCTTAGCCCACAAGCCACCCCAGCCATCTTCCTCTCCTGCCTCTCTCACTGCTGATTAACCTTCCCAGGCGACATGTCCGCACCACCCAGTGCCACTCAGTGCGGACTAGGGACCAGCAGTGCCTGGGAGCTTGGTAAAAAAGCCAGTGATCTGCTCTACCCTAGACTTACAGAATTGAACCTCTGCTGGATGGGGACCAGAAACAGGTTTGAATGTGTGATTCCCAGTCAAGCAACAGGGAATGATGATTACTAGGGTGAGAAGCACTCATCTTAGTCACCTGCCTTATCCTTGCCTTCCATTTACTCCTCAACCAACTCTGCCAGAAGTGATGACTCTCATCAGGCTCAGAAATGACCTCTGTTCCACGAAATCCAGTAGGAATTTCCCCCTCAGCAATATTTCACCTGTTGCCCATTTCCTCCCTTAGTTTAGACAACAATTTATTGTTTTCTGTAAAAAATAATATACGCTTATTATAAAAATTAATAATGGAACAGTATCTGAATAATGTAAAAAAGTCACTCCCCATTCCATCATTTAGAAGCAATGTTTTTAACACTGGATTCATGCAATTCCAGATATCTCTTTATACATACATACAGAGAGAAGCATGGGTAGATAAATAGCAGGAAAAGTGAAGAAGTGTACTATAATAATATGGCATATTAAATATCCTGTTCCCAACTTGAAAGTATCATGTTTAATATGATTTGACTTTTTAAAAGCATAAAAGCCAAGTTCAATGGGGAAAAAGGAGCTGACCCAAGTAAATGAAAAACGATCTTTTGACTGGATACTGTAAGATTAAAGAGGAAAAGAGTAAAACACAAACACTACTGTCATTAATTTGTTTCTCAGGGCAGTCCAGGTTAGCAATTGTAAAACTACTTTGCTTGTTTGCTAGGTTGAACAAATAAGTATACATTTTGTACATACTAGAGCTAGGTTTTTCACTTTCGGAGAAAAAATTTACAAATGGGGAAATGAGGAGGCTAGAATGAAGGCTAGAATGCTGCATTAGAGTCAGTCAGTGTGCATTCAGGCTTATTTTAATGTAAATATAGATAGATATAGACAGAAATATAGTTATGTGTAGATACATATATGTCATAGCTCTGCCTCTGAGCCTAGAAGTAGTGACACTTCAGTAACAACAAGCGCACCTAGCATCCACATCTTTTTTTTTTTTTTTGAGATGGAGTCTCGCTCTGTCACCCAGGTTGGAGGGCAGTGGTGCAATCTCAGCTCACTGCAACCTCTGCCTCCTGGGTTCACGCGATTCTCCTGCCTCAGCCTCCCGAGTAGCTGGGATTACAGGCACACACCACCACACCTGGCTAATTTTTTGTGTTTTTGGTAGAGACGGAGTTTCACTATGTTGGCCAGACTGGTCTTGAACTCCTGACCTCGTGATCTGCCTGCCTCGGCCTCCCCAAGTGTTGGGATTACAGGCGTGAGCCACTGTGCCTGGCTTTTTTTTTTTTTTTTTTTTTTTTTTGAGACAGAGTCTTGCTCTGTCACCCAGGTTGGAGTGCAATGGCGCGATCTCGGCTCACTGCAACCTCCATCTCCCAGGTTCAAGCGATTCTCCTGCCTCAGCCTCCCAAGTAGCTGGGATTACAGGCATGCGCCACCATGGCCAGCTAATTTTTTTTTTATTATGTCTAGTAGAGACAGGGTTTCACCATGTTGGCCAGGCTGGTCTTGAACTGCTGACCTCAGGTGATCCACCTGCCTTGGCATCCCAAAGTGCTAGGATTGCAGGCATGAGCCACCATGCCCCACCTTGCATCCACATCTTGAATTCTAAACAACATTCACCAATAAAGAAACTTGAGTTGCCTGGAGAAATGGCCGATTCTAGGGTTGAAATAGAGTGATATGGTTTGGATATTTTGTCCTCACCCAAATGTCATGTTGAAATGTAAACTGCAATGTTGGAGGTGGTGCCTGGTGGAAGGTGTTTGGGTTATGGGCGTGGATTCCTCATAGTTTGGTGCTGTGCTCATGATAGTGAGTTCTTGTGAGATCTGGTTATTTAAGTGTTTGGCACCTCCCTCCATTCCACTGTCTCTCTCTTGCTCCTGCTATGGCATGCGAAGTACCTGCTTCCACTAGTGATGACCTAGGGTATCTTGAAGAACAAACTTCTAAGCAGCAAAGTGCTCAAGATGTAGTCTGGCTGCTTCTAACTACCTATGCTCAGATATGGGAGCAAATAAATGATCTAAAGTTGAAATTTATATTTAAAAAGGAAGCAAAGCATAAAAATTTGGAAATTTTGCAGCCTAGCCATGTAGCAAAGAAAGAAAATCTTTTTTGGGAGAGGAATTCAAGCAGGCTTGAATTCCTTGCTAGAGAAATTTGCATAACTAAAAAAGAGCCAAGTGCTAATAGCCAAGACAATGGGGAAAAGGCCTCAAAGGCATTTCTGAGATCTAGGAGGCAGCCTCTCCCATAACAGGCCCTGAAACTCAGGAGGAAAGAATGGTTTGGAGGGAGAGGGCCTGCGGCCCTGCACAGCCTTGGAACAGTGCTTCCCACATGTCAGCTGCTCCAGCACCAGCCAGGGCTCACAAAGGCCCAGGTACACCTTGAGCTGCCACTTTGGAAAATGCAAGCTGTAAGCCTTGGTGGCTTCCACATGGTGTTAAGCCTGTGGGTGCACAGGGTGCAAAAGTGAAGGTTTGGCAGCCTATGCCAATTTCAGAGGATGTATGAGAAAGACTGTGTTTGTGTGCCCAGGCAGAAGCCTGCTGCAAGACAGAGCCCACACAGAGAACTTCTACAAGGCCACTGTGGAGGGGCAATGTGGGGTTGGAACCCCCACACAGAGTTGACACTGGGACACTGCCTAGTGGAGCTGTGGGAAGGGGGCCACAATTCTCCAGTCCCCTGAATGGGAGATTCACTGGCAGCTTGCACCCTTTGCCTGGAAAAGCAGTGTGCACTCAACAACCCGTGAGAGGAACCATGGGGGCTGAACCCTGCAAAGCCACAGGGGCAGAGCTGCCCAGGGCCTTCAGAGCCCACCCTTTCCACCAGTGTGCCTCGGATGTGGGACGTGGAGTCGAAGGAGACTATTTAAGATTTAATGACTGCCCTGCCAGGTTTCAGCATTGTGTGGGGCCTATAGCCCCTTTCTTTTGGCTAATTTCTAACTTTTGGAACAGGAATGTTTACCGAATGCTGGTACCCTCATTGTATCTTTGAAGTAAATAACTTGTTTTGATTTTATAGGCTCATAGGTGAAAGGAACTCATTTCCAGATACAACTTTGGACTTTGGACTTGGGACTTCTGATTGAGTTGATGCTGAAATGAGTTAAAACTTTGAGGGACTGTTGGGAAGCCATGATTGTATTTTGCAATATGAGAAGGACATGGGCTTTGAGGTGTCAGGGGTGGAATAATATGGTCTCAATATATATCCCTACCAAATCTCATGTTGAATTCTAATCCCCAATGTTGGGGGTGGAGCCTGGTGGAAGCTGTGTGGATCATGGGGGCAGATGCCACTTTGCTTGGTGCTATCCTTGTGATGGTGAGTTAGTTCTGTGGGATCTGATTGTTGTAAAGTGTGTCACCTCCCCTGCCCCACTCTCCCTTGCCCTCACTCAACCAAGTGAGACGCCTGCTCTCCCTGTGCGTTCCACCATGAGTAAAAGCTCCCTGAGGCCTCCCCAGAAGCTGAGCAGATGCCAGCACCATGCTTCCTGTATAGCCTACAGAACCATGAGCCAATTAAACCTATTTTCTTTGTAAATTAACCTAGTCTCAGGTATTTCTTTATAGCAATTCAATAATGAATTAATATACATAGAAAAGGTAAGATGAACCTGGAGCATCTTGTAATGCCAGAAAGAAAGTGCTTACAGAAACAAAGAGGATGGAGGCATGTCAAAAGGACACAATATGCTCAACATCATAAATCAGTAGGGAATTGCAAAATACAACAAGATACCACTACACACCTATTAGAATAGCTAAAAATCTAAAACACCGACAGTGCCAAGTGCTGTGAGGATGTGTGGCAACAGGAACTCTCATTCATTCCTGGTGGAAATGCAAAATGACATAGCCACTTTGGAAGGCAATTTGGAAGTTTCTTACAAAACTAAACACACTCTTACTATACAGTCTGGAAATTGTATTCTTTGGTATTCACTCAAATGAGTTGAAAACTTAGAGCCACACAAAAACCCACACATGTATATTTACACAGCTTTTTCATAATAGCCAAAACTTGGAAGCAACCAAGATGTTCTTCAATAGGTGAACAGATAAACTGTGATACATCTAAACAATGGAATATTATTCAGAGATAACAAGAAATGAGCTATAAAGCTGCAAAAAGACATGGAGGAACCTCAAATGCATATTGTAAACTGAAAGAAGCCAATCTGGTGAGACCCCCCCCTTTCTAAACAAAATAAAGCAAATCTCTTGGGTGGGCACAGTGGCTCACACCTGTAATCCAAGCACTTTGGGAGGCCAAGGCCAGCAGGGGCATTGCTTCAGGCCAGGAGTTCCATACCAGGCTGGGAAACATAATGAGACCCCATCTCTACACAAATAAAAAAACTATCCAGGCATGGTGGCATGTGCTTGTAGTCCCAGCTACCTGGGAGGCAGAGGTGGGAGGATTGCTTGAGCCCAGGAGTTCAAGGCTTCAGTGAGCTAGGATCACACCACTGCACTGCAGCCTAGGTGACAGAGAGAGAGACTCTCTCTCTCCGAAAAGCCAATATGAAAAGGCTTCTGTATGATCCCAACTATATGACATTCTGGAACAATGGTGACACGGTTTTCCTGTGACCCCACCCAAAATCTCATCTTGAATTTTAATCCTCATTATCCCCACGTGTCAAGGGAGAGACCAGATGGAGATAATTGAATCATGGGGGCGGTTTCCCCATGCCGTTCTCGTGATAGTGAGTGAGCTCTCAGGAAATCTGTTGGTTTTATAAGTGTTTGGTAGTTCCTCCTGCATTCACTCTCCTTCCTGCCACCTTGTGAGGAAGGTTCCTTGCTTCCCCTTCACCTTCTTCCATTATTGTAAGTTTCCTGAGGCCTCCCCAGCCATGCTGAACTGTGAGTCAATTGAACCTCTTTCCTTTACAAATTACCCAGTTTCAGGAAGTTTTTTATAGCAATGTGAGAACGGACTAATACATATGAACACAGTAAAAGGATCAGTGGTAGCCAGGGGTTCAGGGAGAAAGAGGGAAGATGTCTAGGTGGAGCACAGGATTTTTAGGGCAATGAAACTATTGTGTATGATACTATGATGGTGGACCCATGTCAGTACCTATGTGTCAAAACCCACAGAATGCACAATTCAAAGAGTGACTACTCGTGTAAACTATGGACTTTAGTGAAAAATAATATATCAATATTGGCTCATCAGTTGTCACATATGTACCACAGTAAGGCAAGATACTAATAACAGGAGAAGGCGTGTGTGTGTGAGTGGGGGTGTGAGGGAATATATGGGAACGCTCTGCACTTGCTGCTCAATTTTTCTATAAACCCAAAACTGCTCTAAAATATCAAGTCCATTAGGTAATAGAAAGGAAAAAGGACAGAGGAACCAACCTGAAAAAAGCTCCCAGTGGCCAGGGCTAGAATAATTTGAACAACAAAATAGATCGTGATACTGTTGGATTATAATGCAAAGAATAAAATAAAGATACACAAGGTCATACTGGTACAGACAAATGATTGACTAAATAAATAAATGGGGGAGACGGGAGACTAATCTTTATAGAGAATTCCAGATAATAAATGTGGGATGTAATCATGTGAATAATATTCCAAATAAGAAGGATGGGGGCAATAGAGCATCACCATTAGGAGACAAGTGCTAATGACTGCAGGCAAGATCCACTGATGAAGTCCCCAAAGTTCCTCTCTAAAATACTTACTAATTACTGTGGTGATTTTAATCTATGTCCACAAATTATTTGATACTCCTCCCTCAAGGAGGAGGAGATGAATTCCCCTCCTCTTGAGTAAGGGCTGGATTAGTCATGCATTTCTAAGAATTAGAGTATGAAAGGAGAAAAGCAGTGACTTCACAGCAGACAAACCTGGTAGATGCCACCTTAACTAAGTGATCGCGGTTAACATCACCTGTAATAAGTCATGTCCATACTATATACCACGTGATAGGCATTTTTACCTTCGTGGTGCTCTTCCCCCAAATCTGTCTCAATGTAATCATGAGAAAACATCATGCAAATGCAAATCGAGAGATCTTCTACAAAACATCTGGCCAGGACTCTTCAGAAGTGTCGAGGTCATGAAAGACAAGGAAAGACAGAAAAACTGTCAGAGATTGGAGACCAAGGAGACGCTGATTACTAAAGGATGAAATCCTTGGGTAGAAATAGGAGATGAGTGGAAAAACTGGCGAAATAAAGTCTATAATTTAGTTAATAGCCTTATACCAATGTTAATATCTTAATTTGGACAAACAGGTAAGATGTTAGCATTAGGGAAGCTGAGTGAAGGGCATATGGGGAGCATTTTGCAAATTTTCTGTATATTTAAAATTATTTCAGCTGGGTGCAGTGCCTCATGCCTATAATTCCAGGAATTTGGGAGGGTGAGGCAGGTAGATTGCTTAAGGCCAGGAGTTCAAGACCAGCCTGGGCAACATGGCAAAACCCCATCTCTACAAGAAATATGAAAATTAGCCTGGCCTGGTGATGCATGCCTGTAGTCCCAGCTACTTGGGTGGCTGAGATGGGAGGATGGCTTGAGCCTGGGAGGTTGAGGCTGCAGTGAACTGTGATTGAACCTCTCCAGCCTGGATGACAGAGTGAGACCTTGCCTCAAAAAAAATTTAAAAATAGGGCCAGGCACGATGGCTCAATCCTAGCACTTTGGGAAACTGAGCGGGGAGGACTGCTTGAGGCCAGGAGTTCGAGATCAGCCTGGGCAACATAATAAGACCCCTATGTGTACAAAACAATGAACAAATTAGCAAATTAGCCAGTCATGGTAGGTGCATGCCTGTAGTCCCAGCTACTTGGGATGCTGAGATGGGAGTATGACTTGAGCCCGGAAGGTACTCAAGTGACAGAGCAAGACCCAGTCTCAAAAATAAATAAATAAATTAATTAATTAAATTAAATAAAAATTAAAAATAAAATAAAATTTTAAAATAAAAGGCTTAAAAAATAAATTAGTAAATTAAAATCAAAGAACTGCTTAATTTTAGATAAATACTTTTTTACCTCAAGTGATATGAGTTTTTACAAGGCTTTTTAAAGTTAAGAAACATAATTCTGTAAAATATTAATTATGAGATTATATTATGTTATTTATTTATTTTTATTTTATTTTATTTTATTTTATTTTATTTTATTTTATTTTATTTTTTGAGACAGAGTCTAGTCTTGCTCTGTTGCCCAGGCTGGAGTGCAGTGGCAGATCTTGGCTCTGCAACCTCCACCTCCCAGGTCCAACAGATTCTCCTGCCTCAGCCTTCCGAGTAGCTGGGACTACAGGTGCTTGCCACCACACCTGGCTAATTATTTTGTGTTTTTAGTAGAGACAGGGTTTCACCATGTTGCCAGTCTGGCCTCGAACTCCTGACCTCAGATGATCCGCCCACCTTGGCCTCCCAAAGTGCTGGGATTACAGGCATGAGCCACCATGCCCAGCCAATTATGTTATTTTTTTAAATGGCATTTTTCCAACTTTATCCCTTACTGGTTGACTCTTGCTGTGAAAAATGAGGAAATTAGCAGATTCACAGTTTCTCTCTGCTTCTCTCCTAGATCTCCCAATTATTGTTAGTCACTTAATGATATTAGTTTTATTGTTGATGTTTATATAACCTTTGCACTGTGTACTATACTCCAAATTCACAAAGATTTTTATTTCTATATTTAAATTGATTCAGAGCTTGTCACCAATATGTTTACCCTGGCTTCTCCATTCTGAGCTATTTATTTTAATAAATCCCTTTGTTGGCTACATTTCATTGCCTAATTTTTTGTTTCAAGAAGGACTAAGAGGCACTCATTCCCTAAATTCTAGAACTCTTGAGAATGTCTGTCTATGGCCTTTCAATTTGAAGGAAATTGTCTGGGTATAAATTTCTCGGGTCATACTTTCTATCCTCTGGGAGCTTGTAGACTCTGCCCCACAGACTCTGGCATGTTCCTAGAGAGAAGCCTGCAGCCAGCCTGATTTCCCCCACTCACGTGACTTGAGATTTTTTACCTGGACTCCCATATGATTCTTTAGCCTTGTATTTCAATACCTTCATTAGCGTATAATGCTTGATGCTGATGGTCTTGAATCAATCTTTTATATTCACATTCAAATCTTTATTTTAGGAATGTTTTTCCCTGTTATGTCAGACTATTTTTCATCGTTGTTCCATTTGTTCTCTTTCTCTTTTCAGGAACTGACTGTGCAAATGTCTGCCTCTGATCTGTCCTCCACGTCTCTTAGTCTTTCCTATAACTGTTATGGGCTGAGTTGGATCCTCTCAAAAAGCTATGGTTTTTTTGTTGTTGTTGTTTTGTTTTTTTGAGATGGAATCTTGCTCTGTTGCCAGGCTGGAGTGCAGTGGCGTAATCCCAGCTCACTGCAACCTCCACCTCCCGGGTTCAAGTGATTCCCCTGCCTCAGCCTCCTGAGGCAGGAGAGCTGAGATTACAGGCACACACCACCATGCCCAGCTAATTTTTGTATTTTTAGTAGAGATGGGGTTTCACCACGTTGGCCAGGATGGTCTCTATCTCTTGACCTTGTGATCCACCTGCCTTGGCCTCCCAAAGTGCTGGGATTACAGGTGTGAGCCACCACGCCTGGCCTCAAAGAGCTATGTTGAAGCCCTGATGCCCTGTCCCCAACAATGTGACTTTATTGAGAAATAGGGTCGATGTAATTAATTCAGATGAGGTCACACTGGATTAGAGGGGCCCTAAATCCAATATGACTAGAGTCCTTATATGAAGAGGAGGGAGATGCAGACACATGGAGAGAACAATGCGTGGAACATCAAAGGCAGAGATTAGGCTGTTGCAGCTAGAAGCCAAAGACCGCCAAGAGTTGCCAGGCACACCTAGAAGGTTAGGCTGGAGCTGTGGAGCAGCTTCTCCCACAGGGCCCCCAGAAGAAGCCAATGCTGCTACCAACAGGATTTCAGAATTCCAGCCTCCAGAACTATGAGAGATTACATTTCTCTTATTTTAAGCCATCCAGTACTTGTGGTACTTGGCCACAGCAGCCCTAGAAAATTAATAGAACTATTGGTATATGTTTTGTTTGTTTCTTTACATTCGTGTGTTTTCCCCAGATGTTCACTATGTGGCCTTCTCCACTCTGTGTTTCTGTTTATCCCATGAGTTGTTTTTCTTGTTTTCATAATGTCTTTCTTCTTTTTAAAAAAAATTTGAATAGTTTTGGGAGTGCAGGTGTTTTTTGGTTACCTGCGTAGATTCTTTAGTGGTGATTTCTGAGATTTTGGTGCACCTGTCACCCGAGCTGTGTACACTATACCCAATATGTAGTCATTTACCCCTCACCCTTCACCTCGAGTCCCCGGAGTCCATTATATCATTCTTTTTTTTTGGCAGGGGGGTGGTTTTGAGACGGAGTCGCCCAGCTGGAGTGCAGTGGCGCAATCTTGGCTTACTGCAACCTCCACCTTGTGGGTTCAAATGATTCTCCTGCCTCAGCCTCCTGAGCAGCTGGGATTACATGTGCGCACAACCACGCCCAGCTAATTTGTGTTTTTAGTAGAGATGGGGTTTCACCATATTGGCCAGGATGGTCTCAATCTCTTGACCTTGTGATCCATCTGCATCAGCCTCCCAAAGTTCTGGGATTACAGGTGTGAGCCACCGTGCCCAGCCACCATTATATCATTCTTATGCCTTTGCATCTCCGTAGCTTAGCTCCCACTTATAAGTAAGAACATATGGTATTTGGTTTTCCATTCCTGAGTTACTTCACTTAGAATAATGGCCTCCAGCGCCATCCAAGTTGCCGCAAAAGACATTATCCCATCCTTTTTTACGGCTGAGTAGTATTCCATGGTGTATATATACCACATTTTCTTTATCCGCTCGTTGATTGAATATCGTTGGTTCCATATTTTGGAACATGATTGGTTGAATATGATTAGTTCCATATTTTGGCAATTGTGAGCTGTGCTGCTATGCCCATATGCATGCAGGTGTCTTATTCGTATAATGACTTTCTTTTCCTTTGGGTAGATACCCAGCAATGGGATTGCTGGATGGAACGGTAGCTCTATTTTTAGTTCTCTAAGGTATTTCCACACTGTCTTCCATAGTGGTTGTACTAGTTTACATTCCCACTAGCAGAGTAAAAGTGTTCCATTTTCACCACATCCACATCAACATCTATTATTTTTTGACTTTTTAATTATGGCCATTCTTGCAGGAGTACTGTGGTAGCTCATTGTGGTGTTCATTTGCATTTCCCTGATAATTAGTGATGTTGGGCATTTTTTTTTCATATGTTTGTTGGCTGTTTGTATCCATACGTCTTTTTTTTTTTTTTTTTAATTGACGCAGAGTTTTGCTCTTGTCACCCAGGCTGGAGTGCAATAGTACGATCTCGGCTCACTACAACCTCCGCCTCCTGGGTTCAAGCGATTCTCCTCCTCAGCCTCCCGAGTAGCTGGGATTACAGGTGCCCACCACCACGCCCAGCTAATTTTTGTATTTTTAGTAGAAACAGGGTTTCGACATGTTGGCAAGGCTGATCTCGAACTCCTGACATCAAGTAATCTGCCCACCTTGGCCTCCCAAATTGTTGGGATTACAGGCATCAGCCACTGCACCCAGCCCATATGTCTTTTTAATTTCAAAGTGTCTTTATTTTTTGCTTCTATTTCTTTCCTGAGAGCTGGTGTCTTTCTGTCTGTTGCCTCATAAGTGCTTTATGGAAACCTTGACATCTTTTAGCTCATTAAGGAGGTTGGGTCGTGTGCAATCTCTTTGAGTACCTGGAGCACTGTGTGTCTGACTCTCCCTCTGTGTTTTTTGTTTGTTTAATAAGTCCTCTCCTGACGTCAGTTCTTGTGGTCTTTGCTTACGTTCCTTACCTCTATTGCCTTTTTGTTTTCTTTAGTCCCTTTTTGGTTCCTTTGTGATTATCATTCACCTTAGAACACAGCCAGTCATTTGTTGCAGGATGATATTGAAGAGAGAGGTATGCAACCCAGAAAGTGACTAGGGTTTGTTTCCAGCAGACATGCTCTTTCCAAATCCTTTATTGTTATTCCTTGGACATACATCACCTCCCACTTCAGCACTGAGGTTTGCCAAGACTCAGCAAAGGCCTTCAAACGTCCTCCTTCCTCTACTTCGCCCCAGCAGTCTCCTGGTGCTGGGAGGAGTTGGGTGCCAGGCAGGAGACATGGACGGTCAGCACGTCCCGTCTCGCCCCCCACTGTCCTGTGCTATTGAACTGGGTCTACAGAAGGATGTTTCTCATGACCCTGCAGCCTGAGCTGCCCCCAGACCCTATCATCCACAGAGGAGGCCTCCCAGTGGTGCTGTCTGTAGGGAGACTGGCTTCCTCCTCGTCTCTCTGTGCCCTCTTCATATTTGTGGCATTTAGCAGCATGTATACTTTCTGGTTTAATAAAAAATGGCACCTGTAATCTCAGCACTTTGGGAGGCCTAGGTGGGCAGATCACCTGAGTACAGGAGTTAGAGACCAGCCTGGCCAACATGGTGAAACCCCATCTCTACTAAAAATACAAAAATTAGCTGGGTGTGGTGGCAGGTACCTGTAGTCCCAGCTACTAGGGAGGCTGAGGCAGGAGAATCACTTGAACCCAGGAGGTAGAGATTGCAGTGAGCCAAGATCGTGCCATGGCACTCCAGCCTGGGTGACTTCTCTCAAAAAAAAAGAAAAAAAAAAAGGAGGTCTTGCTCTATTTTTTCCCCCCAAATTCGTTATTGTTTTCAGTGGGATTTGGGTGCAAGGAGCAGAGTAAACAGGCCTTCAGTAAACAGGCCCAAATGCATTCCTAAGTTTCCTCTTTTCTCTCAGGCCACCCTTTCTTGGCATCCCTCGCCCCCATCCCCCTCTCTTCAGCCATGAAATGCAGAAAGAGAGGAGGTACCTCCCTGAAGGCCATGCTAGTAAGGGGAGGAGTCAGGACACCCCGCCCAGGCACTCTGGCTCCCCAGCAAAAGGATGTGGGTTTCTCAGGTGTGGCTGTTTCCACTGGGCAGGGCCTGACCTGCAGCTCCTGAAAAGCCACTGTTCTGTCTTCCTGGCTTCTTCAAGTCAGAGTCCCAGAGATAATCACCGTGGGCTCCACGCAGCAGAGAGGGACTTGATCCAACACTCTTTTATCGGCCTCAGGGCCTGGGAGGGTTTCTCAGCATCCAAGAATCCTGGAGAGTGACTCCTGGAACATTACAGGGGCTGTGGTGAAAGACACACCAGTGTCGGAATATAAACCAGCCCCCAGGAAACTGCTTCTAGCCACGCCCTGCCTGAGAAGCCTCAGGGTTTCCTGGAGAGTCTGGGTGGTTTCACCCCACAGCCAAGGAATAGCTAACAGTGAGGACTGGAGAGACCCCACAGCCTGGGACCTGCATTCAAGCGCCGACTCCACCCTTGATTGACCTGCAGGGCACCTGGGGAAGCCACCACCCTCTCTTGCCTCTGTGTCTCCATCTGCCCCATGGGTGGGGTGGCCTGGAGGATCCCTGAGTCTCTGCTGGTGCTGGTGCTCCAGGATTCTGGGACCCCTCCAAGCTCCCTCCCAGGGGCTTGCCCTGCTCTTCACTCCCCCTATAATCCCACTTGGGTGGCTGGTTGGGGATCATTCCCTGAGACCTCTCCTGGATGTGTCTGAAAAGGCCCCTCAGGACCTGCAGCTAGGGCCAGCTGGGCAGCAATGTGGTGTTTGCTTCTGCAACCTTCAGGTCACCATAATGACTCACTCTTCCTTGCCAGTGGAGGAGAGCTTAGGGCTTCCCTTCCCCCAAGAAGCAACTTCATGGTCAGTGAACTTCACAGTGAATTCTAAGAAAGCCTCTCGGCCAAGGGCAGATTTATAGCCCTACATTTGCTCCTTCAGCTATTCCACAGCCAATCTCTTCTTATTCCAGAGGCATAACCTCAAGTCGGCCTAGGAACAGTCACTCGGAGACTAAGTTATGAGACCTAGTTGAGATCTGGGCTATGGTAGAAGGCTGGGATAACAAGTAGCCTTTGACTCTTGTCTCTAGCCACCAAGACCTTTGGTCTTCCTGTCAACCTCTTGCCTCCTTTCTTCTATCCTTACTTATGAAAGGAAAAGATGGACCCTTCATTCATCAATCCATCACTCACACATCCAACTATCCATTATGTACCCATTCACCTACCCACCTATCTATCCATCATCCATCCATCCACCCATTCATCCATCATCTATCCATCTATCCATTTATCCATCCATACATCCACCCATCCACCCATCCTTCCATCCTTCCATTTATCCATTCTAAGACTATCCATCCAGCCTCTATTAATCATCCATCCTTCTCCCTTTATCACCCATCCATATTCTCATCCTTTCACTCATTATCCATTCATCCATCATCTGTTCATTTAGTCATCCCTCCCTCACTCTGCACATCCCTTGTTCAAAAAGCCACAGGCTTAATAACAATAGCAATTATACTACAAACAGTTATAGCCACTATTTATGGAAAGCTTACTTTGCATCAGTCACTGTGCTAATTGCTTTCTTGCATTATCTCATCTCACCTACCACTATCCAAAGGGTCCCATGTCACAGATGAGGAAACTGTGATCAATAATCACCTAAATACTCCCTTAGAGATACAAATATGAAGAAGATAGTGTTTCTCTGACTTCCAGCACTCACCATGGAATGAAGGGGACTGACCAGTGAAAATACAGGGTATCCATGAAGTCCAGAAGCCTAGAAAGTCATAACAATGTATGTATATGTTACATATGAAAGATGTCTTTGACAATATTCTGTATGTTTGCCTGTTTCCAGATTTTATGGACACCCTGTACAGTAGAAATACAAAGTGACAGATGCTCAAACAGGACCAGATAAAACATCCTGTAGAAGCATTGCAAGAAGATAAGGGCACGGGGAGAGGAGAGGATGATGCTAGAGTAGCCAGGGAAGGCTTCACTGCAGAAGTAATATGTGAGCTGAGTGTGATTTTGCTAAGCAGAGAAGGGCTTTGCTGGTAGAAACCAGCAAGTAAAAGGGCATGGAGGCATGAATTGAAGACCTGATCAGAGAAATGCAAATCACTTTTAGTGTTTGCAATAAAGGAGTCATGGGAGAACCTGGGCAACATGAGACCTTCAAAAAAGGCCACCTTGAGCCCATGGGTGTCATTAGAATGACATGGGTATCAGAAATAAATGACCCAGTGCTGCCCAGTTGACATGCTATCTTTAGATGGGGAAAAATAACAGATTACTAAATAGCCTAGTCACTATTATCCGATTTTGTGCTGTAAAGTGCATACAGTCATCTTTCAGTATCCCTACAGGATTGGTTCCAGGATCCCCTGTGGATACCAAAATCCACAGATACTCAAGTCCCTTATATAAAATGGAGTCATATTTGCATATAACTTATGCACATCCTCCCATATACTTCAAATCATCTCTAGATTACTTATAATACTTAATACAATGTAAATGCTACATAAATAGTTGCTGTAGTATATTTTTAACTTGTATTATTTTTATTGTTGCATTTTTTGGTTTTAGTTTTTTGAATATTTATGACCCTCAGTTGGTTGCATCTGCACATGCAGAAACTGCAGATATGGAGGGCCAGTTGTATATGTCTGGAGTAAAAGGCTGGAAGGATATTCTAGGATGTCAGCAATGGAGATTTCTGGGTAGCGGGATTTGGGATAATTTTTATTTTCTCCCCATACTTTCTTCATCATGAGCATGGTGGAAGGAAAAAGGGCTTGGGCCCTGGGGGGCAGGGCATCTGGGTTGGATGTTCTATTGGCCACTGACTTGCAAGGAGGCCTTGGGCAAGTCCCTTCCCCTCTCTGGCTCTTGGCTTCCTCACCTGTAGGATGAGAACTGGCCCAGGGCTCCCTGAAGGTCCCATCTGGCCCAGCTACCCCAGGCTGGGGTTTCTCAGACTGCAATCTGGAAATGTGTCCTTAGGGGGTCCTTGCATTCTATGAAAAGTGTCCAAAAAATGGCCGGGCACAGTGACTCATGCCTGTAATCCCAGCACTTTGGGAGGCCAAGGCAGGCAAATCACTTGAGGCCAGCAGTTCGAGACCAGCCTGACCAACATGGTGAAAACCCATCCCCACTAAAAATACAAAAAAATTAGCCAGGCATAGTGGTGCACACCTGTAATCCCAGCTACTCGGGAGGCTGAGGCACGAGAATCACTTGAACCTGGGAGGCGGAGTTTGCAGTGAGCCAAGATTGTGCCACTGCACTCCAGCCTGGGCAACAGAACAAGACTCTGTCTCAACAAAAAAAAAAAAAAAAAAAGAAAAGAAAAAGAAAAAGAAAAAGAAAATTGTCCAAAAAATATTTGTGTGCTTTCATTTTCATAATGAAATCCGAGGAATGAGTTGTACATACACATAATGTACTAAAAGTTGTGTCTGGGACATAGTGAAGCCTCCATACATGTGAGCTATTTTTATTAAGAAAAATAAAAAAGCCATCTATCATTTATTCATCTCTGTTGCAGTGATAATTCGCAACAGAAAGACATTTTCCTGGGATAAGATTTTGGTTCTTGGGCCGTTGTTTCTCAAATTGGGACCTGTGGATCTCAGGGGCCCCCAAGACACTCTGTAAAAGGGGCCTGCTACTCAAGTTGAATAAGAAACAAGTCTGGGGCCCCTGAAGAGCCGGGAGTGTGGGCTCTGATACCTCTCGTCCCTGCTTTCATGTCTTCCCTTCAGCCGGGGTGACTTGCTTTTTCCTGAGGCCTTGGAAAGACGCGTACCTTTCCCAGGAAAATGAGTCCCTGAGGAGGCCTCCCCGCCTGCAGGCTCACTCCAGCACCTGTGTTCTGTAACATAGCCCTAATTGAAATCACATTAACATTATGATTCCATTACGGGGAACAAGAGGCTGGCTGCAGGAATGCGCCCCACGGGGCCTAATCAGCTGGACTGGATCATTTATAAAGGGCTGTGCATCTGCCTGGAGCTTCAGTGTTAAGTAAGGCAGACAGGGGCCTATTCATTATTAACAAGGCTTTATGTGTTTGGCCAGGCAGGAGTACAAAGCTGGCCGCAAGGGGAGTCTGAGGGAGGAGAGGCATTCAGGTGCTGACTGCAGGTGCCCCGTCTGCTGGTGCCCCGTCTGCCTTGTCGGTCAGTGGAGTCTGAGATGGAGCTGCTTCTGCCCAGGTGGAGGCGACTTCCTATCCCTAAACCTGGACTGTGGCCACTCCTCATGCTGAAGGGGGAGGCTGAGTAACTTGCCTGAAGTCCCTTAAGTAATACGTAGTGGAGTCAGAATTTGAACCCAGGCAAGCTGAGTTCAGAGCCCACATGCTTGGCCAACTTGCGGTCTACAGTCCACCCCTTGGCAGTTCATACCTCTCCTGAGATGTGCCCTGGTACCAATCAGTGCTCCCCAAACTCAAAAGCTTTGAGGTTGTGATGTAAAGGAAAGAGCACTGGAAATCAGAAAATGTGGTTGGAGGGCCAACTCCTCCATTCATTTATTACTCTAAGTACCAGCACTGTGCCAGGCACTGTGTTAGGTGCTGCCGCTGAAAAGGCGACTGAGACCCAGTCCTTGCTCTATAGGAGTTCAATAACCACTTGGTGACACCCTACGCTGCAGGGACTGTGTCCCCCAAGCACTGGACATATGTGGTTTTGTCGGCCCCTTAACGATAATGAATGAACCTTTCATCATAATGCAGTGTGTGAGAACCATGAACACAGAACTTCATCAACTGTACATATTCTGTCATAAAATGTAATTCTAGATCATTAAATGCTAATTTAATTACATATGATTGGAGGCGACAGCGTGTGCTGGTTAGGAGCACAGGCTCTGGGATCCGACAGCCTCAGTTCTAATCCTGGATCTGTTACTTATCAGTTGCGCCGCCCCAATCATGTTACATCACCTCCTATGTTTGCCCCTTCTGCCTTACTTTGTCCTGGGTACAGGGGATGAGGTGGAAGGAGGCCACCAGGATGAGCAATACTGATACCTCGTAGAAAGAGGTTTGCAGAACTGGGGAAGAAAATGGTGGGCAGAGGAGTATGGTGGCTGAGAGTGTGGGGTCTGGGGGTAGAAAGACCTGGTCTCTAGTCATAGCTCTATTCCCGTGGCTGTGTGACCCTGAGCGAGTAACTACATGGGGACTCTCACCTTCTACACCTGCAAAATGGGGGCAATAGCAACACTTACCTTACAAAGCCGTTATCAGGATTGAATGCAATGACAGCAGTAAAGCGCACAGCACATGGTCTGAAAGCAGTAAGGAGTACACACAAAAAAGATCCCCCAAACCAAACACCTAATAGCCTTCACCTAGAATTTTAGAAGAATCTTCACCACCCAAGGTGTGATGGGGGTATTCTTAGATTCCACCAGCTGTGGTCCATTTGAAACAGTGAGATGCGTTGGTAAGACCCATTCTGTAGGATTGAAAGTTGATGATGGGCGTGGATATGTCTGTAAACAGAAACACAGTGCACAAGTGTGCAACTCCCCTCATTGAGCATTGATCATACACCAGGCCAGGACTCAGATGAGATGGGTGGGGAATGAGAGGGATGATCTCCGGACACCCAGGAGAGTCCAGTTGGCTGGAGGAGGTATTGGGCAACTCAGACGACCCCACATGTATGGTATCAACTTGAAAATCAGGACTTTGGAGGGGAGAGAGTGGGCAGAAAGGTGGTGGCTGAGGTGCCAGCTCCCCTGCTGCTCCCTGCCCATGCTGCCTGGCATTGCTGGGGTCTGTTCACTGGGTCTGACCACAACCTCTCTTGTGTCTTCTTCCCTCATCCAAGCAAGAAAGACAGTTTGGTTCCCTTCCCTCCAATGTGCTGGGGACCCTGAGTCTGTCCAAATAATAATTTTTAAAAACAATCAGGCTTTATTGTGAGCCAGACCCTAAGTCCTTTACATTGGACTTTAACAGCTGTGCTGGGAGGAATTCTGCAGATGAGAAAACTGAGACTTAGAGAGGTGAAAGGACTTGCCCCGGGTTCCACAGCCGACAGGTGTAGCCTGTTTGATGCCGAGGCTCCAGTTCTATTCATGATGCTGAACTGACCAGCACCCCCTGCCTAGCCCAAGGTTCAATTTTGTGACCATGAGGGGTGTCTCCCCACGTCGTTTCTTACTCCAGTAATGAGAGATGAAGGACCTTGGGATAGGTAGGAGTCCAGCCTACAAGAGCTCCCTCCCCAGCCCAGACTCCACCCTACAGTAGTGACCTCGTTATTTGCTCTTTCATCCCAGTCTTCTTATGAAACAACAACAGCAACACCAGCAATAACAAGAACAGCTACCACTATCTAGTGCTCACTGTAGGCTGGGCATCCTACGTGCACCATTTCCCTTGACCCTCATGTTAACCATGAGAGGTGGACATAGTTGAATGCACATATTTTTACAGAGGAGGAAACTAAAGTTGAGAGGAAAAGCAGAACCAGGATTGGGTTTTCCCCAGAATTTCAGCTCAGTTTCTTTTAACATTGACTGAGCACTTCCTCTCTGTAGGAACTGTGTGTGCTAAGAATTGTATATCAAAATCCCAGGAAGAGAGGCACTATTGTTACCCCCGTTTCACAGACGAGGCCACTGAGGTTCATAGAGATTTAAGTGACTTGCCCCCAAAATACATAACTTAAGTGGCAGAGCTGGGTCTTGAACACACCTTTCTGAGATCAGACCTGTGGACAGAATGTCCACAAATGACAGTGACCTTTCTGATGCTGAGGCTGGGGAGAAGGGCATATCTGGGGCCAGCGCAAAAGCAGCCCAGCAGGGAAGGCAGAGGCAGAGCCTCCTTTCAAAGCAACCCAAAAAATACCCAGTTGTCTTCACCCAATAGCCCCTGATTAAAAATCGAGCATGTGAGCCTGGCTGCCCAGGAGCTGAGCTGAGATCAGAGACCACTTCCAGCAAGCCTGGGTCTTTTTAAGTTACTTATCTGTCTGCATTTTTCATCATTTGCCATTGATTTGCAAGGGCTCTTCCTGACAGTCCCTCTGGTGCCTGCCTGGCAGGATGGCTGGCTCTGGTCTCCCTCATTTCTGGGCACTTTCACGTTCCAGCAAGGCAGCCTGGCCCCAGCTGCCCACGCAGCATCTTCCAAACCTGGACTCTCCATTGCCAGGACTGTCAGGGCTGAGGGACCTTTGTCCCTCTCTCTTCCTCACCCACATCTCCCCACAACATGAGGGCTGCCAAAGTTCTGGAGCAAGCAGATACCTTAGCACAAATATGACACTCTTGCCCTCCTCTCTCTCACTATGCCCTAATCTATGCTCTGCCCCTCCCTGCCCCAGGAGGTTGACCTCTAAGGATTGCACCCCCAGGCTCCCTTACTCTCTTGATTGTGGTCGGGCTTAGGTGATGGGAGACACTGGCGGGAAACCAGAGGGAAGAAGGAGAGAGGGGTTGGGGTATTTCCACCAAGGTTTTGGCTGCATCTTTCTATAATGGCAGCTGTGTTGCAATGGCCTCTCTCCCACACTCCAGTCCTTGCCGGGTTCCCTAACGCTGTTCCCTCCCCCAATGCCTTCAAGATTAGGGGTAGTAATGGCTTCCTGCTGTTGTTTGTTCCTGGGTGCCTCGGCATCCCTTGTTAGTTCCCTTAGTTCCATCCATACCTCTGTTAAATCCTCCTCGAAATCCTAGTTGATGTGACTTCTGTTTCCAGTCAAGATCCTGACTAATCCACAGGAACTCCTGGTTCCATGAAGTGCAAACATGGGCAGGAATAAAAGCTCCCAGGTGGAGGCTGCCAGGGATACGGGAGAGACTCGTGCTTATTTCTGTTTAGAGGACAGAAGTTACATTTCCTCCAGCACACACCTTAGGTAGAGTGTCCTCATCTCTCTCTCTATCTCTTATTGAGGAATAAACAGAGATGCTCTGTTTTATCATACTCTTTTGACAGATATTTTGTCTAGAAAGGTTTGAGGCTGGATTTGAACCTCCTGGATGGAAAGGGCAAAGCCCCCTGGTGAGGGAGTGGGCTCACAAAGCCCATATAGCCTTCCACTATTCCTGGCAAGGGTGTGACTTCAGGCAACTTCACCACATTCCTCACTGAGTACTTCAATTGTCATGCTTTGTCTGTGAGTAACAGAAAGACCAATGAAAACAGCTTGAATAATGAGAAATTTATTATCTTGCCTAATGAGATACCCAGAATGAGTGGTTCTAGAGTTGGCAAATCCAGCAGCTCAATGGAGGTAAAACTCTCAGTTGGCGGTAAAACTCTCAGTTGGCTTCTCAACTAGTCTCTTGGCTTTTCCCTCATGGTCACAAGGTGGCTGCCACAGCTCCAGTCATCACAGCAAGACCTAAAGCAGGAAGGCAAGAATCCCTGATTAGACACTGATCCAGTTGCTATAATAAGACACAAAATAGCAGTGGATTAAGCACTATAGAAATGTATTTTCCTGTTCTTTTACGGTCCCAGGCTAGTTCAGGTTTAACATGGCAGCCCAGTGGTATTGAGGACTAGGTTTCCATATCTTGTTGCCCTTATTGCAAAGCTGGAGGTGGCTCATCATGTAAGTACAGTCATGTGTTGCATAGCAATGGGAACATGTTCTAAGAAATGCGTCATTAGAAGATTTCATTGTTGTCTGAACATCATAGAGTGTACTTACACAAACCTAGATGGTACGGCCTGCTACACACCTAGGCTAGATGGTATAGCCTATTGCACCTAGGCTATAAACCTGTACAGCATGTCCCTGTTCTGCATACTGCAGGCAATTGTAACACAGTATTTGTGTATCCAAACACATATAGACATAGAAAAGGTATAGTAAAAATACAGTACTGTAATTTCATAGGACCATTGTCTTCCATGAGGTCTGTTATTGACCGAAACATCTTTATGTGGCACATGACTGTACTCTATTCATCAGGGAGGAGGAGGAAAGGGAGGGGAGAACATGCCCCTCCTTTTGTGGGTACACACGGTAGTTGCACACATGGCTTCTACTCATATTGTTGGTTAGAACATGGCTGCATGGCCACATCTAGTTACAAGGGAGCCTGGAAAATGCAGTTTTTGGCTGGGCAGCCACATGCCCATCTAAAAACTATTCCTAAGGCCAGGCGCCTTGGCTCACGCCTATATTCCCAGCACTTTGGGAGCCCAAGCTGGGTGGATCACCTGAGGTCAGGAGTTCAAGACCAGCCTGGCCAACAGGGTGAAACCCCATCTCTACAAATAATACAAAAATTAGGCAGGCATGGCGGTGCGTGCCTGTAATCCCAGCTGCTTAGGAGGCTGAGGCAGGAGAATTGCTGGAACCTGGGAGGCAGAGGTTGCAGTGAGCCAAGATTATACCACTGTACTCCAGCCTGGACTACAGAGTGAGACTCTGTCTCAAAAATAATAAATACATACATACATACATACATACATACATACATACATACATACATACTGTTTATAGAGGCAAAAAGGGGAAAACAGATACCTGGGGACAAAGATCCATCTCTTCACAGGCCCTATCTCATGTCCCCTTTGAATAACAAGGAAAACCTTCCCAGGAACCCCCAACTACCACCCCACCACCAGGCTCCCTCGTACATCTCATTGGCTAAGTAAGGTTCATGCCATGCCAGTTCTGAACCTGCAAGGAAACCTGGCTGGCTGAGATGCAGGTTCTGCCAGGAAAAACAGAAAGGCAAGAATGCCTGCTGAGTGGTCGGCTAAAATTGTACTGAGTGACACAGCTACAACCTGGGAAGCAGCTTGGTTCTTCTATTCCTACACCCCACCCCCTCCTTTTCTTTGGTGGCAAGCAACAGAAATTGGATTTGCTTAGCTAGGCCAGCACAAGAAAGAAGCGAACAGCTGGTGAGAAGGATTGGGATGCTGCTGGATCTCAGGGGCCAGAAGCAGGACATCACATGCCTCAGGAGTCTCTACTCTTTCTGTGGGCTGTCCTCATACCCTCTCCTTACAGACTGAGTCCTCCACAGGTCGGGGACATGGCCAGTGAACCCTCCAGAGCCCCGTCTAGCAGCCCCATCACTAGGCGGGAAGACTCCTCCATTCCAGTCAACCTGTGGAAGAATTCTGAAGAGGCCAGTAAACTGTGATTTAGGGAGTGGGATCATATGAGAGCAGGACAACCCTCCTAAAAGCATGAGATCGACTTGGGAGAAGGTAGGAGCCCAGAAAAACTGGTCCGGCTGGAGCCTAGGCAGATGAAATAATAGGTGAGCATTTCCATTCTTTACTAAGACTGGAAAGCGACGGTGGTGGTGGTGAGGTAGGGATGGCAAGACCCTAGGAAGCTGCTTAAACTGCAGGAGGAAGTATCCCTAATTAAACTTCACATGGTGCATCGTTCTGACGTGTTTTCTGATTCTGGTACAAATATGCTGAAGATTGCTGTGCACTGGTTTTCAAATTGTGCTCCAAGGAACCCCTGGAGTCTGGAGATGTGGGGGTGGCCCCCCTGGAGTCAGTGGCAGCATGATTTTTGCCTGTTTTATTGACACTTTAGTTTATGTTTCTATAAAATGGCAATAATCATGGCTATTCGTAAGATTATTTTTAGTCATAAATTAGATTATCCATGAGAAGGGCCTGGCACATAGGACATGCTCAAACATTGTTGGCTAGGGTTATTATTTATTACTTTGTATAAGAAATTAGTTGAGGCCGGGTGCAGTGGGTCACACCTGTATTCCCAGCACTTTGGGAGGCCGAGGCGGGCGGATCACCTGAGGTCAGGAGTTCAACCAGCCTGGCCAATATGGTGAAACCCTGTATCTACTAAAAATACAAAAAAATTAGCTGGTTGTGGTGGCGCGCACCTACTCGGGAGGCTGAGGCATGAGAATTGCTTGAAGCTGGGAGGCAGAGGTTGTAGTGAGCTGAGATGGTGCAACTGCACTTCAGCCTGGGTGACAGAGCAAGACTCTGCCTCAAAAACAAAAAAACAAACAAAAAGAAATTATTTGAAATAAGCATTCTGTGGGTTAAAGCAGTTTGAACTGACTGGTTGATCCAAACAAAGGGTCTAGGAGTCTGGAGACCCAGTACCACTCGGCAACTAGGGGATGGACCCTGGGCAAGTCCTGGGCTCCTCCTGCAGACGGGACCCTCCCACCCCAGTGCTCTTATATCACCTGAAAAATAGGCCCCTTCCACCCCCAGCCCTAAAGACACAGCCCCATGTCAGAGCGCGTGGCTGGGCAGGATTTCAACCTGACCCTTGAGTTGGGTGCCCTTCTGCAATGCAGGCCCCGCCTAGCTTTCTGGTCTCAGTCTCCCCTTTGTTTAGGTGCGGGTCACACAGCACCCCGTCTGTCCATCAGCGTGGTTGTGACTGTGGATGTGGGTGACTCTGTCAGGATTCTGCCCCTGCTGTGCCTGTTTTGCCAGGGAGCAGGACTGTTGCTGTGGTGAGGTGACCAGCTGGGAGTCACGGGTGATGGCAACGCAGGACTGGCAGGGTGGGAAGGGGGAAGCAGGAGCCCCCGGGAAGATGAGCTGGATAGCTCTTGCCTGGCCCCAGGGAGAGGCCTGGGGTGGGGGGTGTCCGTCTGCCATCTTCCCCGACCCGGCCTCACCCCAGGGGCTGACAGATACCCCACTGATTGACTGGGCCCCTGAGAGGCCCTCCTGCCACGTCCTTAGACAAGGCCTTTGACCTCCTGCTCTGTACAGGCAGCCAAAAGGGGCACAGGGAAGGTGGGGAGGTGACAGTCCTCCACCTCCACCAGCCCTGGGGCAGCCTCTTGTCCACCCCTTCTGAGACGTCATGGAGGGCCCCTGCTTCCATTATTCATGAGCCACAGCCTTAGAAGCCTGACACTGCAGACTGGGTGCTTTCCACCTCTCTCTGACTAGTCCTTTCGACAGCCTGGTGCAGGAGTTCCCAAACATGCCTGATCACTAGAATCAACTGGGGCACTTGTCAAAAATATGGCTTCCAGACCGGGCATGGTGGCTCACATCTGTAATCCCAGGACTTTGGGAGACCGAGGCGGGTGGGTCAGTTGAGGCCAGGAGTTTGAGACCAGCCTGGCCAACATGGTGAAACCCCATCTCTACTAAAAATACAAAAATTAGCTAGACATGGTGGTGCATGCCTGTAATCCCAGCTACTTGGGTGGCTGAGGCAGGAGAATCGCTTGAGCCCAGAAGGTAGAAGTTGCAGTGAGCTCTGGGTGAGCTCCAGTCTGGGTGACAAAGTGAGACTCTGCCTGAAAAAAATGGTCTCCAAAGTCTCATTCCCCTTGCATCCCAATTCAGTGGATAAAGGTGGGGCCCAGGAACCTGCATTTTACCAGCACCTCAAATGATCTGATGAACACTGAAGTTGGAGAGTCACATAGCCATTGAGATTAAAGGGGTGGGCTATGGATCCTTTCTGACCTGGGTTAGATGCTTTGTGGCACTGGGCCAATGACTTACCCTCTCTGGTTGTATCTGAGACAAAATGGGGACAACATAATCACCACCTCAGAGAGACCTTGCAAAGCCTGAGACCAGGCAGGAGCAGCCCTTACAACTGTGCCTGATAAGGATCAGCAGATGGCAGTGACCACTGGTCTTTTTATGATTATTAATGTCATAGCTAACCCCTGCCTGCACAAGGACACTGCGTGGCTTAAGTGAAGAAGGCAGGACTCACAGGGCATATGTTCCAGCATCTAGTCCCACATTTTATCTGCTTCCAGGGCCCCAGGATGAGAGCTTAGCCCTGTCCACCCTGAGGGCCTGTTAATGCCATTAGTTCTGCCGGCCTCAATCCCCTCCCACCTCACTCAACACCTCCCTCTCCAGAGCTCCATCAGGCCGCCCGTCTGCTTCTCCCATCAGGGCTGCCGCACGTGCTGCCCTCTTTGGGGTGGGGGTAGTCAATCCCACTTCAGGTGATGAGTGGGGAGCTGCAGCAGGCCCTGGGCTGGGGGCTAGGGAAGGGGCCCCGAGTTGGGAGCTGGGGAGGGCAGGGAGTGCATGGGGGGTAGGGGCTCTGCCCGGATGCCCCTGTTCAGGGTCTGCCCTTGGTTCTGAGCCAGTGCCAAGTCTCAAGCTCTCACCTGGACTGGGCAGACGTTGGGATGGGGTTGCCTGAGTGGAGACTGAGGTGGGGGGATATAAAAGAGTTAAAATCTTTTCCCCCACAACCTACCAGCCTCCTCCCCTGCTTCCCCCAGCCTGAGGGTGTGAGATCCCAAGATGCAGAAACCAGGTGTCTGCACCAGCTCCACAGCATGTGCTGGGCCTGCAAAAGAAGTTGCCTCACAGTCCTCCAACCTGAGAGGGCTTCCCACAGGGGAAGGCTGAGAGGCGGGCAGATCTGAGTTCAATTCCCGGCCCTACTGCAGCATGTTCTGCTGCACTAGGCCTTGACTTCCTTGTCTATAAATTGGGCATCACAAAAGGCCCACAGGACTCCTGTCAGGATGTCAGGATGTGTGACGATGCTGAGTGGTGCACACGGTGCGTGCTTCACTCACGTGGGGCCGCCTTTGCATACCTGCGCCGCACAAACCACGTTAATGGAAAACGAAACCAAATCACAATCCCCCACCAGCTGGGCTTCTCTGTAAATTAACTGTCCTCGTTCTCCCTGACCCCTCAGTCCTTGTCCCCACTGGGATATAATGCTTACAGTGTTGCAGTGTGACCTAGGGCCAGGGCTGCTGTCTAGATGTGTTTCCTACTTACCCTCATATCACAATGTTTTCTCTGCACTGCAGGCTTCATTCGTTGTTTTTGATCCAGTACGAAACTTCTGAATGCCCCAATGCATGAGGCCCTAGGTTACCCTCTTGAACATCCACTCACAGCTTTTCTTTTCCAAGAGCTCCAACAAGTTCCAGAGGTGTTTTTTGTTTGTTTTCTCTCCCTTTGTCTCTGAATTCTATTAATCATGATCCCTTATTCACGCCATCCTCTTGCCATAGGTTCATAAACGGTTCTCCTCTGTTTATTTATATAAATAAACACCCAAGACCTGGTCATCCAACACAAGAATCAGAACATTAACCAGCACTTGCATCTGTCTGTGGGCTTCTTCCCTGTCTGACCATCAGCCTCCCCTACCCAAGGAAGCCACTATCCTGAAGCTTTCTGTAGGTCACATGATCATCCCTAAACAAATCACTGTGGCCTGGGGGACAGAACAGGCTGATTGGCCAGGTCTGGATCAGGTGATCATACTTGGAGTCAGGGCCTGGGGTAGAATTAGCCCCATGCAATGCACGTGGGTGGAGGGGAGTGAGGGTTGGGTGGTTTCCCAAAGGCAATCTGAAGGGCCAGGGAAAACAAGAGCCATCAACCGCACTTTGTCCCAGGCTCAGTGTCACTTGAACCAAGTCTTCCCACAGCACCACAGGGCTCAGGCTTGCCCTGCTGACCCCCAAGGCCTGGACCTGAAGCTCCTGGAAGAACAAGAGTTGATGAGAAAGGACATTCTCACTTCCTCCCACGGTCTGGAGCCACAGGCTGGAATCTCCAGCCCCACCTCAGCTGAAGGAGTGGGGAAAGGAGGCTGTCTCTGGGGGACTCGTAGAGGGCAGGGCAGCAGGCTGGGGTGGACAGGGTCCTGCTGTTTGACTCCTCCTGCTCCTCCTCCTCATTATTATCATGTCCTCAGGGCATGACCCAGGTCATCTCATTTAGTCTTCCCATGGTTTTATGTGGAGGGTCATTATTATCCCCCTCTCAGAGCTGAAGCTTCCAAGGCTGGCTAGTGAGAGACTGGCATGTGTTTACCCAGCAAAGCGGGGTCAAGCAGAGCCGTAGAGTCCTAGAGCCAGGTGGCCCTGTGGGACTGGCTTAACCCTTACGTTGGGGAACCCAGAGCCCAGACAGGTTAGATTCCCTGTCCCAGGGCCTACAGTGAGTGATGGCTCATAGCCTGACTCCTAATTCAGGGCCTGCTCCATGAAGCCAGATGAACCCAGGTGTGAGACCCGGCTTCTCCCCTTCTGATTACTTAAAGTCTGTGTCCCTCGGTGACCTCGTCCGCAAAAGAGGATGGCAATGGGCCCCACGTGGGAGCTTACCGTGAGGTTAATCACGTTCTCACCTGCAAGGTGCTCAGCATAGTGACTGGCACATGGCGAAGGCTCACGAGTGAGGGCCCTTTTCAAGATCATCATTTAGCCCCATGTTTCTCCACCTGCAACACGGGAAGAAGAGAGGCTCAAGTCATCTAAGGGGTGCGGCCATGCTTCAGAAAAATGTAATATTGAAATAGTCCCAGAGAGGTAGTACAATGTGGTGATTAAGAACGCAGACCCTGGGACCGGCCGAGGTTCCAGTCCCCACTCTGCCATGTATAAGCTGAGCTTTCTTGAGCAAATTCCTTAACTTTTCCATGTCTCAGTTTCCTCATCTACATAATGGGGTTAATAACAGTTGCTGTCTCCTGGAGTTGTTGTGAAGATTAAACAAGTTAGCCTCTGAGTGAAGTGCTCTGAACAACACCAGGATATGGCTAAGGACTTTGTAAGTATTCACTGTTACCAAAAATGCTGGTTATTAGCTGTCACTTTGGACAACCAATCATAGTTATAGAAATAAAATAGAATGTAAATGTTGTTAATCTTCCCAATATGAAATAAAATCACATAGTCAACAAACATTCGGGACTGATTGTTAATTTCCTCACCTTTTATGGAGAGTCACTAGTAGACAGTGCCTAGAGTGGATAAATGAAGAAACAGAAATGTATTTTTTAAATTAATTGATTGATTGATTTTGAGACAAGGTCCCTCTCTGTCACCCAGGTTGGAGTGTAGTAGCATGATCATAGCTCACTGCAGCCTCAACCTCCTGGGCTCAAGCAATACTCTCATCTCAGCCTCTCGAGTAGCTGGGACTACAGGCGAGTGCTACCATGCCTGGCTAATTTTTGTATTTTTTTTTTTTAGAGACAAGGTCTTTTGATGTTGCCCAGGCAGGTTTCAAACTCCTGGGCTCAGGCAATCCTCCTGCCTCGGCCTCCCAAAATGCTGGGACTACAGGCGTGAGCCACCAAGCTCAGCCAGAAATGTATTTTCTATGATTTAGTGTGAAAAAAAAAAAAAAAAACACACAAGCTGGGCACAGTGATGCGTGCCTGAGGTCCCAGCTACCTGGGAGGCTGAGGTGGGAGGAGGACTGCTTGAGCCCAGGAATTCAAGTCCAGCCTGGACAACATGGCAAGACCCTGTCACTTAAAAATTTTTTTTAAATAAATAACAATGAAAAACAAACTTGGAGTGTTTAGGAGAACAGAGAAACTTACTTTTTATTATTTTTTAACCATATGCATAGGTTCGTTCCATGAGAAAAGTTTTTAACAAATTGAAAACAAATAAATGACGGTAAGTCATTTATAAATCAGTAACAGTTCAAAGAAAGCACTTGCTCTCTATGTTAGTAAGAAACAGGAGATGGAACAGAGAAGTCCACACGCCTACTCCAATTAGAGTTCTTTGGGCAGCAAGCATGTATTACTTATAACGAGAAAATATGTAAATGAAATAAACTTGAAGCAAATGTGATGATTTTGATTCCCAGCAGGCAGGAATATGACACCTAGAATCACACTGTCCCTTCCTCTCACTCCTGACCAGGCCTGGGCGGGAATTCCACTCCTATTATCGAATGTTGCAAAAATCCCAGAGCCGCCTGGATCTAATCCTGGCTGGGCCTTCATATCCAGGTGGGCCTCCAAAGCAGGGATGAAGTTGCCCTGAGCAGCTTCCCAACCCAGCAAGAAGCCAACTGGCTGCTGGAGCCAAGAAAGGCTTGTGCTTAGCTCGCTTCATAGAAGGTCCTAGAACCGGGAGCAGATAGTTCCAGGCAGTCCCAAGCATTAGCTCACCTGTGAGTGGTAATAAAAGGGGCATTAGAGAGCTTCTTTCACCAACCTGTATCCATTCATTCACTCACCCATCAAATGTGTGTTAAGTCCCTAGCAATAGTGTCTAAATTCTCACCACTTCATAAATACTCTGCAACCCTGCTTCCAGATCCTCACATGCCTGACACCTTCTTTCTATGTGGATGGTGCATAACATTCCCATTAATATTCTGAAATAAACCCCATGGATGTTGTAACCTACCTACAGGCACGATTTTTAAAAATAACCATATACAATGTCCTATCTGTAACATAAATAGGAAATATAAAGAATGTCCCGTAAAATAAAAACTGTACTTGAACAAGTAAGCACTCAGGCCCAGCTGCTCTGGAAGACATAGGAAGCAGTCAGGGGCTTGCAGCCTGCGCAGGACCACCATCAAGGGGACAGCTACAGATGTACAGGAACGTGGGGCACTGAGCCGAGAAGCCAACGTTCTAATCATGTCACTGTCAGATGCACGTTTCCAAAATTGTGAGCAGTTCTTGGCATGTTCTGAATAAAACTAAATATAGAGTTCTCTTCTCTTGTTTTTGTCTTTAGTTGCATCCTTGAAAATTCAGTATATATTCAAAGTGTGGAAAAATGCTTTATATTTACATGTAAAGCAGAGCTAAAGTCTAGACTCACATAATGATAAACATATTTTCTTCCCTACATGAATGTCCAGCAGGGCGTGTGAAAGTCACGTGGCTTGTGGGGACAGTTCCTCACTGGGCTGCATGATCCCACTTTTTTTTTTTTTTTTGAGACAGTCTCACTCACCCAGACTGGAGTGCAGTGGTGCGATCTCAGCTCACTGCAACCTCCGCCTCCTGGGTTCAAGCGATGATCTGCCTCCTGGGTTCAAGCGATTCTCTGCCTCCTGAGTAGCTGGGACTACAGGTGCGTGCCAACATGCCAGGCTAATTTTTGTGTTTTTCGTAGAGACGGGGGTTTCACCATGTTGGCCAGGCTGGTCTCAAACTCCTGACCTCAGGTGATCCACCCACCTCGGCCTCCCAAAGACCATCTCCCTCTTAACTAATCACCTGCCTTCCCAGACCCACCACCTGCTCAGTTTAGTGGTACTCCCCACCTGACCTTATCTTTGTGACAATCGAAAATGCCCCCCATTCATTTCCAAATCATCCCTGGGGGCAGTGCCACTCAACTGAATGTGTCGTTTAATCATCTCAACAATCTGATATAAGAGGTACTAACATTATCCCCTTTTTACAGATGAGGTGAAATGGCTGAGCCAGGACCCTCACCGGAAGTTGTCTTAAGTCCACGCAGTCTGCTATACTTCCTTCCCGCGTGTCCATTGGGCCTGCAGTGGCACTGGGGACCCAAATATGAGAAAGGCATCCCAGCTGGGGGTTGCCAATGCATAGACCCCCCTGTCTATACAGCATGGCGCAGATTCAGACAGAGGAACATATGGCATGCTGGGATATGCAGCAGAGGAGTGAGCAGAGAGCAAGAGCACCACAGCTAAGCCTGGGGTAGAGATGGTGGAGGAGCGAGGGAATGGCATTCCAGGCGGGGGAACTGCATGAGCAAAGGCATGGAGGACAAGGCAGCATGAAAGGTTCAGGGTCTGTGAGAGGCAGGGGGTGGTGGTGGGGACATAGGTCTGGACAAGCAGGCTGTGCTGTGATTGTGAAACCAGAGAGGCACGGTCAAGCAGTGTGGTTGGGCTGGGTAGGCAATGGGGAGCCATGGGAGGTTTTTGAGCGGAGTAGCTCCATGAAGGTGTTGGTTTTAGAACAATCCCTGGGAGCAGGGAGGAGAGTGAACTGGGAGGGTGAGGCAAGGGTGTGCCTCCAGTGAGCGTGCGTCTCCACAATCCAGGCCAGGGATGTGGGTGGGAGCAAGACAGCAGAGCCCTTTCAGAGGCAGAATTAGCAGCCTCACAACAAACAGGCTGTGGGTCCAGGGTGAGGAGGAGCCTCGAATGACCTTGGAAAACAGGTAACGGCTGGAGGAGAAACAAATTCAAGCAGACCTGGGATCTGGGTGAAGACATTTTGAATCTGAACTCTTTCCCCAACACTGCATCTCCACTGCTACTTCGTCTGCCCGGAACAGTCACCCTCGGCTTTAAGTATGGCTGGGGCTCCTGCTAAATGTCCCCTCTTGAGAGAGCCTGCCTGACCTCCCTGTCTACAGTAGCTGTCACCTCCTTATTTCCCATCCAAGCTCTCTACTTATTCCTGTTGCAACAGCCATCATTGGTAACTTGACCTGCTAGTTTTCTGTTTCCTAAAATAGAGCCAGGATCTGTCCTATTTTTGGTCTCTTCCGTAGCCACACTGTGTGTGGCACATAGTACCTGCTTGAAAACATTTGTTGAATGAATAAATTGAGAGAGAAGGACATCAAGGGAGAAATGCTCAGTGAGTACTCAGAAATGCCCCTGCTGCCTGAAACCCCCTATTTGAGTCTCTCTCCTTTGATGCCAGTCTTCCTGGTCTTCTGTAAAGTAATCGAGAAGGTCATTAGTCCTCTCTGAGCCACCTAGCTAGGAAGGGGTATGTCAGGCTCCTAGTGCAAGCCAGGGGTAGAGATTGGGGGTCTCCGTGGACCTTTCCCCCACTCTCTGTAAGAGGATGGTAGGAGGGAGATCCTTCCATCTCTGCTGTGTGTGTGTGTGTGTGTGTGTGTGTGTGTGTGTGTGTATGCTGGGGCTGTTAGGGGTGGGAGTGGAGGGAGGAGGAGGCAGCCTGGAGCCGAGTCCTTCCTGGAAGCCAGAGGCAGGATGCCAGAGGCATGTGTTCCCCAGCAATCCCCAGGCCCAGGGGAGGGAGCGCCAGACCTGAGCTCAGCAGGTTGGAGATGCACCCTCCAGCCCACCCCCACCCTGCCCTGCAAGAGGTCCTGCAGGCCTGGCCAGCACCCTCTTTCTCTCCCTACAGCGCTCCTCAAGGAACTGTCTGGCCTTAATAAAAGAAGTGAAACCTCCTCAGTCATGTTGTGACTTCCAGCGTCTCCCTTAATTCCCACACTAGCCCTGGGAGATGTGCATTGCCACGGGCCCTATTTCACAGATGGGAAAACCAAGACTGAGGGAGACTGTGGCTCATCCAGGGATGCAGAGCCAGGCACAGACAAATCTCATGCTCTTAGCCATGCCATACGCCATCATCTCCACCCCAGCCCTACACCTGGAGCCCCTACACCTGGATACCCCACATGTAGATGCCCCATGCCTGGGCATTCAACATACCTGGATACTCCATGCCTGGGCATCCCAGGCCTGGGTGCCCCACATCTGGGCATCTCACACTGGCAATGGGAACAGGCTGAATGGGGGCCCCTGCCCTGGAGACCCTGACAGCCCTGCTCCCAGAATCACTAACACTTGCAGGAGGGCCTGCGTTTTTATTTCTGTCTCCTTGGGCAGGAAACATGGCCAGGAGAGAGATAAGGAGGAAAGAAAGGAGGGGCAGGCTTCTCTGGAGCCAGGGCTGCTGCCTCCCCCTCCACACACAGGGCAGAAGAATAGAAGGAAGTGGCCAGAGAAAGGCAAGTGTCTGAGTCGGGGGGTAGGGGATGTGGGGCAGGGAGGTTATCATCTACAAATAACCCTATCTCCAGGACCCCCAGGAGAGGATCAGAAGGGGCTGAGGCCAGAGGGTCTGGGCTGTGTGGCTGAGGGGGTGGACAGGGGTCATCAGTGTCTGCCTGGGAGATGATCAAAGGGCCACACAGAGGACAAGGACATGACCCAGGACCCTCCCCTCTGCCTGCTGCTCTGACCCTGCAGTTGGCCAAGCAGGTTGTGCAATGACCCACCTGCCCATTGGATCAGTCCTCCCCGAATCCATCCAAACCTTCGTTCCCCCACCCACTCATCCATCCATCTACTCCTCCTGCCTCCCTGCCTCTGAGCCTTCCATTCTCTGTTCCTTCTGCCCACCACATCTACCTTTCCTCTTCTCCTTCTTTCCACTGCATCTACCTTTCCTCTTCACCTTCCTGACTCATTCTTCAGGTCCCAGCTTAGAAACAACATTCTCCGGGAAGCCTTCTCAAACACCCCCACAAAATCCAGTGTAAGGAACATGGCCCATGGCCTCCCACAGCCCTGGTCTTCTCTTTCTATGATACTTATGACAACGACAATTTCATACTCACATCCATTTCCCCTGCTACCTGAGGTAGCTGATAATTCTTCAGCACCCAGAACAGTGCCTGGCATACACTAGGTGCTCAATAAGTTCATCTGGCATCTTTACTTTCTTATCTGTGTCTCTTCTCTCTTCCCTGTCTCTCTTTCCCTTTTCAAGGTTTCCTGAACACCTACCTGAGCCAGGTTGGTGTTTGCCACTGCCCTTGAGGCTGGCAGAGCTAGCATGGGAGTAGATGAGGCAGTGGAGTGGATGGATATCCTACCCACAAATCATATGACCAAAGGTAGAGAGAGACTGCATTCTGTTTGGGGTAAGGGAGGAGGAAGAACTGAGAGTGGGCTTCTCGGGGGAGATGGCACTTGGGCAGTGGAGATGGCAGTGGAGATGGGCAGTGGAGATGGCTGAGGGGTAGGCTCAGGAGTCACACAGGGAAGCACAGGCAGCTTTAGGGAGTGGGAGGTGTAGGGAGGAAGTCTCCCTGAAGAGAGGGGGCAGAGTGAGAGTGATGCAGTAATAGCAGTATCGAAGTAGTGGCAGGGAAAGAGAGATGTGGGGGTGAGGCAGGGAGGGAGGGAGAGAGAGAAAGAAACAGAGATAGAAACAGCAGAGAGATGAGGGAGAGCTAGACAACACGGCAATGTGACAGAGAGAGAGAGCAGGACACCAAGAGACCCCATCGCATGCCCAGGGTGTGTGCTGGTGGAGGCCAGAGGACAGTCCAGGTGCCTGGCTATGGTGTGTCCTGCCTTTGAGAGAGTGGCAGGCCCTAGGCAGGGGTTGGGGGGGCCTGGCTGCTAATCTCCAAGAGAAATGGTCATGGCCATAGGCCTTAATGGAGTCGATGACTCACAGTGTGTGGGGGGGTGGGGAGGTGGGGTGGGGATGGGTCCCATGCCAACAGCTATGCAGGAGACAGCTCTGGCTTTGAGGATGAAACTCTGTAGCCAGGGCCAGTGCCTGGGGCCTGCTTGCTGTCTGGATGCCTCCAACATCGAGAGGCTGCCTTTGAAGGAGAGGCCTGGCCGAGCCCAACTCCTAGCCTCTGGCTGGGCTGTGTCCTCTTCCCGTCCTTCAACCTCTTCCTCTCCTGGACTGGGAGGGGTAATCTGGGGCCTTCCAGAGGTGGCCAGGAAATGGGAAGGAGGGTGCAGCACCAGTTTTGGGGCCCCTCTAAGGGTGAAACTGGGGTGCAAAACATGGGATCTGCCATGACATGGACATCAGGATGACTAAGAGGCCCTGGAATGTGGGGAGCAAAGCGAAAGGCCCAGGGATGTTCCTGTCCTCAGAGCAAACTGTTTGAGCCTGGCCTTTCTGGACCTAGATCTTAGCAAACCCTAGGCATTGTTCAGGCTCAGAGTCCAGGTAGAGCAGACTTGTCATCTGCCCTCTGGGAGGGCTTAATTATTAAAATTAAAACAGCTACCATTTATTCAGAACTCACTTGGGGCCAGGCATGGAGCTACGTACTTTACACAAAACACTGTGTTTGTCCCCAGTGACTGTCAGTTGCAGGCACAAGTATCACCCCTGTATTAGTTATCTATTGCTGTGTAACAAATCACCCCAAAGCTTAGTAGCTTAAGACAGCACTCATTTATTGTCTCACAACTTCTGTGGGTGAGAAACCTGGGCATGACTTAACAGGGTCCTCTACTTCAGTGTCTCTCACAAGGCTGCAATCAAGTCGTCTGCAAGGGCTGTGGTCTCATCTGAAGGCTTGAATGGGAAAAGATCTCTTTCTCAGCTTAGTCAGTGGTTGTTGGCAGAATTCAGTTATCTCTGGGCTGTGGCCAGAGGCTGCTGTTAACTCTTCATCACGTGGGCCTCTCCCCCACACACACTTGCTTTTTCAAAGTCCACAAGCAGAAGGTGGTAGAGTCTGCTAGCAAGGTGGAACTCACAATCTTTTGTAACGTAAGCAGATACAAAGTAACATCCTCAACATTGCTGTATTCTATTGATTAGAAGTAAGTTAGTGACTCAGTGGAGAGGATTACAAAAGGCCATGAACACCAGGAGGCAGGGTCACTGGGACCATCTTAGAGGTTGTCAGCCATGCCTCCATTTGATAGATGCAGAAACAGAACCATGAGAAGTTAATCATTCAAGGTCACAGCTAATGAGTGGCAGGGCCAAGATTTGGACATGGGTCTGTGGGACTTCCAATCTGTAGCAATGCAGAGCCCAGGCTCTGGTAACAGACTGGCTCCACCCCTTACCAGTGATTGATCTTGGGCTAGTTAGTTACCACTTGAAGCCTCAGTTTCTTCTTCCATAAAATGAGGATAACAATCATAATGATAGAAAATCTCACGTAGCACTTACTTTGTGCCAGGTACTCTTCATGTAAGTCTTTTTATGAATGAGCTCACTTGATTCTTACAAGCACCTGTAAGTATGAGCCCTCCCATTCTGCCCACCCTAAATCATACCATGAGATTTCCTTTTTTTGAGGGGGGAGGGGAACGAAGTTTTGCTCTTGTTGTCCAGGCTGGAGTGCAATGGCACGATCTCAGCTCACTGCAACCTCTGCCTCCTGGGTTCAAGCGATTATCCTGCCTCAGCGTCCCGAGTAGCTAGGATTACAGGTATGCGCCATCAAACCCAGCTGATTTTTGTATTTTTAGCAGAGGTGGTGTTTCCCCATGTTGGTCAGGCTTGTCTCAAACTCCTGACCTCAGGTGATCCACCTGCTTTGGCATCCCAAAGTGCTGGGATTACAGGCATGAGCCACCGCGCCTGGCCCAACATTTCCTTTTGAAAACTGTCCAGTGGTTTCCCTTCCCACTAGAAGTAAAAGCCAAAGTCTTTTGCTCCTTGCTCACTCCTTTCCAGCCACTCTGGCTTCTGGCTGTGAATTGTCCTCCCGGGGCTCTTGTGTGTGTAGTTCCCACAGCCTGGAGCCCAGTCCTGCAGCTGGGGCTCCCTCCTCACTTCCTGCGGCCTCTGCTCAAGTGTCATCTCTTAGAGGGCCCTGGGTCCCCCTGTTTAAATACCACTCCCCCTCCCATTTTCTTTATTTTCCCCCTTTGTTTTTTCCCCTCCTGTTTTCTTTTTCTTTTTTTCTTTTCTTTTCTTCATTTTTCTTTGAGACAGGGTCTCACTCTGTCACCCAGGCTGGAGTGCAGTGGCACAATCACAGCTCACTGCAGCCTCAACCTCCTGGGCTCAGGTCCTCCCATCTCAGCCTCCTGGGTAGCTGGGACTACAGGCGTGCATGCACCACCATGCCTGGCTAATTTTTTAAGAAAAATATATTTTCTGTAGAGACAAAGTCTTGCTATGTTGCCCAGGCTGGTCTGGAACTCCTGGGCCCAAGTGATCCTCTCACCTTGGCCTCCCAAAGTTCTGGGATTACAGGCATGGGTCACTGCACCTGGCCCCCGCTCCCATTTTCTATCCCCTTACCCCGCTTCTCTTTTCATCACAGTGCTGACGTTATATGATATCAGTTTTGGTTTCTTCATTGTCTGTCCCCCTCAATAGATTATGAACACAAGGACAGAGGCATTGTTTGTTCCACCGAATCACTAGTACCCAGAATAGTGCTGGCCTACCCCAAGGCACTCAATAAATATTTGCTGAATGAATGATTGGATGAATGCTAGCTTTTGGTCATTGAGGGTAAGGCCGTGAAAAGCACCTCTGACCCTTCAGTCCAGCCTGGCTGCACCTCTTCCTCCACTCCTTGCCTTCTCCCTCTAAGAAACTGAGGTGAGGAGGAATTCTGGGTTCTTGGGAATCACTGAAAAGAAGCTACCCCACTGTCGCTCAGAGCAAAGATATAGCCTGGCCCTGAAGGGAAGGAACTGCTCTGGTACCTTCCATCCATCAGTCCTGGCTGCCATCCACTGAATTTAAACAATTTGGTTAGATAGAGCAGTTATGTCCATTTCCAGCCGGGCACGGTGGCTCACACCTGTAATCCCAGCACTTTGGGAGGCTGAGGCAGGCAGATCACCTGAGGTTAGGAGTTCAAGACCAGCCTGGCCAACATGGCAAAACCCCATCTCTACTAAAAATACAAAAATTAGCAGGCACAGTGGCGCGAGCCTGTAATCCCAGCTACTTGGGAGGCTGAGGCAGGAAAATCGCTTGAACCCGGGAGACGGAAATTGCAGTGAGCCAAGGTCGTGCCACTGCACTCCAGCCTGGGTGACAGAGTGAGATTCCATCTCATAAATAAATAAGTCCATTTCCATTGTAGTGGCAGAGAATGCAACAATTAAAAAACATAAATGTGAATTCAAATGCCAACACAAATACTAATAGCTCATGTTTATTGAGCTATTACTAGGTGTGAGGGGCTGAATTCTCTCCTCCCCAAATTCATGCTGAAGTCTTAACCTCCAGTACCTCTGAATTTGACTGTATTTGGAGTTAAGGTCTTTAAAGAGATAATACATTAAAATGAGTCCACTAGGATGGGTCCTTATCCGATATGACTTATGTTCTTAGAAGAAGAGACTGGGACATGGACCCGCACAGAGGAAAGACTGTGTGAAAGCATGGCATGGAGACAACTGTCTACAAGCCAAGGAGAGAGGCAGCAGAAGAAACAAACCCTGCTCACACCTTGATCTCAGACTTCTGGCCTCCAGATCTGTGACGATGGAAATGTCTGTTGTTTAAGCCAGCCAGGCTGTGGGACTTGGTCAGAGCAGCTCTAGCAAGCTCAGACACCAAGCATGATGCCAGGCTGCGTGTGCAAATCTGGCCAATGAGGTACAAAGGCAGTACTAATGAGGTTTTCCTCTCTCTTATAAAGAAGCAGGTTGGATGTGGTGACTCATGCCTGTAATCCCTATGCTTTGGGAGGCCGAGGCAGGAGGACTTCTTGAACTCAGGAGTTTGAGGCCAGCCTGAGTAACATAGGAAGACCCTGTTTCTACTAAAAATTAAAAAAATCAGTCCAGCATGGTGGCGCATGCCTGTAGTCCCAGCTACTTGGGAGGCTAGGAAGTGGGAGAAGCATTTGAGCCTAGGAGACTGAGGCTGCAGTGAGCTATGATGGCACCACTGCACCCCAGCCTGAGTGACAAAGTGAGACCCAGTCTGAAAGAAAAAAAACAAAGGGAAGAGTCCCACTCTTTGAAGGCCTATGAACATTGTTGTTTGAGTATGCTCTGCCTGGAGCTGCTGCAGCCATTTTGCCACCATGAGGCAAGCAAACATGGATACACAGAAAGATGAAAGGTACCTGGGTCCTCGATGCCTCTGCTGAACTGTGAATTACCCACCCTAGTTCTGGACTTTTATTTATATGAGAAAATGGAAATTCGTTGCTTTTTAGGCCACTTTGAGTTGGGCTTTTTGTTACCTGCCTCTACACCAGTGTGGCACCCCAGTGACAAAGGCAGTCCCTAGTCATACCCCAAGGCCCTGAGAAGTGGAGTGACCTGTCTCACATTATACAGCATATGAATGGGGTTCTGAGACTCAGGCCTCATCTTTCTACTCCAAAGTTCAAGTTCTCTGGGCTGTTTCAAGCTGCCTTGGCCCTGAAATTTTGGATGGGACAAGACCCCTGGAATCTGAAACCACTTGGCCTCCCACATTGCCATGGGAAGCAAGGAGGACTCCGAGCATGGAACCAAGGCCAAGGGGTGGACATTTAGTGGGAGCAATCATGGACTCAGGGAGAGGCAGGGCTTGCTCAGAGTCAGGGGCAGCAGACCACAGAGGAGGCTGCCAGGGGAGGCTGTGAGCCTCAACTTCCTCCCCTACACATCGGAAATGATAATAGCGCCTACCTCTTTGGCTTGCTGTGAGGATTAAATGAGAAAATGCAAAATGCCTAGAGCAGTATCTGGCCCATAGTGAGTAGTCATAGGTCTTAGTTTGTACTATTACTTTGTGACATCAGCCTGTTTCCGTTTTGTCCTCCAGTCCCCAGCTGGGGCCCTGCCTCCTTCCACCTGAAGCAGCAGCATGAGTGGAAAATTGGCTTTGGGAATCTCTGAGTCCTTCCATTATAGGAATTTGTCCGGGTAGCAGAGCAGCTCTGTGATGTTGTGTATTGAAACCCAAGAGCCCCGCCGGCACGACTGGAATTCAGGAGAAGGGTCCCTCGGGATTCCCTGCACAGCCTGCCAGGCCCACCCACGCTCTCCTCACTGTGTCAGCCTGGCTGAACTCGGAGGGCTGGACTGTGATTAGAGGAGCTGTGGTTCCAGACGACGGTCACCCTCTTAGCTACTGTGTATCCAGCACCACTGTGTACTTCATTTCATTCACCCACTCAGTCCTCCTGAGCGGTAGGTATCCTGTCCCTGAAGAAGAAACTGAGGTTCAGAGTGGCGAGGTCAGTTTTCCACAGTAAGCGGCGGAACTGTGATCTGCACTCAGACCTGTCCAGAGGGAAAGCTTGTGCTTTGTCCACTCTCAAGCACACAGAAAAGTGTCACTTCATCCCACCCAAGCTAAACCCAATTGAGAATCAAAATCACGAATTGGTCACCAAAGACTGTGGTTAATTTAGAGACCACTACGTGTGAAGTGCTGTGCCAAGCACTGTGCTCTGATATCCCTCTTGGGGTTTCACAGTTTATCTTACCACAGTAAAGGCTCTGAGAAGTCCTGCTATAAAGAAGCCCCTTTAACGTTGAGTCACTACCAGCTTCCTGCTTGGTAGAGTTCTGTTTTCCAAGAATCCCATTCACACCCCTTGCACAGAACATGCTTTTGAAAAAGGTCAGTCTAGAGAATGGGAATGCTGGGGAGAATCCTTCCAGGACCTTCAGAACAAACCCATGCAGACGATGCGACTTCCTGCCCAGAGGGGCACAGAGATAGCTGAGAACAGAAAGGGAGGGACTCCAGACTTGAAGTTTCAAAAGGGCAGGAAGTACTCAGGTACCTGGATGATAGATCTGGGGATTGCGTGTGGGTAGATGGATAAAGAATGATCTCCACCCACACCTCCAGCCAGAAGGAATTATTCAGACTGTGGAGGGGGAGAAGGGAGAGGATGTGGCCAGGGAGAGGGGTCAGGGAGCCCAGAGGATGCAGCAGGACTGGCTGTAAGGATTCAATGCTGGAAATGGAAAGCACTGTATGAATTTTAAGCAGCAAATGAATTAAAACTGAAAATTAGATGGTTGCAAAACTGTGGGAGGGCTGGAGAAGGGCAGTCAGGGGCAGCCCCTGGACTTTGGTTTGGAAGGTCATGCCTGTTGATATGACTCAGATGTGCGGAAGCTGCTGCTGCCACTGGAATTGCCACATACCTGTGAACCTGGTGAGCAGATGCTAGGGCCGCTCCAGCTGCAGCTCGGTGGCTACCACCTCTCTTCCTCCTTCCCCACCTCATGGGGGCATGTTTACCTATAGAACCTCATTCATAGCCCAGATCCTAGCTGCAAAGGAGTCTGGGAAAGATGACTGCTTAGCTTTCCAACTTCCCTCTGACAGAATAAGATTCTTAACCTGGGAGTGAGTGTCCCAGAGGCCAGGAGAGCACTCAGGGCCCCTCCAAGAACCTGCCTCGACATTCAACAGTAGGCCAAACCCTAGGGGCTTGCTTGTATTAGTCTGTTTTCATGCTGCTGATAAAGATATACCTGAGACTGGGTAATTTATTTAAAAAATAAAAAAGAAGTTTAATGGACTCACTGTTCCATGTGCCTGGGGACCGAGTGTAGTAGGAGAGAAAATCAGAGAGGAGATGGGGGCAGCTAGCAGGTGGATCATGCAGGGCCCTTGCACCTTGCATAGACTTTGACTTTGACTCAGCATGAGACACTGCCATCGCAGAGTTTCAAGCTGAAGAATGAAGTGACGTGACCAACATTTTAACAGGCTCACTCTGAGTAGTGTATAAGAGGAGATACACCTGCAGCAGGGGAGGCAGGAGGAGGCAGTGAAAGCATGAGAGTTGAAAGTGAGGGGCTGTTGCAATAGCCCAGGGGAGAGATGAGGGTGTTTTGGAGGAAGATGGTGGCAGAGGAGGTGGCGAGAAATGGCTGGATTCCAGGCGCATTTTGCAAGTGCAGCTAACAGGATTTCCTGACAGATCAAATGTAGGGGGTGAGAGAAAGATGAGTCAGGGATGGCGCCAGGGCTTTTGGCCAGAGCACTGGAAGGATGGAGTTGCAATCAACTGGAAAGATGAGGCCATGGATCTTCCTGCTTCTTGCAGGTTCTGGGGGGAGGTGGGGAAGATGAAGAGTTTAGTCCTGAACTTGTAAAATTTACAAGTTCGAACTTATGTTCATCTTCAAAACAGCTGCCAGAGTGTTATTTCTCTGAAAGAAAAACAAAGGAAGGAACAAACAAATCTCTAGTTGGCTAAGTCATGAAGTTCTAACTCTTCAGCTTGGGTGGATGAGTCTTTAATGAAACCTGCCCAGACGCATCTTCCCAGCTCTTCGCTCTCTGCCCATCCGTGTCCCCCTGTGCTCCCAGCCATCACTGAGCATCTCTTGTAGACCATTCATCCATTCATTCCCTCCCTCCCTCAGCATTTGTTTAGCATCTACTCTGCCAGACACGGAATTAGGCATCAGGGCTACAACCCTCTTGGAGCTCACATTTCCCATCACCCTGTCCCCAACCCTAGTGCCTTTGCACAAATTGTGTCATTTGCTTTGAATACCAGCCAGCTCTTTCTCCTCTCCCTGTTTACCCTCTGAGGCTCAACTGTTACCCTGTCCTCTGGGGGATATTTTTGATGCCTCAGACACAAGGAGGTCAATATTTCCAGCACCCTCTGCTCCTATCATCTGTGGGGGCTTCTCAAAGGCAGAGACTTGTCTTTATTCAGCCCTCTATCCCCCAATATTTGCTTGATTGCTTGAATGAATGAGTGTTAGTAAGGATTCAGCAGCTTGGATCTTGGTCTGAGCCACACTTGGCTAACGATGTCCTTTTGGTCATGGCCTCAGCAGGGATGAGCTGGCCACGATTCTAACCTTTCTAGAAAACAAATACTGGCAAATACTGGCAATATCCTTTTGAGAACTAGGTGGACCCTTAGAGCCTTATGGTGGGTTCTCCAGGGTAGAGAGGAGGAGGGAGGCTCCTGATCCCAGTTAGTCTAAGCCACCAGGACCAGACATCCACTATGGCCTCTGAGAGCCAGGGTAACCATGGAAACCAGGCACTGGGGGTGGGAGGAGCAACGAGTGGAATGAAGCCAGGCCCACAGAGAGGCCAGCAGGCCAGGCTGGGCTTTGGGACCACTCCATGTGTATATGTATCGGGTGGGGGATGGGAGAGGTGGGGAGTGAGTGTCCCAGAGGCCAGGAGAGCACCAGCTGCAGGAAAGGGGGATCTGTAAGGCATAGACTCAGAGCTCGGAGCTCACGAAGTGTCCTTGTGTTTCCCACAGCACAGGGGCCCTGGGCTCCAGCCCCCTTCTCTGAGAATCAGGAAAGAAAAACAAGTGAGAGGTATAGAGAAAGGGGCTGATAGTGATAAAAGACAGCAGAGGCCCAGGAGCTGAGCAGGGAGGGCAGGGGAGGGAGAGGGAGAGAGAACGAGAGAGAGAGAGAGGCTGTTTGATGGAGAAACCACAGAGATGGGGAGGGAGAGAGAGAGAACGTGATACCTACATAGAAAAAGAGAACTGGCAGAAGACAGAAGGAAAAACAGCAACACAGAGACTGAGAGACACACAAGGATGAGTGGAGAGACAGAGGGAAAGGGAAGAGCTCACAGGGGAGGATGAAGTAGAAATGGGGCAGAGGTGGAGGGAGAAACAGCAACAAAGAGCAAGGGGAGGGGTCGGAGAAAAACGGGGCATAGAAACAGAATCAACAAGTGGGGACACAGAGAGGGCGTCAGCCAGAGAGAGGCCAGAGTGAGTGTGAGCAAACGTGAGAGGAAGAAAACAAGTCAGAAACAGACAATCAGGAGAAGAAGAGGGAGGCAATTGAGGCCGAAAGATGATCAGATTGGCAGACGGCACGGGCTGAGCTACAGAGACCGGCTCCCAGCCCTACTCCAGGCAAGCCTTGGGCCCTCTGCCATGTAAAAGACCCAGAGAAAATCCCAGTCTGCCCTAGAAAGTCACCAGAACTCGGCCCCTTGTCTCCCCAGGAGAGTAGCCAGGTGGGGTGTCCTGTCCCAAGCCGAGGCCCAGATGCGGTGGCCCTGGCTATTCGGTGGGGACCCTGAGGAGTAGTGGCTGCAGCAGCAGTGGCAGGTTGGCTGCTGGAAGTGTTTATCAGTGGTGGCTGCCCTCCCAGGGCCCTCCATATGGTCTCGCATATGCTTAGCAACTTGCCTCTGAACTATAAGCTGTATTTACACCCGGGCAGGTGACGGCCTATTGTTGGGAAAGGAAGCTGGCAATGTTTTCCATTTCAAGGTGGTGTTGCCATCTAGGCAGGCTGGGATTCCCAGGCAACCTGCAGCTCCTGCTTAGTGAAAAAATAAGAGCTACTGCTTTGCCGCCAAGAGATAAATTCCTCCCAAAAGGTGATGCCAGGAAGTAGAATTTCTCTCTCAAAGAACTTAACATTTTTTTTTTCCTGAAGACAAATGAGAGCTATAGATCCCATTATCTCCTTTTTTCCCTTGGCTGCCAGGAAGCTCAGACAAAAATGCAGTGGGGGTCTGTAGAGGAATGGGGGTCAGAGCTTCCACTCAATGTTTCAAAGTTTCATGTCTAGATTGCTGGGTAAACCAATAAGAACCATTTAAAAAAATTTATTCATTCATTCATTTCATTGACAGACAACCACAGAAAGTCTGCTGGGAGTCAGGATTTAACCCAGGCACCTTTCTTATCTGCTAGGAGTGATCTCCAAACACAGATCCCAGAACACAGGACTCTCCCTAGCCCATAGTAAACATTTTTAAAATGTTTCCTCTTTGAATGAACAAATGAATTCACGACCCTGCTTGAAACCCCACTCTCCAGAACTCCTTATAAAGGCCAAACTCTTCAGTTTGGCATTTTGTGAGCTTCCCTATCTACTTATCTGGCTTTGCCGCTTACCCCTCTCTCATGTGCATTCCATGATTTAATCATATGGACACCTCATAATTCCCAGAAACCCTCATACTGCTTCCTACCCTCCCCATTTCTTCAGCTGGTGAACTCCTATACATCCTTCAAGACCCCAGTGAAATATCACTTCTCATGACAAGCCTTTTTCAGCCTCCCTAGTTGTATTTAATATTAATGTCTCCACTTTGCTTCCTAAGCATGCTTGGGCCTTGCCTTTGTTATTGTCCCCAAGTCATGTGGCACAGCATGGCTTCTTACATGTCTGTCTCCTCTACAAGTCTGTGAGCTCCCTGAGGGCAGTATGGGCTCTGGGGCTAGGCCCCCTGAATCTAAGTCCCAGTTCTGTCACTTACCAACACAGACTTTGGGAAAGTTATTTAATTGCTCTATGCCTCAGTTTTTCCATCTGCAAGTAGGGCTGATAATAATATCTACAATTTAGGGTAGTTACAGGGATTAAATGAGTCAATACCTACAAGGCACCTAGAACAGTGCCTGGTAGTTTAGAGTGCTGAATAAATGTGAACTCTTGTGTTAATAGCTGTGCTACTGATCAATCTGATGGGTCCCCAGTGCCTAGCACTATTTCTGGCACATGGGAGGTCCCAGCCATGGCCTGTTGTATGGAAACAAAAACTATTAAAGCATGACCTCTGCTCACAAAGAGTCCTAGCCCAAGGGATTCATTCCCTGTCTATTCAGTGTCCACTGTACCAGGCTTCATTCTAGGTGCAGCAGTAAACAAAACAATAAAGAACTATATGCTGCAGAATCTTAGAAGATCCTAAGTGCTATGAAAAATAGGACCGAATAAGTAGTATTAGGATTGCAATTTTAAATGGGGCAGCCAGGGTAATCCTGGCTCCAAAGGTGACATTTACAGGAAGCCCTGAGTGAGGTAGGCTGTGAGTCACGTACCTATCTGGGGGAAGAACGTTCCAGGCAGAGGGAGCAGCAGGTGCAAAGGCCCTGGGGTGGGAACGTGTCTGGCATGTTGGTGTTATAGGAATGGCCAGGGGCTCATCTGGCTGGAGCAGAATAAGCAGATGGGAGAAGGAAAGGAGGGGACCTGAGGCAGGGGGTCGGGGAGGTAGGGGAAGACGGATTATGTTGAGCCTTGTAGGTCATTGTCAAGACTTCAGCTTTTACTCTGAGAAGCAACAGGGACAAATGCAAGGCTGTCCTCTCGATCAATATTTCACTCTGCTTCTCAGAGGTATGTGTGGGGTGGAGGTGCTCTGTGTGGAATGCCCAGTAGAAGTGAACTCCCCTGTGGATGACACAGAAAAAAGGCCTGGATGGAGGTCTCTGGCAAGCCACAGGATGGCTAGGTGTGGTGAGGCAGGGGTCTGCCTGAGCTGTGTCTTCTTTAGCCATCCAAACGTAAACCCAGGTGCTCCCTGGGCCCTGGGCCCACCAGCACTGGCTTGTTTGTCCTTTGACTTCTGAGTCCAAAGTGAAAGCTGAGGTTCCTTCCCAGACTTTGGGGTGGCTGAGTGTTCTGTGGTTCCCTGGAAAACTGGCTTCTTTCCCACCTTGGAGGGAGGTGTTTTAGGTCCTTGTTTCTTAGGCCTGTGGTAGGGCAAGCTGCTTAAGGATAAGGAGAAAGTGGAAGCTCCACGGAGGAGACACAGCATAGGGTAGGTGGTCTTGGATCTCTGCATCCTTGAAGAACACTACTGGGCTGGTCAGGTCTCCAGGAACCCACAAGAAAACAGAGAAAAAGAGAGGGAAAGAAGGGAAGATGGGTAGGGTAGCTATATAATTTGTCATCCAAACCAAGACACTTTGAGAATGAGAAGGCACTGCTACTAATTACAACAGCACAATCCAGGCATAAGCAGGAGCCTATGGAGGGGTGGGGAGACAGGCAGAGGGTCAAAGACAGGGACAAGAGAAATATTGAAATAGACATGGAGGGTGTATTAGTCCATCCTCACACTGCTAATAAAGACATACCCGAGACTGGGTAGTTTATAAACAAAAGAGATTTAATTGACTCGCAGTTCAGCATGGCTGAGGAAGCCTTAGGAAACTTACAATCATGACGGAAGGGGAAGCAAACACATCCTTCTTCACATGGCAGCAGGAGAGAGAAGTACATAGCGAAGGGGAGTAAAGCCCCATATAAAACCATCAGATCTCATGAGAACCCACTCACTGTCATAAGAACAGCATGGGAGAGCTGCCTCCATGATCTAATCACCTCCCATGAGGTCCTGCCCACAACATGTGGGAATCACAATTCAGATTATAATTCAAGATGAGATTTTGGGTGGGGACATAGCCAAACCATATCAGAAGGTCGGCACTGGAAGGAACTCGCAGGTCATCCCACCTAAGCTGGACAACTCAAAAGCGCAGAGACTTGTCCAGGCCACCAGCACATCACCAGCAAAGCTGGTACTGGATACTTGATCACTGACATCCAGTGTGGTGGTCCCTCCCCTCACAGCCTCCTGGTCTTGGGTGTACTCAAGGCCCTCTTAGAGCTCAACTGTTCCCTTGAATTGTTATTAGTTTGTTTTGGCGGGGAGAGGGGGGTCAGTGGTTCCAGCCTATAAAAATGGGGTATGGATTGTTCAGTGGGCTTTTATCTCTAATAAAGTGCCGTTTGTCTCCTTGGCTTGGCCTCTTAGGAAGGATGAGAAGCCACCCACTATTCCCACAGGCCATCCACAGGGGTCTTTATCTGCTTGCAACGTGAGGAATGGCTGGGGCCACTTCTGTGACCCAAACCCAAGCCCAGGTGCCCTGGAACCTTGGATGACAAGCACTGGCTTCCTTGCCCTTTGGCTTCTGAGTCCAAGAGTGAAAGCTGAGATTCCTTTGGGAATTACTGGCCTCCTTCTAGTAAATCCCAAAGCAGAGAGTCTTCTTTATGATCTGTGAGCTCTGCAAACCAGGGACAACATCTGTGGTATTCGCCACTATATGCCCAGTGTTTACCTAGGATAGTTGTAGGCACATGGGCAGTACTCTAAAATATTGAATGTCTAAATGAAACCTCAGATTTGAGGGCTTATGCCCCAGAATGTGGCCTGGTGTGGTGCTCAGTGGCACAGATAAAACATAAGATTTTTTTTTTTTTTTTGGTGGACAGGATATGCTACTTGATTTTTTTCCCTTTAGGGGATTTATCCTCCTCATTCTGTTTTGCTAAAGCTAATATTTATTGATTATTTGATTCAGTCTTTAATTCACCAGCTGTTTATTGAACCCCTACCAGGTGCCAAGCACTGTGAATTAAACTCTGGATAAGGCCTCTCCAAGGTGGCTGGTTCGCCACACTCAGATGTGAGCGGCAGCGATCTGCTATGTTGCAATGGTCTGAATAGACCCAAGGTCTTGCAGCAAAGGTCAATCTCTTAAAAATCAGAGCCACTAAGCAAACATTCTCGGGGCGCTTTATGGAGTTAAGCTGTTTATGCTGGGGAAGCATTTCTAAAAACTGCACCTGGGGACTTTTATCCACTTTGTAATTGTCCCTGGCTCCTCTATAACGGGATAAATCAAGCATAAGTCTGTCTCTAGGTTTATTGGAGGTTTACATATTTGGAATAAAAAGCAAAGAATCAGGCAGATAGTAGCAGAGACAGAGAAAAACCTGGGAAGAAGAAAAATTAGAAGGAGAGAAGTGGATATCTGGACAAATGGGGCTCAGCCCTGGTTCTGCAATAAATTCCTGGACGAACTTGGCCAAGCCATTTACCCACTCTGATCTGCGAGCCTCCTCATCTGCAAAGTTGGTTGGGTAAAATCACTTTTGAGAAATGGTAAAGTGTTCTCTTCATCCTTTCTGGGAGTCTTTATTCCCTGTCTTCCTGAAGAGGCTCTCGCCAATCCCTTTGTCAGAATGCTAGACAGAGATCAGCAGGCATCACTGTGAAAAACAGAGAAAGTCAAAGAAAAGCTGGTTGTTGTCCAATGCTCGTTAACTCAAGAACAAGAGACTCTCCATATTTTTTTGGTGAAAGGTCTTCAGGGTCAGTTCACATATTGGCACATGAACTCGCTGTTCCCATTAAATGAGTCAGGCAAGATGTGAACATTAATTTGAGTAAGTGAATCAGCCTCACTCTGAAAAAGAAAAAAATATCATTAAGTAGAATGGATGCATGCATATGTAACATGTATATATAACATATACGGCCGAGCACAGTGGCTCACACCTGTAATCCCAGCACTTTGGGAGGCCAAGGCAGGTGGATCGGGAGGTCAGGAGTTCAAGACCAGCCTGGCCAACATGGTGAAACCTTGTCTCTACTAAAAATACAAAAATTAGCCAGGTGTGTGGCGGGCGCCTGTAATCCCAGCTACTCGGGAGGCTGAGGCAGGAGGATCACTTAAACCCGGGAGGTGGAGGTTGCAGTGAGCCGAGATTGTGCCATTGCACTCCAGCTCTGGGCGACAGAGCAAGACTCCATCTCAGAAAAAAAACAAAACAAAACAAAACATATACACAGATACGCAAGCACAGACATCATAGGCATGTGCCATCACACACACACAAACACACACACATGCTCAAGCAGGGGGTGGGCCATCACCAGGGTTCCTTCCATCTCTGGGGCTCTGTGGGCCGGATGGGAATTAGAATCCCAGGGCACGGAAGAGGGCTTGATCTTCTTCCTGCCTAAGTTGTTTCCATTTAACAGATGGAGAAGCTGTCCTAACAGGATAAAGCTATTAGAGGCAGCAAGATAAAGTGGCTAAGAGTCCAGGTCCTAAAGCCAGATTGCCTGAGCCTGGACCCCAGCTCTGCCACTTAGCCAGGTAATATTTGTCTAATTACTTTGCCTTTCCGTGCCTCAGTCTCCCCACCTATGAAATGGATAACGACAGTACTTAATATTTAAGAAATTACTTAGAAGAGCACCCAGTCCATACTAAGTGCTCTGTAATATTAATGGAGCCAACCATTTCTGAGGGGCTGGAGAAGCCTCTGGAGTCCTCCTTCATGCCTCTGCTCCAGGGACCGTGGGTGCAGCACATGCTTGTCAATGTGAACCTGGCATGGGGTCGTTTCTTTTGAGACTTGTCACCTTCACACATATGTTTGGAATATGGAAGCTAAGTAGGGTGGTGAAGGGAGAGGGTGTAAGAGTTTGCTAGGGCTGCCATGTCAAAGTGCCACAAACTGGATGGTATGGGAGAAGAGAAAGTGATCACCTCTCTGTTCTGGAGGCAAGAAGTCTGGAATCGAGGTGTCAGCAGGGCCATGCTCCCTCTGAGACTCTGGGAAAAGCCCTTCCTTGCCTCTTGCTGGCTTCTGGGGGTGGCCAGCAGTCCTTGGCAGTCCTTGGCTTGCAGCCGCATCCTTCAACCTCCGTCTTCTCATGACATCCTCCACTGTGTCTTCAGTATGTTGGCCTCTGTGCCCAAATTTCCCCTTCTGATAAGGACATGGTCATGTTGGATTAGTGCCTCATCTTAACTTGATCATCTGCAGAGATCATTTTTCCAAATAGTCCCATTTGGGGGACTGGGGGTTAGGACTTCAACATCTTTTGAGGGGACACAAATCAACTCATAACAGAAGGAGAGGGAAGGAGGGGGAAGGAGGAAGGGAAAGTTGGAGAGAGCAGGGAGCAGGTGCCAGCCTGTGCTGCCTAGGTAACAGGAGCAGGAGAGAGGTCCTTCCCACTCTGGCAGGCTGTCCTGACATGCCTGTCACTGTGACAGCTGGGTGTAGATCTGTCCTTGAGCCTGGAGATGGCCCGGTAGGAATCCAGTTTCCTCAGTTCTGCTGTCTGCTGCCCACTGGCACCCCAGAAAATGAAGCAGACATCAAAATCAATGACCAGGAGGTGAACTGGCCTTATCACCACTCCCAGCACATGCCCCAGTGGCCCGAGCACCTTGTGTAACTGCTGGGGGTCAGTTGGCTCCAAAGCAGGCAGCTCTTACTGGCTAAAGAACACTTGTAGGCCAGCCACCTGCCCTTTGTCTCAAAAGTCATGGCCACTGCACTTCTTAGTGACTCACTCTACCTCCCTGAACCTCACTTTACTCATCTGTAAAATGGGGTAATGCTAATGACTACAGGGTTTTTGGAAAGAACAGAAGAGATAACAGGCATGAAGTAGTGTGAGTCAGGATACAGAGCACCGGCTGTGGAATATAACTGCCTGGGTTCAAATTCCAGCTCTGCCACTCACTAGCTAGGAGCTCGTGGGCAGGTAACTTAATCTTCCAGAGCCTCAATTTTCCCATCTGTAAAATGGAGACAATAATATTAATACATCCCTCCTTTCAGATTAGGTTTATGGTAGGGACAAAGAGGACTAAAATAGACATTGCCTTCAAGGAGCCCACAATCTTACGGGAGAGATAAGTTTGGAGGAATAAATAGAGATACAGTGTTAAGCGAAGTGTCTAGTACCCAGTAAGAGCTCAATAAAGTTCTTGGCTTGTGGTCTTCACAGTTTTGGCTTCCTCTAAGCATGCAGTAGGCTTTCAACGCACCCTTTGTGCATCAATTAGACTTGGTCTGCCAGGAAAATAGATACCACAGTCTTTAGTCATTACTGTGTGCCCTGTGGTGAGCACTTTTACATGTGTTATTTCAGTTAACCTTCCCAAACTCCAAGATTGTTATCCTCTCCATTTTGCAGAGGAGAAAACTGAGCTTCAGGGAAAGGAAGTAAATTGCCCAGGGTCACGGATTTCAGCCCTGATCTAATCTTGCCTCCAGGGTCCAAGAGCCAGGTCATTCCAACACCTCAAGGAAGTTGATCTGAATCACCATTACTTCCATGGTGGGATTTTCAGCAACTCAGAGGTGGTATCTGCTCAGGTACCAGAGAGCCCTGGGCCATGCACCCACCTCTAGAGTTTTCCAAGGGGAAATCCTGGACACTGCCCGAGATCCCTGGTTGACAGATATGTGTTTGCCTTCCCATTTCTTTTCTTTTCATCCAAGTGCAGAGTAGTGGATGGACATAGGGGCTCTGGAGGCAGGCAGCAGGGGCATGGGGACTAATAGTTCAGCAGGAAGAGGGTAACTGTGAGCAGGTGAGTCTGGGAGAGCAGAAAATGAAGCAGAGAACAGTAATGTGGGAGGCAGGATCCAAACTTCCCTAAACTCTGAAGTCAACGTGCTGGTAGATTTGGATAACTCCCTCTTGCCCATCCCCAGCTTTACGACAGTGTTATCTTCAGTGAAATGGGAGAGCCCTTGCATGAGATGAGTCTGAAGTTTTTTGTTTTTTGAGACAGAGTCTCGCTCTGTCACCCAGACTAGAGTGCACTGGTGCGATCTTGGCTCACTGCAACCTCCGCCTCCTGGCTTCAAGTGCTTTTCCTGCCTCAGCCTCCCAAGTAGTTGGGGTTACAGGCACCCACCGTCACCACGCCCGGCTAATTTTTATATTTTTAGTAGAGACGGGGTTTCACCATGTTGGCCAGGCTGGCCTCGAACTCTTGACCTCTGGTGATCTGCCCACCTCAGCCTCCCAAAGTACTGGGATTACAGGTGTGAGCCACCGTGCCCAGCCTAGCTGAAGTTTAAAAATTCACTGATTGCATTGATTATGCCAGGGACCATATGCATTCTTTGTTCTTACTCAAAAGTGAGTGCCCACATACACAGCCAGTTCCTGGCTCACAGTTGAACCTTCACAAATATTTGTTGCATGACTGAATTGTACCAGGTGCCCTGTGAGACTCTGAGTGCTAAACCTGTAATCTCAGCAGCTCTACACAGACGATAATGGTGATTTTAAAAGTCTTACATTTGTTACATGCTTGCTGGTTTTCAAAGCCTCTTTGCAGAAGTCATCTCCTTCAGTGTTTACGACAGTTGTGTAGGTGTTAACATCTCCCTTTATAGATGAGAAGACAGGCTTAGAGAAGTTAGGCCACTCGTCCAAGCTTGCACAGCCAGAGGTTCAAGGCCAGGACTGGTTCCAGGTCACCTGACCTCCCTGCCCACTCCTCTCTCCCTGTCACATGAAGATGTGGTCCGGATGTAAATATAATGAGAAAGGTTGGAATCCCAGTACTTTATTTGCTGGGTGACTTTGAGCAGGTCTCTGAGCTTCCCTCTCTGTAAAACAAGCTTCCTGACCATCTGTGCCTCATGGAGTTGTTTGGAGGCTTAAGTAGGCTTGCAGGCCTCTAAAGGCTTGATCACAGTGCCTCATGTTAAATATTAGGAGTCTAAAGCACAGGGAGGCAAAGTAACTTCCCCAAAGCCAAACAGCTGGTGAACAAAGGAGACAGGCTTTGAACTTGGGTTTATCTAACCTCGCAACCCGAGCGTCTACCCAGGTAAGCACTCCATAAATGGCAGTTATTGGTATTGTGTTGTTGACTATCAGTTAATTTAAAAGCGAAGGTGGAGGATGAAGTTTCAGCAATCTCTTTATCCAGCAGGACCTTCCCTTGCTATTCCCAGGGAGTTACTTTTTGGAAAGCTCAGCCACAATGCATTCAGAGGAAGCTTGACCCTGGACCCCTCCCAGCAAAGCCATCCAGATTCTACCTCTTTTCCTGCAGGGTGTGTGTGTGTGTGTGTGTGTGTGTGTGTGTGTGTGTGTGTGTGTGTGGCGGGGTGTATATAATGTGTGTGTGTGTGTGTGTGTGTGTGCACGCGTGTGTCCCTGGGAATTGCAAGCATTCCTGAGGGTGAAGGAGCAGGCAGACCCTTGGACCTTGTGCTAAAAACACTCAGAGAGGCTGGCCCTGGCCTGTGTGTAGCTTGTTGAAGGGAGAAAAAGAGAGAAAGTGGAGGAATCCCTGAGCTAGTCGAGGCCCAGAAGTGTCAAGACCACAACCTTCTAACCTCCACAGGGTGTTCCTAAGATTTGTGAATTTATTTCCATGAAAGTCATTGCAAAGATAAACAAATTTAATCACTCAGTTGTATATTTAATGAACTGTCATGTTTTGGAAATGATTGCAAATTACATATAAAAGGAGACAATTCAGAAAAAAATCAGGGAGGCAATGATTAAACATTTAAAATGCAGACTGCCTTGGCAAAGCTAGGTTGTAAGGTCAGCATGCCTCTGGGGAAAGAATCTGCCAAGTCTAGTGTTATCCAAACAGCCATTCAAGCATTGGGCTCACCTGTATTGCGTATTTATCATGTGCCAGGAGCTATACCAAGGAGTTTCTATGAGACCCTCACAGCCACCCCATGCTAGAGTTGCAGTTACGATTCCCATTTAGAAATGCATGGGAGAGTTTAGGTGGCTGGCTCAAGGTGGCACAGTTATGAGGTGGCATAAAAAATTCCCCTGAGTGGCTAGGCGCGGTGGCTCATGCCTGTAATCCCAGCACTTTGGGAGGCCGAGGCAGGCGGATCACGAGGTCAGGAGATCAGGACCATCCTGGCTAACACGGTGAAACCCCGTCTCTACTAAAAATACAAAAAATTAGCCAGGCGTGGTGGCGGGTGCCTGTAGTCCCAGCTACTTGGGAGGCTGAGGCAGGAGAATGGTGTGAACTCGGGAGGTGGAGCTTGCCGTGAGCTGAGATCGCGCCACTGCACTCCAGCCTGGGCGACAGAGCCAGACTCCATCTCAAAAAAAAAAAAATTCCCCTGAGTACCAACTCTGCACTGGGTCTTGGAGACCCAGAGATGAACAAAGCAGGGCCCCAGACCTTGAGAATTGCGCAGCCTAATCAGCCATCACGTTATAAATGTCAGAAGCCAGAGGTCATCCCTTCTAGTGATTTCAAATGCCTTTTAAGCAAAGGACACTTTCTCCTTGAAATCTCATGTGAGACACCATCATGCAAAACAGATAAAAAGGGAACCTGTTTCTGGCTAAAGCTGGGAGGGGGATTGCTCGTCCTCTCTCACCACTCTCATTCTTAAGATATTCTCATTCTTAAGATACCCAGGAGCAGTACCTACCAACCCAACTTGAAACCTGTTGATCTTGTCCAGATGCCTCATTTCACAGATGGTAACACTGAGGCCCAGAGAGGGGAAGGAATCGCCCAGATGGCCAAGACTGGAACGTGGGCCTGTGGACTCCTGGTTCAGGGATCTTTGCTGGGCATTAGGTCTGCAAATGCTCACCCCAATCACTGTAAATCCTGTGTACAGTGATTGGGGCGTAGAACCTGGGTGGTGCAGCACTAGACACACTTCGGTGAATTTGGGGCTTTTAGGCCAATTCAACTTTTTTCTCCAGATGCTGGAGAAAGCGAAGCCTAAGAGCTTCCTAGGGGAAAGGTGAGTATTTTCAGAAGAACCACTTCCACTAGATGCCCCAATTCCAGAGGTATTGAAAGCACCCTGGCCTGGGAGTCAGGAGGTCTGGGTTCAATGCCCAGCTCTTAACCATGATGAGAATCTAGTCTATGTTTCTTCCTCAGTTTCCCTATTGGTGAAATGAAGTGGTTGGATTACAGTGAATTCTCCACAAGTTTCCTTCCCGAATCTTTTTAGAACTTTCAGGCCAGGCCACTTCCGGGTTTCTGCCAACCTAGACTCCAGTGGGTCGGCTCTGGCCTTCACTGCTCCTTCTCCCTCCTGAGGACTGCCCATCCATCCACAGCCCCACCACCTGCTCTTTCGTTCCTTCCCAGCTTCTCCCCTCTTTAGCCCCTCTCCTTGGTGGAGACTTCACCCTCTAAGTTTCCTGATAAGCCACAATCTTGGTGTCTTACTTGCTTTCATCAAACAGCCAAAGGGATTCTATGGGCCATTTGCCCAAGCCTCCATTTTACAGATGTAAGGACCGAGGCCAGAGAAGGGAGGGATTTCCTCAAGATTACCTTGTGAGAGGGAGGTGCGGTCTTCCTGTAACCCGAGTCAGCCTTATCTTGTCCAGGACTAAATTTTTCGGGCGCCTAACTTTAAAAAAATAAAGTACTTTTTTGGCCTAATATAAGGTTGGTACAAAAGTAATTGTGGTTCTCGCCATTACATTCAATGATGAGATCCACAATTACTTTTTTCTTTTTTTTTTTTTGAGACAGAGTCTAGCTCTGTCGCCAGGCTGGAGTTCAGTGGCGCAATGTCGGCTCACTGCAACCTCTGCCTCTCGGGTTCAAGCAATTCTCCTGCCTCAGCCTCCCGAATAGCTAGGATTACAGGCACGTGCTGCCATGCCCAGCTAATTTTTGTATTTTTAGTAGAGACGGGGTTTCACCATGTTGGCCAGGAGGGTTTCAATCTCCTGACCTCGTGATCCACCCACCTAGGCCTCCCAAAGTGTTGGGATTACAGGTGTGAGCCACTGCACCCAGCCCACAATTACTTTTGCACCAATACATAGAATTATGTTTCCCAATTGAGAGGACATTCGAGATGTTCAAGGAAATTAAGGTCATTGGAGGTAATCCAAGGGCCTCCAATACCCTAATTGACCTGGTGAGGAGTGGGAGTGGAGGGGGTCCCTTCCCAATTCTCTTTTCATCAATGCTCTTGATGAAGAGTTTGTTGCTAATGTGTCTTTAACACCTTTCTAGCCTTTGGTAACCTTCCTTTCAAAGAGAAAGTGGGACCTCAGCTTCAACACCTCCTCAGGCAGCAGTATCTTGTTAGACTGTATTATTATTATTGTGGTTAAAGATACATTGTTAGAATTTAATAACACTTATTTTCATTGTATTTATTTTGATGGTTACCTTCTATTTATAGTAATGTGATGCTGGCTTTCCATTTATGGTAATAATTTAACATATCTTTTTAAAAACAAGCTCACTTAAGTAAATTAAAAAAGAATGAAAAAATAAGAGTTGATTTAGAGAAGCCTATTCAGCAGATGTCCTTAGCTAATGCACAGATAGGGCCAGGTCCTCCATGGAGGCTGGAGAGAGGCTGAGGTCCAGGAAACTGACTTGGAACTGGAGTCAGGGACCGAGCTGGTTGTCTAAGTTGTGCAGCGGGTCTGCACTCTCTTCCCCTGCGCCTGCCCCGTTCTGCCAAGCCCCAGACCCTTAGAGACTCTATCCCTCTCTCTGCCTGTCTCTGGTCTCCACTTCCCCAGCTCCAGCACCCTTGCTGTGGGCTTCCCGTTTTTCCTCTTTAAATGTATGTGGCGCCTGGTGTCCAAGGAGGCTCACACGGGGCCTCTCCCAGCAGCATTCCACAAGTGCAGGGCCTGTGGGGTGTTCAGCCTCCACCCTCCATTCTGTTTTGGCAGCTGAAGGGTGAATGTGGAGCCCTTCTCCTTGTCCTCCTCTTATAGAAATTCCACCATTAGGGACTTCCTCCCCTTGGGTGAAGCTTTGCTCACTCTGGGTCCCTTTGAAACCGCGGATCCAGGGATTTTTCTTCCAGCCACGTGCCTACTCTAAGAGTCCCGGTGACGCGGTGAAGTTCTTTAAAGGACCAGACATCCCTGAAGTCCTTACAGGGACATCCCCTTACAGGGACGAATCCATTTCCTGGAATGTGGGCAAGGAAAGGCAGCCACTTCCTGCCTCTCAAAACTCTGGCTGGTGGCTGGGTGCAGTGGCTACGTCTGTCATCTCAGCACTTTGGGAGACTGAGGTGGGAGGATCACTTGAGGCCAGGAATTGGAGACCAGCCTGGGCAACATGGTAAGAGTCCAGCTCTACAAAACACACACGCACACACACACACACACACACACACACACACACACACACACCAAAAACAACAGAAAACATTAGCCAGGCATGATGGCACATGCCTCTGGTCCCAGCTACTCGAGGGGGCTGAGTTGGAAGGATTGGATTGCTTGAGCCCAGGAGGTCGAGCCTACAGTAAGCCGTGCAGGAGGTCGGGCTACAGTGAGCTGTGCTTGTTGACCAGGCTTGTCCAGCCTGGTCAGCAGAGCGAGACCTTGTCTCAAAAACAAAACAAAAACAAAACAAGAAGATCCCCCTCCCCCCAAACTCTGCCCAGTGGCCTGACTACCAACATCCATATACAAGACAGGAGTAGGGTCAACTCCTTCCTATCAGTCACCCCTTAGTGAGAATCAGCTGGCCAAGGGGCCTCCTGCAGAGCTGATGTGTGCTTGAATGCCTAGGGCCCACGGGGATGGGGTGTGGAAGCTTCAAGCTGGGACTCAAAACAGAGTTGCCAAGGGAAGAGGAGTGGGCGACCCGAGCCCCTGTCATCAGTACTTTCACTTGGGCTGTCAGTTTTGATCTGCTTGCTTGTCCGTTTTGTCTGGGGCAGGGTCGGGTAGTTGTTTAGAGGAGGCTCAGAGGTTAAAAGTCTCAGGCAAGTCATGTCAGGGGTTGGGAGCCAGTGCTGCTGTGGCAGCAGTACAGAGAAGAAAAGATAAGCTCCCCAGCCCCGCAAGAACCTCAGCCCTGAGGCCGGAGACACAGATCTGGCCCCTTGCAATCAAGTCATTTGCATCTGACCTGGGGTCAGGCCCCTCCATGCAGGAAGTCCCCTTTCTTATCTGCAAGTCAGAGGAGGGTGAGTTCCCCAGGCTTTCAACAGGTACTTCCCCCGGCAGCGGGAAGCCCAGGAGCCCGATCAGGACCGAGGATCTCACCCCAACCCCTGCGTTTGGGCCCCGGGGTCAGCTGAAAGTTCCCCTGGAATAAACACTTCGGGTCCAGCATGCCCCTCTCCCCACTCCCGCAACGATCTTCCGAATTCAGACGCAGAGAGGGCCCGCGAGCAGAGCGGGAGGTGGTCGGAGGCGGAGGAAGGGGAGATGGGCAGAGGGTGGGCCCAGGGACCCCCAGACAAGGCCTGGACGCGGGGTTGGAGGAGGAGGCGGAGGCTGGCGGGAGGCGAGGGGCAGCCCGCAGAGGAGACGCGCTTCTCGGCAGCAACGGCGTCTGGAGCCGGGAGGGGCGGAGGTTTGGGGAGGGGGAGGGAGGGCGGGGGAGGGGAGGGACGGACGGCGGCGGAGGTGGGGCCGGCGGGCTGGCGGGCGTGCAGCTGCCGCCGGCGTCGCGGGGCTCCAGGCTGCGGGGCGGACGTAGCGCCGAGCGATCCACCGCGGAGCCGCGCGAGGCCGCCCGAGCCCCAGCCCCGGCCCCGGCCCCAGCCCCGGCCCCGGCCCCGGCCCCGGCCCCGGCCCCGGTCCCGGCCCCGAGCCCCGAGCGAGCGCCGCCGCCTCGCGCTGCGGGTCCCCGGACGCGCCGCCACCGCCGGGAAGGCAGCCGGCGCCGGGCAAGTTGCGAGCGCGCCCCTCCGACCAGGAAAGTTTCCCCCCGGCCGCCGGCGGGATTTGGCGCGGGGTCCGGCAGCCGCCGCTGGAAGGTATGGGGCTCCGCACCTCCGTGCCCTCCGCACGCCGCCGCCGCGCCCCCGGGGACCTGGGGACCCCCCCGCGCGCCGCCCCGGGGGTGCTGCTGGACGCGGCGGGGAATTGGGGTGGAGTAGGGATCCCAGGACGGAAGCCCGGCAACCAAGTTCCACTCAAACTAGCACGCGGGGGCTGGGGGGCCGGGGACGGTCTCCACCCCGTGCCTGCCCGGAGTCCGCTGAGGGCCGGGGGCTGCGCCCAGGACAGGTGCAGAGCCGGTGGGCTCCCAGTGCTCCGGGTGGAGGAGTGGGGGCTTCTGGAGAACGGCGCGGGGTGGCAGGTGTGGTTACAAGGTTCGGGGTTTCGGCCAGGGCTGCGCCCGGAAAGGGGCTGCTCGCCACGCCACCCGGTAAGACAGTGAGGGACCAGGGACTGGGAGCGGCGATCGGGGCCGGGAGGGCTGTGGGGCCCGGCAGCTGCATGGAGGGCGGGCTGCCTTTGGGGTCCCTGGCAGCGGGGCGGGGCGGGGCGGAGGCGCCACTCGTTCCTCCAGGACCCCCCTTATTCCTTAGGTGTGTGCGGTTTGGGGAAGTGGAGACTCCATGGAGTGCTGGGTGGGTGGGAGGCTCGGGCACGTCCAGATTTAGGGGGCAGTGGGAGCCAGTTGGGACGGTGCTCGGCTCGGGTGGGATCGCGCCGGCTCCGGGTCCTGCTGGAGTGAGGTGACTGGGCTCCCGCCAGGGGGCGCACTGCCCCGGCCCTCGCCAGCAGGAAGCGCGTTCTGGCTCCTGCGAGGCAACCGCGCCGACATCCAGGACGCAGGGACCACAGACACCCAACTTACGCGGGGTCCCGCCCCGAGGAGCCCGCCCTACACTAGCCAGACGGGGGAGCGGGACCAAGAGTGAGGCGAAAGGTTCACAGTTATAACTGCGCCGTGGGCTGGAAAGGCTAGGAGTCAGGATGTGATTTTTCTCGGGAAGGCTGCCAGGGCAAATGGATGAGTAAGAAATTTACCCCCAGAAAAAGATGTAAGAAACTACAACTGCGAATTGGTGCAGAGAGAGTGGGTTGGGGAATTAACTTTTTGACGGTTTTTGGAGTTGCAGAAACCCAAACCCCAAAATGCATGCACCCTTTTTGTAAAAGTTGCACCTTTGTTTCCTGGATCTGGTCGAATCCCTGTCTGGTGAAGGCAGGATGGGGGTCTTGGGGTATCCTCTCTCTGGGCACAAGTAAACTGGGAGGCACAGGGCGGGCGGTGGGGGATGGGGCCTTAAAGACTTCAGCAGTCCAGGCAGAAGTGTTAAATTTCTCAGCAGTCAACGAGCCCTGGCCCCCACCCTCATCCCCTGGGTCTGTGGTCTCTAGGCCACATTCTTCTGGTCATTTCACAATTATTGGTGGAAATCTGCCCTGGGTCCCAGTTGTCTGGCCTCAGGGTCCCTGTATGTTGAGTCTGTGTGTCTGTGCCTTGGGAAGTCGACGGCTGCTGGCATCTGTGAGGACTGTCATCTTTGTCATGTGCGGGGCTAACATTGAAGGGACATTGGAGGGACTATTGCCTCATCTTTCTCTCCAGTTCCCTCCCTCCTCCCATCACCCCAAGTGAGTGCAAAGGAGCAAATCATAGATTGTGCCGTGGCCTCATTGTGGTTGGTAGAAGTTTTCATCTTTCTCTTAGCTGGTAACCTGTGCTCCTTGGGCAGCCCCCCTCCTGCTCCCATGTCCTTAATGTCCCTTACAAAGGTGGGGGAAATGGGGGTCCCTGAAAGAGATGAGGTTCCTCTGTTCAATGTAGTCTGCCACATGTTTTTGTTGGATGCTACTGAAATGCTCCAGGACAAAGTTGCCATAAAGACAGATCAGCATGATTTTTATTTTGAATAGAAGAGGAGGAGGAGAGAGGAGAGAAAGGAAAGGGTGGAGAAGCCTGCTGTGTCTGGATAGGTCTTTAAGACATTCCAGGGGGCTGGAAAACAAAAGAAGTTTTTTTTTGTTGTGTTTTGCTTTTAGTGACTCTTGTTTTTCTGTGGAGGGAAGCCTGCATGGACCAGCCCTGCCTTGGAACCTGCCTGGGAGCATGGGGCCCCTAGAAGGCCAGCGTTTCCCGTGTTCTGTCCCTCCCCTCTTCTCCCTACCCCCACCCCACTTTTCCTGAATTGGAGAGGGAGTTGAAGGTCCCCAAGGGCTACTAAAGTCTGTGTTTGGGCTTAAAGTATCTTGTGTGGGCTCAGTCTTCTCCCAGGCAAACTCCAAGATCTCTGATTTAGCAACATTTCAAGTCTTGGGCACTCTGTTTCCTTGTCTCCCTTGTCCCCAAACCCATTCAAACAGCCAGTATATGTGGTGCTTTTACCCAACCCCAGTCTGAAATGGTAGCACATCATTGAAAGCTCCAGGACACTTTCTAGAAGCCGAAGTTAGTTGGGTTTAGGATACCTTGGGGTTGGGTTTAGGACACCTTGGGCTGAGTCCAGGAAGGAACCCTCTGCCCTTTAAAAAATGAGATTTTAATGGTCTGAGGGGTGTGTTGGAGGGCAGGGTGCTGGGTAGGGACACAGGATTAATTCAAGGATGTGTGGGAGGGGGTGCCAGGAAGAGGGAAAATAGCAGATTTGAAATCTAGCTCTTCTGAGTCATCCGTGTGGCCTTGGGCAGGTTATTTCCCCTCTTGAGCCTGCTTCCTCCGTCTGTAAAATGAATATGTTGGCTGAGGAGATTCTGAGCTATCTTGCAACTTAGAGCAGGAGAGTCTAACCTTTTAGGGGGCTGGGCAGCCCTGCTCCATTCCTTCTGCCTTCCATTCAGTGGAAGGTGCCTCTCCGGGCTGGCTTGCCTCTCTCTGCCCGCCTGTACACAGCAAAATCCTGCGTTGAGTGAATGCAGCAGCTTCAGAAACCAGCTCCTGCCATCAGAGCTGAAGGACAAAGTGCCCAGCAGTTTTGGGTAGAGAGGGGAATGTCTGTAACCAGTCCCTGCTGGGAGCCCCATGTTAGTCTGCAGGCTCGCTCCCCACTCTTCTTGGGAAGAGCCCTTTCAGTTCCTGGGGTGCAGGTTTTAGGGACCTCTCCCTTTCCAGAGGGCTGCTTTTCTGGTCTATTTCATCAGCCATTGAGAGGGAAAATCAGGAACATTTGTTCATGCTCAGCTGGGGTGCAGCACAGGGAGGGGGCCTTGGAAACCAGCACTCTGGTCCCACTGAGCAGATGACGCCCATTGATCAGGCGTTTCTACCACCTGATGCCATTGAGCAAATGTACCAGCTTGGGCTCCTCCTGCCACCCGGGCTGGCACCTTGGACCTGCATTAGTGCTCCATCTGAGGGAGTGGGGGTGGATCATGAAACACTTTTTTTTTTTTTTTTTGAGAGACAGTCTTGCTCTGTCGCCCAGGCTGGAGTGCAGTGGTGCGATCTTGGCTCACTGCAACCTCTGCCTCCCGAGTTCAAGCGATTCTCCTGCCTCAGCCTCCCAAGTAGCTGGGATTACAGGTGTGTGCCACCACACCTGGCTAATTTTTTTTGAATTTTTAGTAGAGACGGGTTTCACCATGTTGGTCAGGCTGGTCGCAAACTCCTGACCTCGTGATTCACCTGCCTCGGCCTCCCAAAGTGCTGAGATTACAGGCGTGAGCCACTGCACTTGGCTTTTGAAACACTTTTTATAAAGAATGGGAGAGTAAGATGGTGAGCCTGTGTTTGCAGCTGGCAGGGCTGGTCTTTCATCTGGGTACTTGTTGTCTTAAGATTCAGCTCTTGCCCCTGGTCTGCACCCAAGACTGCTGGCTTAATTAGTGAATTCAACAACTTGGAGATGAGCAAAAACATGTTCACTGGTGGTGGGCAAGTGTGTACAAAAGGCAACAGGATGGAGCAGAAAGGTAGCTGAACTAGGCATTAGGAGACTGGTGTTCCAGCCCTGATACTGTTACAGATGGAGCGATGTGGCCTTGTGTGAGTCACAGCCTCTCTCTGAGCCTCGGTTTCTCTATTTCTTTAGAGGCAGCAGTGCGTGGTGGTTAAACTGCCTGGATTTGCCTGTTAGCTTTATCATAACTTCATATCAATTGTGTGACCTTAGACCATTCAACCCCTGGTGCCTCCATTTCCTGATTTGTAAAATGGAACTAGTAATACCCCATCAGATTGTTGTGGATAGTCTTTGAGATAAAACTAGTAAAACATTTAGCATAATGCCTGGCATATAGTAAGTGCTCAATAAGTGTTCACTATCATCATCATTGTCATGATTATCATTATTACTATTATTGTAAAATGGGAGGGATTAACTTTGGTCCTTTCTAGTTTTCTGGGGCCTGGATTGTGTGTGTGTGTGTGTGTGTGTGTGTGTGTGTGTGTGAGAGAGAGAGAGAGAGAGAGAAAATCTGTCTTTGGGGTAGAAGGTAAGGGTGAATAAGTTGCTTTTTTGGTTCTTTTCTTCCTTTCTCTGCCTCATTGAGGGACTCCTGAATGTTGTGACTAGGCTCATGGTAGCCCCGTCCCCATGGCAAGAAGCCCAATTTGACGTCACTGACAATATCCTGGCTCCTGGCAGTTGAGGGATGATATTTCATCAGCTAGCATTTGCCTGTCCTTTCCCTTCCACCCTTTGTTTCCCACCCTTCACCATGGTATGAAAACCATATGTGCAGATAATGTGTTTAAGCTGATCAGCCTCTCCCAGAGTCACCCAAATAAAAAGCCATCTTCCTAGAAGACACTTTCGACTTTAAGATAAATAATCTGGTTCTTCTGTTGTGTTGCTTTATGTCTGGCTGGCCCTGAATCCCTTTTTGTGTTCTGCCCATGGTCTGCTCCAAGGACGTGGGCTGGGCCCGGTCCGTGGTCTAAAGCTTTGGACCTTATTGGCCATGCTGGCCGGGGCAGCCTCTTCCAGCGGCTTGGGAGGGGCCAGGCCAGGCTGGGCCTCTGCCTCATCTTGTTCCAGCAAGGCTGCTGCTCTGAGATATCCCAGAGATGATTATCATGGGGCAGACACTTGGGGAATGCTGCCGCCCGCCAGGTGCTTGACAATACTTCATCCTGTCTCCGCCTACAAGGATGGTTTGGATACTGCCCCCATTCTGTAGATTAGAGAGTGAAGGCTCAGGAAGAATTCAGAGTAAGTGGTGGGATTGAGATTTGATCCTCGGTTGATCTGATTCTCTTATCCTGTGTGCTAAACCACTGTGTTATATTTCCTCATGTATCAAAACCTCCTGTGAGCCGAAAAGCCCCAGGAATGATATCTCTTAGACTGAATCAAGCCCCCTCCTCCCCACCTTTGATAATCTCGCAGGCTCAGGGCACCTTATGAGATTCCGTTTCTGTCCTGCATGGATTACTCAGGCATTTTGGGGACAGTGATGAGTAAGAGTTTTTTGGGACATGGCTGCTTATGGAGGGGTTAGAGCGGGGAATGATCTTATTAAGCAACAAAAGGTTGTAATGGAAAGAGGATGCATATTGGAGTCACAGATCTGAAATTTGAATCCCGATTCTGCAATTTACTGGCTGTGTGGCCTTGGCTTCCTTATCTGTGAAAATCAGAATAACAGCAACCACAGATGACTCTAAAATCTCAGTGGCTTAACAAAATGATTAACTCCTGATCACATTACTTGTCTAATATGGGTCTCTGTTCCACACGGTCACTCAGGGACCCAGGCTCCAAAGATGATGACTCCACCATCTTTGTAACTGCCCCTTCTAAAGCATGTGGCATCCAAAGTTACTGCAGATGGGGAAGAGGGAGAAGGGAAAGCCACACTAATACTCAACTGCTTTGGCCAGGAGGTGACACACATCACTTCACCTCCAGCACCTTGGTCAGAACTGTCATCTGGCCCCAAACCAGCCCCCAGGGAGGCTGAGAATGTAAGGAAGTACATGGATATTTGATGAGCACTAAGTCTCTGCATTTACATTTACCCTAGTAGAGTGCTTTAAGGATCAATTGAGATGATGCATTTAAAGCTTCTAGTATAGAGCTGGTATGTTGCTGGTTGTTAACACATAGAAGCTTCCTTTCCCTAATAATCCCCGATGTACATTGCTCTTTGTAGATTACAGACTGTGTCTATTGAGATTATTTCTGGGCAGATCATATTGTGCCTATAACATACCAGAGGGAGGTGAGTCCACGCATGGCAAGGGCACTATAAGCCAGGCCCTGGATCTTCAGCCCAGTTCTCCCATGACTTCCTTTGGCTTACTGAAATTTACTGCTCTGAGAACTTTTTCCAGCATGTCTCCCAGGATCTTTCAGAACCCACTTCTGCTCCTGTCTCCTCCCTGCATTCCTCAATAGGGTAGAGTATCTGTATTCATTTTATGGATGGTGAGGAGGGGAGGTTGCAGGAACTATCTGGAAACTAACGGAGAAGGGTCTGGCCTTGAGGTGAGACAAGCCAGAGTCTTAGGTATTCATAGGGAGAGCCATAAGAATTTGGGACCCACATTTGGGCCGCTTTGGGAATTGCCGTGCAGCCAAGCTTCGGGGTACCCTTCCAAGGCGCACCTGGTGCTGCTACCTGCAGCTCCCATCCACCTGTGTACCCCCATGCTGGCCCATTGTGTCCTTGTGAGAGTGGGCAGGGAAGCGGAGGGTCCTGCTATAGTTTGGTTTGTTTGACCCTCCAAATCTCATGTTGAAATTTGATCTCCACTGTTGGAGGTTGTGGGGGTGGTGTTTGGGTCATGGGGGCGGATCCCTCATGAGTGGCCTGGTGCCCTTCCTCAAGTGAATTCTCATGCTGTCAGTTCCCAGGAGAGCTGATTGTTAAAGAGCCTGGCTCCTCCCTCCCCTCTCTCTTGCTTTGCCTCTCACCACATGATCTCTGCACATGCCAGCTCCCCTTCACCTTCTGCCCTGAGTGGAAGCAGCCTGAGGCCCTCTCCAGAAGCACATACTGGCACCATGCTGGCACCTGCAGAACCATGAGCCAAAAAAACCCTCTTCCTTTATAAATTACCCAGCCTTGTATACTCCTTTGTAGCAACACACACGGACTAAGATGGGGCCCTAGGAGGCTTTCCAGGTCTGCTTTTCTGTGGATAGTAAGATGTCCAGACCTAGGTTAAAATCCTGACTGCTCCACTTAACACTTGTTCATCTCTCTTAGCCTGTCTCAGTTTTCTCCTCTGCAAAATGGCAAGAATATAGGAAAGCTAAAAAGCGAGTCAAGTGCCTGGCACATAGTAGGTGTCGTGTTTGCACCTCTTCTCTCCCCCTTGAGGAAGAGGAAGAGCTGCCCTTGGCAAGGGAACAGTGCCTGGGGAGATGCTAGAAGTGGGCACACATGCTTGGACTCCTGGTCGTTGGAAGGAGAGGTACCCACTTCCCTTCCCAGCAACCTTGGGCTGGACTCTTGTGTTGAACTAATATGGCTTCCATTTGAAACGGGACAAGAATTTGGAGCCCTGGGTCTTGGATTTAGGCCCATCTTTTCATGTCTAACTCCCACAGTGGGTTCAGGGCTGGGGGTGTTGCTGAGAGAGGCTCCCCCACCCCACCCTGTGTTGCTGCCTCTCCTTCTGGGGGGACAGATTGCAGCGTGCTCTAGTGGGCCAAGTGCACTGGGCCACCTGCTGCCTGACATTTAGGGCTCCCCCAGCAGGGCAGGCCCAGGGAACTTGCTCATTGGTTGGTGTCTTAGCCCTTGGGGAATGAGGCATTTCTCCAGTCAAAACAGAAACACCGCCCTCCATGGTCCCTGTGGAGAAAAGCTGGGCAGGCTGGACACGGGGAGTGGAGGGGCCTGTGGTTAGGAAGAGGATGGTCTCTGAAGACAGGGTTCTGAGATGCGCATTCTTCTCCTGAGCATAGTGAACACTTGTTCCTGGGGTCATTGAAGAGTGTAGCCTTCCCCTGCAGCTGGATTTATGCTGACTCAGGCACGGAGGCCAGGGAAGGCTGTGACTGTGGCACCTTGGGGCCCTCAGACACCTCACTCACTCCTGCATCCAGACCTCGGCTTCTGTGGTGCAGGGCAGCAGCTCTGAGGCAGCTCCATAGCCCTTTGAGGCGGCTTATTGCTTTCCTGCGGCAGCCATGACAGCACCATAAACTAGATGGCTTAAAACAACAGAAACTTATTCTCACAGTTCTGGAAGCTAAAAGCCTGCAGACAAGGTGTTGGCAGGAACATGCTCTGTCTGAGGGCTCTAGGGAAAGGTCCTCTTTGCCTCTTCCTAGCTTCTGGTGGTTACTGGCAACCCTCTGTGTTCTTTGGCTGGTAAATGCCTCCCTCCATCATCACATGACATTCTTCCTGTGTGTCTGCCTCTCCTCTTCTTATAGGGACACCAGTCATGTTGGATTAGGGTCCACCCTAATGACCTCCTCTTTTTTTTTTTTTTTTAGGCGGAGTCTCGCTCTGTCACCCAGGCTGGAGCGCAGTGGCGATCTCTGCTCACTGCAAGCTCCGCCTCCTGGGTTCATACCATTCTCCTGCCTCAGCCTCCCGAGTAGTTGGGACTACAGGTGCCCACCACCACGCCTGGCTAATTTTTTTGTATTTTTTAGTAGAGACGGGTTTCACTGTGTTAGCCAGGATGGTCTCGATCTCCTGACCTCATGATCTGCCCGCCTCGGCCTCCCAAAGTGCTGGGATTACAGGCGTGAGCCACCAGCGCCCAGCCATGACCTCCTCTTAACCTGATTATATCTGCGAAGTTCCTGACAGCTAGGGGTTAGGCTGTCAACATATCGTTTTGGGGTACACAGATCAACCCATAGAGGTGGTAGTATCATTGCTCTATTTACTGTCAAAGAAGTCAGTGCAAAAAGGTTAAGTAATTTGCCCAAGTTCATACACCTATACAACTAGTAAGTGACTGGTAAATTACTCTCTATACATTTCATTCCTCTTACTATTACAGTAGGTTTATATACCTACCTCATAGCCTAGTCCTGAGCATCAAAGGAGGTGAATGTCTGTGTCAAAACACACTCTGTCCGCAGCTAAGTGTTTGCCAGTCGTGTTATTCATCTTTGCTCCCTAGATGGGATGTCTCCCAGGAAACATCAGCATATAGAAATTACAACCAGTTGGAGCTACAATGTTTTCTAGAAATAATTGTTTGAGTTGACCGAATGAAAGGCACCATTTGCATTCTTTCAACTCGCCTTTCTGGAGTTGCCTGCCAGCTCCGTCTCCTCGCAAGTTGAGAATATCAGTTGAGATGGATTTTTCTTGCTTGATGTTTTTCTTGGGTTCCATTTTAGCATCAGAAGTCATGGTGACTTTTGCAATTTGGGCTTCTCTCCCCAGGAGGGTGTCTGGGCATCTGAATAGGGGGGGTCCCTGGGAGGCTCAGTAGATGACTCTCAGCTCCAGAGCCCTTCCCTCCGGGCCCTGAAGGGTCTAGGGATTTAGCTGTGGAGGCTGGAGGACTCTGATATGCAGCCTCATCTGGGTGCAAGGAAGCAGGGGAGGCAACCTGCTGTGGAGGGTTAGGACACATTCTGAACACAGCGCCTGGGTTCAAATGCCAGTTCAGCTTCACACTATGACCTTTGTTTGATCTTTGACAAATCACTTAAATTCTCTCTGACTCCATTTTAACTCACAGGGTTTGATTAAAATGCATAAATGTATCTCTTGGGATGGAATGTGGTACATGAAAAGTATTCAGTGAATGTTAGGATTACTTTAAATATTTTATTTGTCATCTGTTTTCCTCCATAGAGTGAGGGCGGAGATGTTTCTGTTTGGTTTTCCATGGAGCCTGCAGCGTGGAGCTCAGTGCCTGGGGTTGAACAGATGCTCACATGCTGAATGAATGAGGAAATGGATGATTGAATGGGTAGATTCTTAGCTATAGCTTCTTTGGGATTCCATCCCTCCTTGCTATGTACCAAGGCCTCTGCCCCTAAGCCCCTCTTATGTGGGGGCATGGGGAGGCCATAGCACCAAAGCCCAAAGGGAGCCGTAGAATGCCATGAAAATGCTCAGGGCATCCAGGACAGAAAGGCCACCTCATGGACCCAAAGGACAAGCTGGGTTGGAGGATGAGGAGAAGCTGAGAAGGGGGTCTGGGAAGATTGTGGTCACCGCAGGAAGCAGGTCGTGGTGGCTGAGTGGGAAGATCACTTTCAGAATGTGGGGTTTCTCCCATGACGCAGCCACCAGAGGCACTCCCTGACGTCTCCAGCACACCAGAGAGGCCCACCCTTCTCCAGTGTGATAAATCAATAGGCGTACCTCATTTTAGGGAGCCCGATCTATGAAAATGCCAGCTGGATTTGAAAGTCTGCATTCAATTTATAGGCAAGTTAACTCTAAAGTTCCCACTGCTTCCTTCTGCCTTAAAAAGAAATACAGAAGTTCAGCTTACACACTTAGTTAGGAAAACATCTGTTGTGTAATGTGGTCATGTTAGCCGCCTTGCTTAAAACCCTTCGATGGATTCTCTGTTGTGTTCAAAAGGCTTTCATGTGACCTCTGCCCCCTCCCCACGCAAGCCTCACTACCTCTTCTGCAGCCCATCTGCCGCTTGTTTTCTTCTCTCGCCCCTACCTTCATGAATGAATCTTTGTGATCTTCCTCCCCTGGACTGCTTTTTCCTCCCTCTTTAGTTACCTGACTCCTCCTCATCCTTTGGATCCCAGCCCCTGCATTACCTCCTCCAGGAAGTCCTCCTTGACTTCCTAATGGGCCAAATTTCCCATCTGTAGGCTCAGATGGCTCCACAGTCCTCTCCTTAGTGGTGTTTTGTCACTCTTGGATGACTGTTGACTTCTCTGTGTAATTTTTTTTTTTAACATTTATTTCCTCCACTTTGGTGTAAGCCCAGGAAGGCAGGGGCAGTGCCTGTCTGTTCTTCCTTGTATCCAAGGCACCTGGTAGGGTCTCAGAAGGTGCCTGAGAAATTCTCTTGCCTTCTCTCCATTTTCTCCTCTGCAAGCCAGTCTTTTTTAGGTTGTTCTGGTGGTTACTGGTAATCCTCCGTGTTCTTTGGCTTGTGGATGATCACAGCTAATATGTGTTGATTACTTGCAGGGTGCCAGGCCCTCACAAATCAGATCTCATCCACCAATAGAAGAGTTTTTTACAGTGGGAACGCTGGAGCCCACCTGGCTGGAGCCCCCCCGGCTGGAGCCCCAGCTTTATCACGTACCTGCTCTGCAGCCTTGGACAAGCTCCTCAACCTCTCTGTGCCTCATTTTCCCATCATAAAATGGGACTAAATATAACACATAACTTATGAGTTGTGAGGATTACATAAATTAATTCATGTAATATTTGTTTCTCCAGTTTTAGAGGCTGGAAGTCCATGACCATGGTGTTGGCAGGTTTGGTTTCTTCTGACGTCTCTCTCCTTGGCTTGCGGATGGCCACTTTCTCACCGTGTCCTCGCACAGCCTTTCCCTGGTGTCTCCCATGTGTCCAGAGCTCCTCTTCTAAGAATACCAGTCAGATTGGATTAGGACCCTTTAAGGCCTCATTATAACTTAATTGCCAAAACATTCACATTCCAAAGTGCTAGGGGTTAGGGCTTAAATATGAGTGTGCAGGAAGCACAATTTAGCCGGTAACATCTTCTAATTCAGTACTCTATCCCCATTTTATGGTTGAGAAAACCAGGGCACAGAGAGGTTAAGTTACTTGCCCAAGGTCACATAGCTGCTGAACAAGTATAGGAGTGTAAAACCCAGGTAGTCCGAACCTGGAGCCTGCACTCCACCGCCAGATGGTCTGTTTCCTGGCTCTTCTCCTCTGCAGATCCTCACAGTCTTCCCTTTTTGGAGCTGGTTTGTTTCTTAACAGCAGGGTTGGGAGGAAATCAGGATCCAGGGGTCTTGGTGACTTCTCTCCTGGCCCTTTGCTCCCGTCCAGCCTTGAATCCCTCGTTTGGTGGCAGCTGCCAAAACTACTAGGGGATGGGGACCTTTACTTCTGCACCTAGGCTGTGAGGGAGGTGGAGGCTGCAACAGGGTGGGAAGGTAGTCAAACATCCCAGGAAGTGAGGGGAGTTTCTTGATTCCAGGGTTTCCCTCCCTCCGTATCTTTTTTTTGGATTTTCCAGGAGTTAACTGCTCTTTGAAAATAATCACGTCTGGCTGGGTGCGGTGGCTCATGCCTGTTAATCCCAGCACTTTGGGAGGCTGAGGCGGGCAGATCACTTGAGGTTAGGAGCTCGAGACCATGCTGGTTAACACTGTGAAACCCTGTCTCTACTAAAAATAGAAAAAATTAGCCGAGTGTGGTGGCGGGTGCCTGTAATCCCAGCTACTCAGGAGGCTGAGGCAGGAGAATCACTTGAACCCGGGAGGCAGAGGTTGTAGTGAGCTGAAATTACGCCAATGCATTCCAGCCTGGGCCACAGAGCCAGGCGAGACTCCGTCTCAAAAAGAAAAGAAAGTAATCATGTCTTCCTGGTGAAAGACTTAGGAAAAAATAAAGAGTAACATAGCAAGAGAATATGGAAATAAAACAAAAGCATATTCAATGGAAGGTCACTCTCAATCTTACACCAGTCTCTGGGCCCAGAGACAGCCCTGGGCTGCTCCTATGGGTTTTTCCAGCCTGCCTTCAGGCCAAGAGTTTGAAGCTGGTGCTTGAGGTTGGAGGAACCGGAGGGAACAGCTATTCACCGAAGCCATGGAGGTTCTCCTGGGTGGACCATGGGACATGGGAGAGGCATGTCCTTTTGGGATGGGTGCCTGGCGTGCCACTGCATGGCCAGCCGTGATGCAGTCATTCCCGACTAGTGGAATGAGCTGCTTGTTTCATGCATGCCCCTTTCCTGATGTCCCACCAAATGGACAATCTGCAGAGACACCTATGGTAGGGTGGCTACCGGGTCAGTGGCTTATTCTCTTTGTCATGGTTGCCTGGCCCTCTCCGATCTCTGCCCGCCCCTTGCCTATCTCTGCTTTGTCCCCGCAAATGTCATCTTTTCCTTTTCATCTTGTGGGGTGCAGGGGCCTGGGCTAGGTAGGGTTTGGGAAAGAGCCCTTGGGACCCTTTGGGGAGGATGTGTGACCGGGAGACCCGTGGGTCAGGACAGAGGGCATCTCTACCTTCCTCCATTGTGTGATAAGGGTGTCGGTTGGCAGATCAAAGGGCTTTTTGTTGTTTTATTTTCCTTTCCAGAGCCTTCTTGCTGGGAAAGCAGGCTGTACAACCAAGGGGAACAGCTGCCACCTGTGTGTCCTGTGAGAGGGCAGGGCCAGCCAGGGGCATGGGGCACCTGGTGCTGCTGAGGGGCTGGGACTGGGCCACAGGTGGGAGATTTCCCTGGGGGACTCTGCACCTAGAAGCTGATGGGGACGTAGTGGCCGAGCTCAGAGGCTGTGGGCCCTCAGCAAGACAGGGACACCTGGAAATGCAGAGAATTAGCAAAGAATTGGGGGAGCTGCCCCCACAACCCCATCCTAGCCTGTGAATTTCTGTCTTCCATTGTTCCTCAAATGGAGTGATGGAGGGAGCACTGGACTGCGAGTCCGGAAAGCCTGATCTTTAAGTCCAGTCTTGGTTTGGTTCTAACAAACTCTCATGTTCCCTCTGGACTTCTGTTTTGAGATGGAGTCTCTCTCTGTCACCTAGGCTGGAGGGCAGGGTTGAGATCTTGGCTCACTGCAACTTCTGCCTTCCAGGTTCAAGCGATTCTCCTGTCCCAAGTAGCTGGGACTATAAACGTGCACCACCACACCCAGCTAATTTTTTTGTATTTTTAGTAGAGACGAGGTTTTGCCATCCCTGTGGATTTCTGATATCCCATCCGCATCACGGGAGTGGGGCTGCTTGTTCTCCTTTTAACTCCAGAGCCTCTGGGTCTCCCCTGAGAGTCTTGAACGGGGAACATGACCTCGGAGCCTTGTGTCCCCTGGAGAAAAGCTCTCAGGAAGCCGAGGCGTGGTTGTTGATGGAAATGGGGATGTTGTTTAAATAAATTAAGAGCCAAAGAGGACAATCCGTGGCATTCTTTTCAAGAGCTGGGATGATATGCATAACATTTCCTCCCTTTCATTTGATAATTTTTCCTTCTCAAAGCAGTTTAATGAAAGAAAAGTGTCTGAAGATTGGCTGCACAATGAGCTCAAATAAAAATATTCTTTTAAAAATGTGGTTGCTATGTAATCGAATTTAAATAATGGGCAATTTTTGTTTCTTCGTAGTCTAGCCACTCACAAAGGTCTATTCAAACCTGTCTCAGACATGTATGTGTGTGTGTGTGTGTGTGTGTGTGTGTAAAGAAAAATGACCTTACTGATAGAATATTTTTGGAAAAAAAAATAATGATGATGATAATGTAGCTAAAGTTGTGTGTGTGAGTTCGTGCGTGTCTGCTGGTGAGACATACGGGATTAACATGAAACGTGCTGCTAGAAGGAAGTTCTGAAGGCAGCTGTAGAGTCCTCCTGGCATTTGAATGGGTGCTGTGAGCAAGAGAGGTGAATTCTAGTTTTGGAGTCCCATGGATCTGGGTTCAAATCCTGGGTCGGTCCCTACCAGCCACATGACCTTTGGCAAGTTATTTATTCCCTCTGAACGTTAGTTTCCTCATCTAGAAAAAAGGGACAGCAAAAACAAGATCAAGTGCCTAGCCTGGTGCTGGGCATGGGAACGACCTGCCAGGTTGGCCCCTCCCCTCCCCTCTGCACCCTTCTCCTTCCTCTCCTCTCTCTGCTCTCTCCCCACTCCCTTCCCTTTTTTTCCTTTGCCTCTCCAGAAACAGCAGAGTTTTTCCATATACACACCAGACCCATATACGTTGTAGCTCATTCAATGCCCAGCAATCCAACCGGAGTGGGATTTTTATCTCCATTTTACAGAATGGAAACCTGCTGCAGCTATGGAATCGGGTAGATCACCCAGCAGGTGGAGGGGGTATGAGAAAGTGGAAATATTTGTCTGAAGCATAGCAAGACCTGGCCTTTTCCGTTGTATGGAAATTTTTGCCTGGGAGGTATGTGGAATGCAGAAAGGGTCCTTGGTGTTGCTTCTTGTAGCCTGCCTCACCCCTCCCCTCCCCTTCCCTTCCCTTTTTCCCTTCCTTCTTTCTTCCCTCCCTCCCTCCCTCCCTTTTTTCCTTTCTTCCTTTCTTCCTTCCTTTCCTCCCTCCCTCCTTCCTTCCTTACCTCTTTCCCTCCCCCATTTTTTCTTTTCTTCGTTCCTTCCCTCCCTTCCTTCCTCCCTCCCTTGCATTGTGTGCACTAGACTTTTGCCGAAGGTTTGAAGCTGAGGGTCATCCATCCAGAAGGTAGTGGCATAGTCATCCAGCCCAGCAGTGCACAGTGGACTGGTCTGTCTTAGAACCTGCTCGGCCATACCCGCCATAGGAGCTCTCCCAGGTCCCTGACTCAGACTCCTCTTGTTCACTTCTCGTGTCTCAAGCTTCTTCCTTGTCTCGGGCCTGCTCTGTCCCTCTCTCAGAGGCCAGTTGAGGACACAGAGTGTTTCTGCTCCCCTGTTCTCGCTTGGAGGAGCCCCTGCCCCCAGCGTGCTGACTCAGGCTTGGTACCGCTAATGCAAAGAGAGCAAGAGGGTGGGAGGAGATGGCCTCTCCAGCACCCGACTCCTCATCCTTTCCTGCCATCCACTCTCCCATTGACAGAGACCCTTTCTTATGGGCCCTGGCTGGGGCCTTGGCTGAGGACATGGATGGACCCACCAGGCCAGGGCCTCCTTGTCTTGGATCTGCAGAGGGACAGCTTCATGGGGGGGCTGGCATCTGCTCTCATACTCCTGGATGCTGCCTGATTCCCCAGGGCTGAATTATGCATCAATACATGGAGGCTTCTTAGGAAATATCCTTCTAAGAGTCCTCCCCTGGGGACCGGCAGACCATCTTCCTGAGTCACCTCTGCCTGCCTGCCTCTCCTGTTGGTTAGGGGAAGCTGTCAACAAAAGCAGCACTTCCCCCTAAAAATGCAGTAGCCGGTGATGCATCTGGGCACATACGAATGCACTCAGATGGGTTCTGTCAGGCCCTGAACTTGGTGATGGCCTTAAGCCATCACCAAGGTTTGCGTCAGGAAAAGTGTGACATTAAAGGCAGAGCATGACAATGTCTTTGGGGTGAAGAGCAGCAGGATCAGACCAAGTGCTTCTGCCAGTTCAGTGGGCAATGGAAAGAGCCGTGGGGTGCAGTGGTTAGAGCCGAGGCCTAGGCTTAGGACATCATGGATGCATTCCAGCCCTGTCTCTCTCTGGTTTGTGTGACCTTGGGCTGATTACGTCTTGGGGCATCCTTGTCCTTCCATGTGACATGGGACAACAGCAGGCAAGTGATTGGGGAGAAGCCGAGAATGGCGCTGGTGGGGCTTCTGCAGGAACAGCCGAGTCCTCGGAAGTTTGAGGCCTCGTGGGAAGATGTGTGCTCCGAGCTAGGAAATCTCCAGCTTTCAAGTTGCCCTTGGGCATTTCCCGCCACCCCTGTTCTGCCACCTCTGAGAGCAACACGCAGACTCCCAAGGCTTGCAGCCCTTTCGGGAGTTTCTGTGTTGCTGGAGTCCTGCCTTACTTCCTGGTTGTGGATGGGCATGCCAGGTGCCTTCCTTGGGCCCAGAGCTCCATAGAAGGAAAAGACTTCAGAGATGAAGATAAAACTGATCCTGATGGAGGAAATGGCGTTGTAACACCATCCGAGTACCCGGTTTGGGGTACATTTTGCTGAAAATGCCCTCAGAAAGGCAGATTTGCAGCTGTTAGGGAATTTTTAGATATTTTATTTTAGTTATTTTTGTTTTTTAATTTCCAGTATGAGTGAGGGGAAAAGAGCAAGAAGGAGCCATCTGGCCTGGTTGAGGGGAGAAAATGAGATTGCTTGGTTTTCATTTGCAGCAAAATGCACTGTGAGTTTTTCTGCAAATGTTAATAAAGACAGAAAGCAGTGAGACAACAGAGGCCTCCTGGGCTGCTGCTGGAAACACCTCCACAGTGGGGCCTCCTCCCTGGGTTTGCGTGTATTATCGCTTCGGAAAAGGCCAATTTTCAGGGATGTCAGATCACCAATCTCAGTTGCTTTCGAGAAAACCTCTTTCTTCTAGCCCAGAGATCAACAGGGGAACATCTGCTCTGGACTGCAGTCTTGTCTCAGCCTGGGCTCTGTCTCCACTGTTTACTGCTTAGCTGGAAAGAAGTGAAACAGATGTGATTGGTTTCAGATGAATGAGGTTACCGTCATGTTTCTGGCCTTCCCAGTGGTTCCTAATTGGTTGCAAGAAACTCCATGGAGTGGGGAGAGAGAGCTCTGGCTTAGAAATGGGGGGGTAGCTTCAAGTTCTAGCTTTGACCAGGACTCATCATGTGACCTTAGACAAGGCAGTACCCCTCTCCGGGCCTGTTTGCCATCTATAAAAACCAGGGCAAAAAACCCAAACCTAATGCACAAACAGAAACAAGCCAGGGTTGGGATAAATTATCTTCACAGCTAGCTTTGCAGGGTTGGTGTGGGAAATAGAATCAAATAAGCCGAAGAATGGGGTCAGGAGTGGATTTGGTTCTTTCCCTGCTTCTCTTATAGTCACCCTGGGTATGAGAAGGCTGGGCTGCTTAAGAAAGTAGCAAGGACTTCCAAAGAGCAGGGGTAGCATGGTGTGGTAGTACCTGGATGGCAGACACTTTTCATCGCAAATGCCAACGCTGATCGATTTGTAGGGCCTGCCTGAGTGCAGCTGAAGGGTGGATGAGCCTGTTTTACCCAGGCTCAGCAGGAAGGAGTGCCAAGATCAATTATTGACGTCTGTCATGGTTGGAGGAGGGTGGAATGCTAGCAAAGAATAGATGGGGAATAGATGTGGGGAACTTTGGGGTGCTGGGTATAGAGCATAGGGACTGGGGCACTTGAATGCCCTGTCACTGGCTTTGTTGCTATATGACCTAAGGTGAGGGTCCAATATGGGGCTGGATTTCAAAATAATCATAAAATAATCATGCGTGGGCATCTTTCTTCTTCAGGAAGTCTGGTTGGTACTGTACAGTTGAGCTAGTGCATTGCTGAGCATGTGTATTTTGAAGAGGCCATTCAAGTGATTTTAATATAATTTCATCCTGGTGGAGAAACAGTAAGTATAACCACTGACAACCTATTCAGGCTCCAATTCACTCATCAGTAGAGAGTAGGGTTTTCCTCACTGCACAGCACTGGAGCCCTGAGGCTCTAATGAGCTCACAGAGAAGATGGTCTGACCAGTGGCTAAAATAAATGAAGTGAACAGGCCAAGGATACAAAATGATGGCATGTATGATTCTACTTATATAAAGTTCAAAGTCAGCAAGAGAATCTAAGGGAGTCAAAGTCACAACAGTGATGACCTTTGGGCATGAGTTGGGGGGTGTCCAGAAGGGGCACGAGGTACTTCTGGGTGCTGGTGTGTTCATCTTCTCATCCTGGCTGGTGGGAACATAGGTATGCTCAGTTTGTGAATATTCATTGAGCAGTACACTTCAGATCTGTGTACTGTTCCCTCTCTGTTATACTTCAACGAAAAAAATTCTATTAAAAAACAAAAAACATGGCTGGGCGCGGTGGCTCACGCCTGTAATCCCAGCACTTTGGGAGGCCGAGGCGGGTGGATCACGAGGTCAGGAGATCGAGACCCTCCTGGCTAACACGGTGAAACCCCGTCTCTACTAAAAATACAAAAAATTAGCCGGGCGTGGTTGCAGGCGCCTGTAGTCCCAGCTACTTGGGAGGCTGAGGCAGGAGAATGGCCTGAACCCGGGAGGCAGAGCTTGCAGTGAGCCCAGATCGTGCCACTGCACTCCAGCCTGGGCGACAGAGCGAGAGTCCATCTCAAAAACAAAGAACAAAAAACAGCAAAGCTGATTCTAATCAGTTGAAAAAGTGAGAGAAGGTGCATAAAACTCCAGATTTCTGGTTTCCTTGACACATGGCATGGTCTGGTGGCAAATATGGGCTGGGGATAAGCAGCAGCTGCCCCCCGTGGGTGGGGCACGTTGCTCTCTTCTGTTTTGGTTCAGAGTTCCTGTTGGGGTTTGAGTATGAGACCCAAGACAAATGCTTCTCTCTGGGACTCCCAGCCTCTGTCAGGGAGTCTTTGCAGATGAGTGTTGGGTGAGTTAGAAGGGAACAGACGTCTCCTGGTCATGCTGGGGTTCAATCCTGACTCCACCTAAATTTACTATCTTGGTGATTTGGGGTGAGTTATTCAGCTTCTCTGAGCCTCAATTTACCCACTTGTAAAGCAAGGAGTGTAGTACCCACACCAAAATATTGTTTTGCCAAGAAGCAGTAGCTCATGCCTGTAATCCTAACACTTTGAGAGGTGAGGCAGAAGGATTGTTTGAGGCCAGGAGTTCAAGAGCAGCCTGGACAACATCGGGGGCCCTCTCTACAAAAAATAAAAAAATAAAAATTAGCTGCAGATGGTGGTGCATGCCTGTAGTCCCAGCTACTTGGGAGGCTGAGGCGAGAGGATTGCTTGAGCCGAGGAGTTAGAAGCTGCAGTGAGCTATGATTGTACTACTGCACTCCAGCCTGGGCAACAGAATGAGACCCTCTCTCAAAAAATAATTATTTTGGGGTTAGGACAAGATTATGATTAGAAAATACACGGTGTGCCTGGGCAGCAGAGATGCTCAGCAGAGCTTCATTTGCCCACTTCCCCCACTGCTTGCCTGGTGCTACCCCTTGTGCCTATCAGGAAGGGAGACTCAGTTCTTAGGGAGTAGTCGCCTGGACCCAGCCTTCCCATTGCTCATGTCAGGGTGAGATGTGGGAAACCCATTCTTGGGGCCCTGGCGGTTCCCTCCTCGCTGGCCCAGCCCTGTGTCCCCAGCCAGCTGGCATTGAAAAACGGGGCCTTTCTCTGACTGGTCAGGGCTAGAGGCCCAGGCGAGGTGGTGGCTGCAGCTCCCAGCAGCTAATTCTGCTGGTCACAGCGCCAGGCCCTCTCACAGGCGAGCATCTGCTTTGCCTTGTGGGGCAGCTGGCACCTAGGAACATGCCAGCTCCCTGGCATCTTTTCTCCATCCTGCCTGCAGCAGCCAGGAGCAGCCCTGCCTAAAAGAGGCAGCTCTCTGGGGCACAGAACTTCAGCAAGGAGCTCGTTGCTTGGATCTCAGCTGCCTTCTCGACTTTTTATTTAATCCCAGATATCCCTTGGGCAGGGAGATGTGGGGACCAAGGGACTTCCCTCCTCTAAGACTCAGTAGGCTTATCTGGAAAATGGGCGTGAATCATAGAGGCCTCTTAGGGCTGCTATGAGGAGGGACTGTTTGTACTGAGCCTGGTTTGTACTGAGCTGCTCAGGAATCTTAAATATGATCGTGAATATGACGGTTGCCATTACGACTGGTTATGAGGCAGCATCAGGGGAAGCCATTTGGGTCGACTTTGGTATAAAGGATGTGGTTTGAAATTGCCTGTGTCTCAGAACAATCTGTTTTGATTTATTCTACTGTGGGAATTTGAAAATGGCCCAAATGTTTCTCCTCCCCCCTCCCGTCTCTCTCTCAGCACTCAGATTTCCTCACTCCTGCACTCATCTCCTCATGCACACTCACACGCTACCTTCACACTTGCTCACTCTCATCTTTCCACACTCAAAGTGCAGGTGGAACTTCCAGTGGCCCAAATACTTTTCCTTCTACCTCAAAGGCTCACACTGTTTCCACTACACACACACACAAACACGTATGTGTGGTCATTCTCACACTCAAACTTCTCTCCCTGTCTCTCATCCCCCCAGTTCCCTCCCTCACCTGCAGCAGAGCTGCAGGGTCAGAAGACTTCGGTTCTCTCTCTGTCTCTTACTAGCCAGCTCTGTGGCTGTGTGATATGGGCCGAGTCACTCAGCCTCTCTGGGCCCTGGTTTCCTTTCTCTCAAAAGAGACAAACCACTGGTTTATGTTTAGAGAGATCATCATTTTCTGGCCGGGCATGGTGGCTCACACCTGTAATCTCAGCACTTTGAGAGGCCAAGGCAGACAGATCACTTGAGGCCAGGAGTTCGAAGCCAGCCTGGCCAACATGGTGAAACACCATCTTTACTAAAAATACAGAAATTAGCTGGGCACGCCTGTAATCCCAGCTACTTGGGAGGCTGAGGCACAAGAATTTCCTGAACCCCAGAGGCGGCGGTTGCAATGAGTTGAGATTGCACCACTGCACTCCAGCCTGGGTGACAGAGTGAGACCCTTTCTCAAAAGAAAAAAAAAAAAAAGAGACCATCACTTTCTTCCACAGTATTTCAGATGATCTGAGATAAGATTCTTACTACATCTTAAATTCCATGACTCTGCCAGTGAGTGGACTGGATCTCATTAGGCAGACCGTGTGCCAACCTGGAATTATATCAGTATTTTAGCCTTTTCCTGGTACTGAGGAGACATTGCTTGATTTCAAGCTAGAAATTAACACAAGTCAGGAGAAAATGGAAAGTTCAAGATCGTGATTTACTCTTCACTTTAGAGAAGCCACAGTGTCATAGCACCGCACTTTTATTCTTCTCATTTCCTCCTCATGCACCAGCAGAGATGACTTAGGGAAACAGAGGCAGCGGTCAAGTTGCCACTGTGAATGGGGGAGGGGCGGCGGAAATCAAGACAAAGATTTTGCGTTTCCTGCACCACATCCACCAGAAGGATCCACTTCCTTTTGGTGTGTATCCCTCCTCCCACCCACTTCCAGGGACAGAGAGCTAGAATGTATTGAGAGCGTACCACATTGTGTGTACCGCCCTGTTGAATCCTTGCAACAACCCTACAGGTTAAGTGTGGATCCATTCCCATTTTTGGGATGATAAGACTGGTGCATGGTGAGGCTAGGTAAGTACCTGGCCCAGCATCATACTGCATGTCTGGCAGAGCTGGATCTGCACCTGGGTGCTCTGGTTCTTGAGCTAAGCTTTTGACCACCACACCCTGCAGTCTTGAGTGGCCCTATGTCAAGGTGGAGTGGAAAGACACAGGATTTCAAGATGAAAGGCTTGAGTTTTAATCTTGCTCTGCTATTAATTTATTATGAGCCTTGAGCGAGTCTCTTATCCTCTGATGCTCAGGTTCCCCATTTGCGAAATGGAGAGAAAACTAAAACCTGTTGCTCAAGATTGCTGGGAGGCATGAGGGAGGTAAACTGCCTGGGACAATGTGAGTGCTTCCATATGTCAGCTCTTTTTGTGGTTTTCTGATTTGCCTTGGCAAACTTTTTTGCTAGGCATGTGGGCTTGCTACCTGGCATACAGGGCCCCACCCTGGAGTTAGAAGGATTCATTCCCAAGTGACATTGCACAAGGGTCATCATGATGCCTTTGTATAAATCCCATTTGGCCACCAGAGTGTCTTGGGGATTGCACTTCAAGCACTAAAGTGGAATGAATGAAGGATGATTTACTGCAGTGGTATTCAACTTTACTTGTAGCCACAGAACGTGGAACTTTCTTTTTTTTTTTTTTTTTTTTTTGAGTTGGAGTCTCACTCTGTTGCCCAGGCTGGAGTGCAGTGGCGCGATCTCGGCTCACTGCAAACTCTGCCTCCCGGGTTCACACCATTCTCCTGCCTCAGCCTCCTGAGTAGCTGGGACTACAGGTGCCCGCTACCATGCCCGGCTAATTTTTTGTATTTTTAGTAGAGACGGGGTTTCACCGTGTTAGCCAGGGTGGCCTCCATCTCCTGACCTCGTGATCCACCCGCCTTGGCCTCCCAAAGTGCTGGGATTACAGGCGTGAGCCACTGCACCCGGCTCCATGTGGAACTTTCAAATGTGAAATTGCTCAAAATGGAGCTGCCCTGTTGAAGCAGGCATGGGGGCTGCTCCACCCTCCCCAACTCACCTCCTCACTTTGATATCTCCTAGGGAATCCTTGGGGAACCCATTTTGAAAACCACAGGCCATCAGGGGACAGATGATGAAATTGAGACCCAGAAAGGGGCAGTAACTCACCCAGGAACCTGAAGCAGGCACTCAGTTAGAATTATTTTCATTAGCAGCATCGTTTTCCTTTTTTATAAGAGGGCTTTCCTGTGTTTCTTTTGGCCATCGATCTTAATTAATCACCTAGAGATATGTCTTTCAATATTGACACTTACTTAGCAGCTGACATTTCTGAATTATTCCCTCTCCTGCCTTCCTCATAGCCATAGATAAAGGCTGGATGGATATTTATTGTTAAAGCAAGGAAAATGGGGCTTTTTATTTGGAAGCTTTTGAAACACTGTATTTACCCAAATAATCCTGCCTGAGTCTGCAGGTGTTTGGAGACCCAGGAAAATGTATTTGACAAAATAAATGAATAAAAATTGTGACCAGAGTGAATCCCCACATGAGGCGGTATGTAGGGGATCTTAAGAGTCCTATTTGAATGCAACATCTCCCTCCACTTCCCACATCCCCCCTTTTGCAGCCCCCACATCAATTTGGTGTTCTAGACCACGTGGTCTTCCTCCTTCAAAACCTAATTTCCACATGGATTTAGCCAGCAGTGACCAGCTACATGAAGAGCTTTAGTGAGAATCAATAGGCGAGATCCCTGGAGTGGGCTCTATGCCAGCTGCATGTGAAACATCCCAGCTAGGATGAGGAGCAGCGAAAGAAAGATGGATGCTTGCAAGACATCTGGGACATTGGATGTTTAAGGGCAAGGTGAAGTGACTCAGAGAGGCTTGGTGACTTGCCCAAGGTCACACAGTGACTTACAGGCAGTGCCCTCATCCTCTAGGGTTCCTAGGCTGGGGCCCTTTCCAACACACTGAACCATTTCTTTGCTGAAAGCAGGCTGCCCTTTGCTTTATTATGGAGGTAATAAACCAATTCTTTAGTGTGGCCAAAGAGAGAGAGGGAGTGAGCTGTTAATTAGAGGATGACTTTTAGGGCACGTAAATGGGCAATACTATCAGAGCAGGTAGAGATCACCCAAGGTGTGTCCGGCTGTCCCTGAGTGATGGGAGGTTCAGGAACAGAGAAGACCTGGTGCCTGCCAGCAAGTGTGGAAGAAACACATGTGAATTCAATTCAAGGCTGGCGAGGCTCGTGCTTGGCTCCCTGCACACTTTGTGTTCTGGGAGTGGGTGGAGAACACAGTCTTCTCCAAGCCTGACCCTGGCAGCCTGGCAGATTTCATTTCTTCCTTTTCTACTTGGGAGACAGACAGGCTCCAGGGCCAGGCTGCCTGGGGTTCAGATGCTGGCTCTTACTGCATGAATCTGTGATCTTTGGCTAACTGCTTGTGCTTGTAGAATGGGGATAGTAACAGTACCTTTCTCACAGTGTGGTGGTGAGGTCCTAATGTGACAATCCACAGCATACATGCTTAGGAAGTGCCTGATGGAGTCAGCAGGCAGTTTGCATTACCTGTTACTTTAGGGCATCTTAGAAGGGAGTGCGATTGTTTCTGCGTTTAAATAATAATGTTTATCACTTTCTCTGATTATAAAAGTCACATATAAGGCTGGTGCAGTGGCTCACACCTGTAATCCCAGCACTTTGGGAGGCCAAGGTGGGTCAGGAGTTGAGGTCACTTGAGGTCAGGAGTTCAAGACCAGCCTGGCCAACGTGGTAAAGCCCCATCTCTACTAAAAATACAAAAATTATTTGGACATGATGGCAGGTGCCTGTAATCCCAGCTACTCAGGAAGCTGAGGCAGGAGAATCCCTTGAACCTGGGAGGCGGAGGTTTCAATGAGTCAAGATCACACCACCGCACTCCAGCCTGGGTGACAGAGCAGGACTCCATCTCAAAAAAAAAAAAAAGAAGTCATATATATCTCAGCTACCTAAAGCTAATATTTTGCGTATGTTTCTTCCCAGTTTTTTCCCTGTGTGTTGTGTATGTTTGCATGTTGTTAAGTAAAATATATGAGAAGCCAGTGTTTTGGACTGAACTCTAGCACTAGGCCCCAACACACCAACCCAAAATGGAGTCATTCAAGCTGAAGTGTCACATTATCAAACTAAAACCTAAATTGTTTACTTGTAAGATCTGACCTTCCAGGAAATCAGGAGGAAGATGATAGCTAAATCTCCAAAACAGGCTAGTTTTAGCTGATGTGATGAAGTCCTCTCTGTTTTAACCGATACAAGGAAAGTGACTTTAAATGACCAATCCACATTTTGTTCTTTGTTTCTGCCTTCTTTAGCCTTTTCCTGTCTATAAAGCCCATCCCTTCTATTCAGCTCAGCAGAACAACTTTCTTTCTTTCTTTTTTTTTTGACACAGGGTCTCACTCTGTTGCCCAGGCTGAAGCGCAGTGACTCTATCTTGGCAACAGAGCACCTTTCTGTTTTGTAGATGGGATGCTGCCCAATTCATGAATCACAATAAAAACAAATGAGATCTTTACAACTCAATTTGTTGAAATTTCATTTCTTTGACAGTTTGTGTGTGTGTGTGTGTGCACGTGCACATGTATGCATACATATATCTCTATATAAATGAGTATGTATTGTCAGTATAATTTAAACAATAAAGCCATGATTCTCATAAATCTAGAATGAACATGAGTCAAAGATTGATTTAATGAGGAGGCCAGCAAGATGGAAAAGCTAGCTCTCAGGAGAATTCAAGGAACAGTGATTATGTAGGCATTGGAGAAAGAATGCCTGAATATGATGGCTGGATTGGATATAAAACTGGTTAATGCCCTATAAGGCAGAAAACCATAACCTTGGGGTTTATCTGTTTTACTAGCCAAAAAAATCTACAAGTTCATGTGTAACTTTATACAAAGTTACATTCCTCTAGAATCCCCTGGGTAATTACAGGATTCTTGGGTAGGCTTGCTAAACAGTACTCCAATATGAGGTTGAAATGACACAGACCTCTCTTTGCCTTTTGCCACATTACAGATGACTTTTCTTAACAGTATCCATATATTCTTTTTGATCACATGCTAGAAAACACTGCGGACCTCACCTTTCTCACTTGATATTATAGCGCATCCATTTTCTTTTCTTTTTGAGACAGAGTCTTACTCTATCACTCAGGCTGGAGTGCAGTGGTGCCATCTCGGCTCACTGCAACCTCCGACTCCCTGGTTCAAGCGATTCTCCTGCCTCAACCTCCCGAGTAGCTGGGATTACAGGCATGCACCACCACCACACCCAGCTAATTTTTGTATTTTTAGTAGAGACAGGGTTTCACCATGTTGGCCAGGATGGTCTTGATCTCCTGACCTCACGATCCGCCCGCCTCAGCCTCCCAAAGTGCTGGGATTACAGGCGTTTGAGCCACCGCACTCAGCCAGCGCATCCATTTTCAAAAGAAAGTTTTGATCTGCTCATAAACCCAGCTTGACTCACCCTCTGTGGGTGCCCCCAGCATCTTCCTGGGGGTCCCAGGGTAGCTGGACTCGCCGCTGCCACCCTCACATTTTATTGTAATCTCCAATTTCCCTGTCTCTTTCTCCATTCGAACTGAGTTTTTTGAGATCATGGATTTGCTGAGCTGAACTGGCTTCCTGATCCCATCGTCCCAAGCATCTATTATGTGAGCACATAGTGATCGACTTCAGTGTGGCTTGCTGAGTGAATACACATGGATTTTAAGAAGCCTGGCTTTCGTCAGTTACAAAAGGATGAGCTGTGCTGTTAGGGATCGGCAGGGACTCCTCTTCTGGAGTATTTGAGTCAAAGCAGCTCCCACCTCTCATGCAGGGTGACAGCCTATCCACTACTCCCATCTCTAATTCTGCCATTTAATTGTATTTGGACGCAACACACTTAGTCTAGAAAACCAGTCATGCGTCTTTTCACTAGGACTCCCTTGACCGAGCTCTCTGGTTTTCTAACTTTCTTTGCTAATCAAGGTCTTAAAGGGGTAAAAAGTTCTTGGCCTCCTAAAGCTTAGGAGGGACAAGTGTGACTTGAAGGATTAATCTCCACGCTATGAATTTTAAAGCTCTCTGGTTCCATGTGCTGGGAAAAGCCATCAAAATGCTAATGACTCTGTGGTCTTGCCTCCTGCGGACCTTTTCTGCATTAGAATATATTTACATGGACTTGAGCAGGGAAGCATTACAAAGAGTTGGGGTGCAGTTTTCCCAGTATTCCGCTGCAGCCCTGTGGGTTATAAAGTCTGAATTAATAGCCCCAGTTGCGGCCTTCAGCTTCCTTGCTAGCTGCAGGGTGGCCAGTTTAGAAACATCTCTATTACTGGCGTGTGGCTTTTTAATACTGCTTCTCTCCGAGGCAGACTATCCTTGGGCATGCGTTCCTGTGTGTTTAATACTGCACATTGCATCCACGTGGAGTTCAGGGTCTGGAACATGTTGAGACACAATTCATACCAAAGCCAACTTCAGCACTGAGACAGTCTCTGTTCTTCTTGAACCATGTGCCAAAGCACTGGCTGTGCTTGTAACCTTTGAAAGCCTGGTATCTTTGCTCAAACAGCCCAATGACCCAAGATGTAAGATCTCAGATGTATCCTTGAGAGGATTAATACTATGGTGTTGGCCACACCTGGCCTCTAATGCAGGCTGGAGTTAATGAGTGCCGTGGCTTGGGCAGCTTTGGCTCTGTGACTGTGGTTAAGATGCCTGACTCCTCTGAGCTGTGCGGTGTAGGAGAAAGAAGAGTGCAGTTTAGATGAAAAGGGAGGTCCAGTGGATAGTCCTTGTCCTTACCTCCTTGAAGTGATGAGAAAGTGCTTTCAGACAGCACAAAGAGGGAGCAGATGTGGGACAATGCCCACCGATGGCAAGAGGTTTTGGGCTGCCACAGGCTACACATGCTCTTTCCTACTCAGTTGACCAGTGCGGCTGTGTCTGTCTATGGCAGGTCCTACACAGGAGGGCACACAGAGACCCTGGCTGGCATGTGCTGTCTGCAGAAAAGCCCCAGACCAGATGGGAGGCGTGAGGGGAAATGATTCTTAACAGCAGTTGCATTGAGAATAAACAGTCTCAGGCAATCATTTATGGGGATTGGGACATTCCCTCCCTCCCTGGCCCTTCCACCCTCCTCATCCCACCAAGAGCTAATGGGCTCAGATCGGAAGGCCCATGCTTCTGGGTAGACCCTTGGGGCCCCTTGCTGGCAGTGCCCAGAGCCTGCTGCACTGTGTCAAGTACAGTAAGGAACAGCCTCCTCTTTCTGAGCAGGAATAGATCCCCATCTTTCTGAGGATGTCATGGTTTCACTTCAGCCCCACTGAGACCCTGAGGCACAATTAACCAGGCTGATTGGGACTCATTCTGGGAACAAAGGGTGCTGGGCCCAGTGACAGGACGAGCAGGTGGGAAGCGCTTCCCTCCCCCAGCCAGACAAGTGCAGGTGGAGAGCCCGGCAGACACTGCAAGGTTCTCAGCGCTCAGGTGGCTTCATTAAGGGCTGCCCTGGGGTTTGCTGAGCTGGGGACGCAGCCCCAAGACATCCTGAGCATGCCTTGGCTCTCCTCCCTCTCCCCTGCCCCCACACCAACCCCCTATGTAGCTAATTTAAAACAAAGCAAAACAAAGCCCTGGCTTTGCTTTGGAGCCATAAATTGCAGAGCTTTTATCTGTCAACAAGCAATGCATCAGGCTGGCAGTGGCCCAGCCTGGATCCTGTGGCCTGGCATCGGCTTGGGAGACGAGGTCTGAGGCTGAGCTGGCATCCAGGGTCTCCCTGAGGACGCTGCTCCTTCTTGGGGCATAAGGCCAAATTCTTATGGCCTCGGGACTCAGAAGGGTGGCTATTTCTCCTAGGAGCCAGGAAGAGATGTAGGGTGACTAGGGTTGGGAGTACAGAGCCAGGGTGGGGAGAAGGGGAGACAGAGAGAGAAATGGAGAGAGAGGGAAAGAGAGATGGAGAGAGAGATGGAGGAGGGAAGAGGGAGATGGAGAGAGAGTTTGCCAACAGAAGCTAACCAGGGAAAGGCTTATCACTGGGTTGGTCAACTCTCTCTCTTCCTTTGTTCCTTGCTGCCTCTTCCAGGAAGTCTTCCTGGCTCTCTTCCTCCTCTGAAATCCGACTGACTTGGGATTCTAGGACAACAGGAGACTCTAAACCAGTGGTCTTCAATGTTATCTGGAAAGTTAATATATAAATTATTGTGAAGTCCAATTGTTGTGAATTAAGTGTGTTGTGTGTGTGTGGAGGGGTGTAGCCCCCATCTGTTCTTTGTGAGAACAAAAAGGAGGGAGGGAGGGAGGGAGGGAAGGGTTCCCAGGAGAATAACTTGGAATCATGAATCATAGCTACTCCCTTTTTTTCCCCATTTTTTTTTAGTTGTCATAAAATACAACATAAAATTTACCATCTCGGCCATTTTTAAGTACACAGTTCAGTTATTTTAAATACATTCATAATGTTGTGCAACCGTCCATGCCATCCATCTCCATAACTCTTTTTATTTTGTAAAATGGAAAATCTATATCCATTAAGCAATAATTCTTCCCATTTTCCTCTCCTCCCAGCCCCTGGTAACCTCCATTCTATTTCTGGTCTCTGTGATTTTAACTATTCTACATGTTTCATGTAAGTGGAATCATGCAGTATTTGTCTTTTGTGACTGGCTTTCTAAAATTTAGCATAGCATTTTCAAGGTTCATCTATGTTGCAGCGTGTCAGAATTTCCTTCTTTTTTAAGGTTCACTAATACTCCATTGTGTAGATAGACCACATTTTGCTTATCCATTCATCTGTTGATGGACACTTGAGTTATTTGCATGTTTTAGCTGTTGTGAATAATCCTACTCTGAATATGAGTGTACAAATATCTCTTTGAGACCCTACTTTCTTTTCCTACTGTCTTGTTCCTGATCTTAGAAGAAAAGCTTTTGGTCTTTCACCATTGACTACGATGTTTGCTGTTTGCTGTGGGTTTTTCATATATGACTTTTACAGTTTTGAGATAATTTTCTTGTATTTTTAGTTGAATGTTTTTATTATAAAAGGATGTTGAATTTGTCAAATGCTTTTTCTTTTGGGTATATACCTAGAAGTGGAATTGCTGGATCACATGGTAATTCTATTTTTAATTTTTTGAGGAACTGTCATACCGTTTTCTACAGTGGTTGTACCATTTTACATTCCCACCAACAGTGGGAACAGGGTTCAAGTTCCTTCACATCCTAGCCAACACTTGTTATTTTTTATTTTTTATTTTTTTTTATAGTAGCCATGCCAGTGGGTGTGAAGTTGTATCTCACTGCAGTTTTATTTATTTGTTTACACTTGATCTTAGCCAGAAAGCTGAGAAATGATTATTTATTTATTTATTTATTTATTTGAGACAGGGTCTCATTCTGTTGCCCAGGTTGGAGTGCAGTGGTGTGATCTTGGCTCACTGCAGCCTCTTTCTCTCATACTTAAGTGATCATCTTGCCTCAGCCACCCAAGGAACTGAGACTACAGGCATGTGCCACCATGCCCAGCTGACTTTTTGTATTTTTTGTAGAGACAGAGTTTTGCTATGTTGCCCAGGTGGGTCTTGGACTCTTGGGCTCAAGAGATCTGCCCATCTCTTCCTCCCAAAGTGCTAGGATTACAGGCAGTGTGAGCCACTGTGCCTGGCCTCATTGCAGGTTTTGATTTGCATTTCCTAATGTTTAGTGATGTTGAGCATATTTTCATATATTTATTGACCATTTGTATATCATCTTTGGAGAAATGTCTTTTAATCTTTTCTGCCCATTTTTTAATTGGGTTTTTTTGTTGTTGCTGAGTTTGAGTTTTCTATATTTTCTGGATATTAATTCTTTGTGAGATATATGATTTGCAAATATGTTCTCCCATTCCATGGGTTGCATTTTTGCTCTGTTTGTATTGTCTTTTGATGCACAAATTTAAATTTTTTTCATGAAGTCTGGTTTGTCTATTTTTCCTTTTGTTGTCTGGGCTTTTAGTGTCATATCCAAGAAATCATTACAAAATCCAATGTCAAATTGCTCTGGCTAGAACTTCTAATACTGTGTTGAATAGAAGTGGCAAATATGGGCATCCTTGTCTTGTTCTTGATCTTAGAAGAAAAGCTTTCAGTCTTTCACCATTGAATATGATGTCTGCTGTTTGCTATGGGTTTTTCATATATGACTTTTACTGTTTTGAGATAGTTTTCTTATATTTTTAGTTGAATGTTTTCATTATAAAAGGGTGTTGAATTTGTCAAATGCTTTATGCACCATTTGATATAATTGTGTGGGGGTATTTTCCTCTTCATTCTGTTGATGTGGAGTATTACCTTGATTTTTGTATGCTTAACCATCCTTGCATTCCAGAAATAAGTCCCACTTGGTCATGGTGTATAATCCTTTTAATATGCTGCCAAATTCGGGTTGCTAATATTTTGTTGGGGATTTTTGCATTAGTGCTCATAAGGGATATTGGTCTGTAGTTTTCTTTTCTTGTAAGTGTCTTTGTCTGGTTTTGGTATAAGAGTAATGCTTAGCTCAGTGCCCTTTTTACAGAAAGTAGCGGCAGATTATATTTTACAAAATTCCTGCTGCTTCTGTGTATCGAGTGTTTATGATAGGCTGGGTACTGTGGGAATCATTTGCAGTCTATTAGCTCATCCAATCCCTAGTTCAAGCCTGTGAGGTGGGACTATGGTTGTCCACACTTTGCAGGTGGATATCCTGAGGTTTGCTGGGATAGAGAATTTTCCTGATGTCACATTGGTAGCAAGAGGCAGAACTGAGATTTAAACTCAGGTTTGCGGGGGCACAAAAGCCTGGCTTCTTAACCACAGTGCTTTACATTGATTTCATGCTGGGGGCTCCTCATCTCCTACCGTGTTTCCTACCCCTGTTGAAGATAGGCAGCAGGCTATACTGGGGAATTAGTCCCTGTGCAAAGCCCATTCACAGGAACCATCCAAACAGTGCTATGCTGTTCAGTTATCCTGACCCTTTACCGATTTTATAGTTCCCCCAAAATGGCATCTTTGCAGGGCTTCCATCAGCAGCTGTCCTTCTGCTGTAAATCAGGCAGTTTGCCTATCCCATGCCTGTTCACAAGCTGGCTTATTGAACACAGTTGGCAAAGCAACTGCCCTGCATACTGGAGCTTGGCTTAGACACAGGAAAGCTTTGGTCTCCTTGTGGCACTGTTTAATTCTTCAGCACCTGGGTCAGCAAAGGCCAAGACAAGAGGCAGCTCTGACCATTCCTTCCCGAAGGCCTTACCTGTAGATCTATGGATACAACAAGTGGTACAGTGGGGTGAGCTAGGGGGTGATGGTGTTTGACGACGTGGTCTCTCCTCAGACCTACTGACTCTGGAAGACTAAAGCTAGGCTCTTCAGAGTCCTAAGAGTCTCAGTTTCTCAGGGTCTAGAGAAAATTATACAAGTAGTTGAGGGTCATTCATTCTCTCTCTCTTTCTCACCATTAACCTAGTTCTGCCTTCCCACATTCATTTAACTCATTGTTTTATAGATCCACTTGTCTTCCCTCTGTCCTTCTATTCATCCCTGTGTTCATCCATCTCTCCATCCACCCAGTCATTTTCCCATCCCTCAACCAATTATAGCCTAGTTCCTTCTTTCTACCATTCAAGTTCTTTTATAAATCCATTCACTACCCATCCATCCATTTCTCCTAGCAACTGTCTATCCATCCAGCTATTATTTGCAGAGTCAGGAACTGAGACTCAGAGGGAGTAAGATACCACCCATATCTTTGAGGAACTCATAGTCTGGTAGGTGGGAAAAATCACATGAGCAAAAAATATACTATTACCTATACACACAATTTGTGATGTGAGCCCGGAGAACAATGACTTATGCCTGTTGAGAGAGTGGGAAGGTTTCACAAAGGAGTTAACTGAAAGAAGGTTTTGAAGGATGATTAGGAGTTTGCCAAGTGAGGGGAGGGGTGAAACTCAGGGTTAGGAAAGGAAGAGAGGAATTCCAGGAAGAGCAAACATCAGGGAAGTTGGGCTGAGCACACTTTGAGTCCAGGTGAGTTCACTTTTACTGTGGGGTCTTTGCATATGGCAAAGACTTAAAGGTGGGCCTGGAAAGGAATTGGGGATCAGATGATAAAAGGCCTTGTGTCTAGACAAAGGGAGGCCAGGGAACCCACTAAAGCAGGAGACAGACACAGTGCTCTCCATTTATGGGCTCACTCTGACAATGAAGGAGAGGGCAGAGCGGGGAACAAAGGCTGCAGGCTGGCAGACCAGCCAGGAGCCGTGTGCAGCAAGCAGACAACAGTAAGGAGGGTGAGCCCAGCCAGGGACTGGCAGGTTCTATGAGGATGGAGAGTCAAGGCTGCTTTGGGACACATGAGGTGAATAGAATCAGTAGCTGGGAAATAGACAAGAGTCTTTGATCTGGGTTTTGGTTGCACAGGGATGCTCTGTTTGTGAAAATTCAGTGGGGTATATATTCATGGTGTGTGTGCTATTGTGTATGTATGTTATATTTCAATTAAAACAGTAACAGTAGAGTAGGAAACATCAGGAGACATATTAAAGTTTCTCATCTGGGCCTCATCCAGGACACTGAAGTGGGCTGACCAAATTTTTCTTGTAAATTGAGAGCTCCACCCCTAGTTTGGAAGAAAGAAGAGGAGGAAGAAGCTCTAACTTTTGAGCCAGGCCTTGCAAAATGGGTGAAATTGGCTTATACTCATCGTAGTTACTGCCACCTATTAAGCTCTGGTATTTTGCAGATTCTAAGGCACACTTTTTTTTAACATCTTAATGTCTCTAAAACCAGGATGCATTGTGCAAAAAGTGATATCATAGTTAATTTAATTAATTGGTAGTGTTTTCTGTTTCTTAGAAGTACTTAAAATTATGGTGTCATTATAATCCATGGAGACTTCCATTCAAGAGCCATGATATCGTGTGCCAGGCTCTCTGCTAAATCCTGCTACACATTTCTTATCGAATCTCACAACAGCCTGTGAGTCATCAGCTGTTGTTAGCCCTGTGTCATAGCTGAGGAGTCCAGGCATGACGTAGATAGGTCGCTTGCTCTGGGTCACAGCTAGTAAGAATTTGATTTAGGATTTCAACCTGTGCCACCCCAAACATTCGGGAGAACTGTGCACAGAGCAAGATCAAGTCTGGGGCTGGGAGGGTTGTCGGGACTTCCCAAAGCCCAAGACTAATCGGGTCAAGGGTGACCCCTGTCGCCTGCCCACCAGGCTTACACTCTGCCACTTGCACCCAGGACCCGTTCCTGCTCTTAGCCCTAAACCTTGGGATTCTTTTCTCCATCTCCCAGGACAGCTCTGGCTCTAACATCTGTAGTGACTCCCCTCCCCCGCAGAGAGGAGGGGACTGCAATGAGATCTCATGGGCAAGGGGGAAAACATTCTCAGCCCAGCTGGTTTCCCTCACACAATGCAGATTTGCTTAAATGGGAATTAGGATTAGTGCTGGGTTTTGCCTCTTCTGGCAGGCTGGTAATAAACTAATCTCCTCTGAGGCTGCAGGAAGGCAAAATTCCACCGAAGACGGGAGACAGCTTAAGGCTCTGGAGCGCAAAACCTGGAAAGTAATTTTGTTATTGACAGGCGCTGCCCACACCTCTTGACATGCAGCCCGCAGCTCCTTCCCGGCATGGCTGCAGCTTTTAATTCCGTTAATGTGTGACATTCACCCAGGCTGCGTGGCTGACAGGCACTCTTGACACTAATACGTGTTCCGTGCAGTCCCTGGAGCTCATAAAAGCTCATTATCAGTTCTGAGCCAATAAATGCAGTTCCTGGCTCAGGTAGGCCCGAGTTCCTCTGCGATGCTGCAGACAGTAGAGCAGGGACATCTGCGCCAGCCAAGTCCCACACGCCTCCCTTTGTCCAGGGCCCTTGGCTTACCAGGCCACTGGAATGTGCCTAGGAAAGCCATTCCATAGGCAGAACCCTGGGTTCAAGTTTACATCAAAGAAAAGGGGTTCCTTCTGCCCTGCACTGTGAGGTGACTCAATCCAGCATTTTGGGAAGGCAGTTTGTCAGCACTACCCAAAGGCGGGATGTGGCCAGCCTCTCCTCTGCCAACTTCTAAACTTCTGGGCTTTGGAATTGCATGAACATTTCTACACCAAGATGGGCACCCAAGGGGTCATTGCAGCAAGGCTATAGAGGCCAGAAATGGAAATATTCGACACAGCCATGGTGGGAAATAAACAAATGGTAAATAAATTATGGCCCACATGTACTACGGGATACTGTGCAGCTATGAAAAGGACTCAAGATCCATTTTGGACATGATATCATTGACAAATGATATTGCAGAATGTGTGTGGTAAGATCCCACTTTTGTAAAAAGTCACACTGCATGTGTGCTCACATAGGTACATGCTTACACACACATGCATACACGTATTTGATTAGGTAGAATAAAGTCTAGAGGGTCTCACTCCAGAGCGTTTGCAGTGGTTCTCTCTGTTAAACAGGATGGCTGGTAAGGAAGCACATGTACTTTTGTAGTTAAAAATGAAAAATTTATATATGTATAAATAACTTGCCCAAGGTCATACCTATATATACACATATGTGTGTGTGTGTGTGTGTGTTTGTGTGTGTGTGTTTATGGGTTTATAAATGTAACAAATTCCTCTGATTGTAGCCTTAGTCTGGTTCATGATGCATGAGGTCCCCCTGCGCTGACACTGCCTGGATGGACATTTGAGGCCCAGATAGCTAAATAAAATGAGGTCCCATCCTCCAGCCAATCCCTATTTTCCATCAGTTAATGGGAGTTCAGAGACTCCCTTGCATGCCTGAGCTGCCCTGATGCTGGGGTCTGTGGGGTAGACCTCGAACTCATCACCTTCCTGCTTACATCCCTCCCACTGTGAGGCGAACGTGATAACCACTACACTACGGAAACCAACATCCCTCCCACTGTGGAGATGGCACTAGCACCGGGCTTGACTTCCCACAGCCAAAGTTCTAGTCCCAGCTCAGACTCATTTCAGTGGTGTAACCTTGGGCAAGTTATTTAACTCCTCTGAGCTCACAGTCCTCATTCCTGAAGTGGTGACACTTTCTCCTGGGGTTGTAAGGGGCATCAGGTTGATCATCATTATCATTCGAGAGACCTGAAACTTGATCAGGGTTTCCACTGTGCAGCTAGTCTCTGAGGGCAGGAGGAGCCTGGGAGGGGAGAGATTGGGGAACTTCGCTTTCTCCCCTGTGCTCTGGAGGCTGTAAGTTTTGCTCTTATTTCTCAGCTGTGCATGTGACTGAGCCAATCTCTTGGGACTGGCCTGTCTCTGCTGGCAGGTATGTGGCCTGGACATGGTGAATTTGATCCTTCTCTGGTGACCTGGGGATGCTTCATCAAACTGACAGAAGGGAAGGGTTGGAGAGGCTGGACTTCTAACCCCACTGGCATTCTGGAACTGAATTCTTTTTTTACCACCGGAGACTTTCCTTACTATTACTTATCTCTTCATGGATAGCAGATCTTGAAAGTGTTGGGTCTGCCCAAAGAGCCTGTATTCATTAGGCAATGATTAATTCTTTTTCCTAGTTTCAAAATGACTCAGAAAGCCTTTTTTTCAGCCTGAGGAAACTGGAGTTCCCACACCAAGTTGATAATATTCTAGCTGGAAGCAAAGAAACACAGTGTGATGTTTTGATTAGCATGTTCAATGCCATCACATGGATATATAGGCTCCGGGCTGACTTGGGAAGATTGAAAATATGCCCCCATTCACAGGCTCTGGGGACGCTATCCTGGGAAGCTTTGTGGGGCTGGTGCTTAGTCCTGCCTTTCCAGCTGTATTAGTCCATTCTTGCACTGCTGTAAAGAAATACCTGAGACTGGGTAATTTATATATAAAAAAAGATTTAATTGGCTCACAGTTCTATAGGCTGTACAGGAAGCATGACAGCATCTGCTTCTGAAGAGGCCTCAGGAAACTTACAATCATGGTGGAAGGGGAAGCACGCATAGTGACAGATAGGGACAGGAGAAAGAGAGAGAGAGGGGAAGGTGCTACACACTTTTAAACAAGCAGATCTCACGGTATCTCACTCACTATCATGAGAACAGCACTGAGGGGACAGTGCTAACCCATTCATGAGAAACTATCTCCATCATCTAATCACCTCCCACCTGCCTGGATGGAGATCTGAGGCCCCATCTCCGACACTGGGAATTATGATTCAATTTGAGATTTGATGGGGACACATTCAAACCATATCACCAGTCATGGGTGCCCCGTCTGGCTTCTGTGCTTGCAGTAATGGAAGTGGGGAAAGGAGACCTTGGGGAGTGGGAGCCACATGTGGACTGAGGTGGTCCCCAAGGACTCCTGCCTTTTTGAAATGTGTTTCTCTCTCTTCTTTCTCTAGAGTGTATCCAGAAGCTACTGTCAGGAGGACACTGTAAGAGAACCTTGGCACCTCTGGGCCCAAAGGGAAAGACACCAGTGGAAAGAGGTATGATGTGGCAACATGGCAGGGTGGCATCTTCACTTACTCGAACAAGAGGGTCTACTCTTCTCTCTTCTTCTCTTCCTGCCCTCCAAACCACCACTTCCATGTGAGAGGGCTCTCAGCTCTTGCCCAAGGGGTGCAGGGCAGGAGAAGGGTGGCTTCACTCTTGTCCTCACCCCTAGACATTTACTCATGGGTGAGGGCAACGGGGCCACCTTGGTGCAGGAAGTGAGTGTTGATGGATGGCAGGGAGTGAGCCCTTCAAGGAAGAGTAGAGCTCCTGGGGGCTCCAGGCAGGGTCATGAGGGCTCATGGAATCTGTATCAAGGACCCCTCCCTGACCTCAGCCTCCCCCATACCCACCACAGTCTTGGGACCGTGATAAGGAGATCGCTTCCTAGGGTGATTACCTTCCCTCTGCCCTCGATAATCTTTTGGACAAAGTCTAAATCCACAAGTACTAGGATCAATCACCACATTCCATGGTGAAACTGAGAACAGAAAAGCCTTGGTCTGTTTCGGAGGCTCTGGGAAGTCCTTCTTGAGCTGACCATGATTCTGGGACTGGTGGTGGGCTGGGTGGCCTCATGGAAGCTTTCTGGATGAAAAGCCAGGATGTCTGTCCTCTGAGCAGCCTCAGCCACCAATGTGACTTATAAGTCATTTCCCTCATTGGTCCTCATTTTCTCATTGTAAAATGAGGCAGCTGCAACTTGAATCTCTGTTCCAGCACTCACGCCCTCCATTTCTGGGATTCCAAGACCAGGGCTGAAATAGAAGAAGTGACAGGTCAGGGGTTGGGAGGTTGTGGAAGGCCATGGAGAGGAGAGGGGATCTGAAAACTCCGAGGAGATCTGATTGCCTGTCTTGGGCAAAGGACGATGGCTCCGACCCTTGGTGGTAAATCACAGGGTCCGAGGTGCAGAGGAACCTTGGTTTGAGTCCCTGCCTATCAGAAGAGAAACCAGCAATATGATGGAGGGCTTCATGCGCCAGGCACAGTGTGACGCTCACTCACTGCACCATCCCATTCTGTCCTCTCATCTGTCATGTCATCTTGCCACTATGATCACCTCCACATTACAGAAGAGAAAACCAGGCCTCAGAGAAGTTAAGTGACTTGTCTAAGGTCACATAGCACTGAGTAATGTCATCGAGATTTGAAGCCACTGCCTGAACTGCCATACAATTCTTGTGTCTTTTGCTTACTTCAGTCTGTGACTTGAAGCTTAAGATTAAAAATAATTAGCCAAATCATCTCTCTGAAGTTCCATGTCCTGTAAAAACATAAAAATGGTTTGTTTCCTTGTCCTATACTTTGTTTTGTTTTGTTTTTAAATTTTGGGCATCTCATGAAATCCCTGCAGGCCTTGATTTTCTGATCTCTAAAATGGGACAGTGACACCTACTCACAGGTTGCTTTGGGGAAGACGAGGAAGACTTAGGAAGCTCCCCGCACTGTTTCTTGTACATGTGCCCTCAACACCCGCTCCACCTGCTTCCCTGCCTGGGTTGCTGGTAGGTGGTTGGGGTGTGCAGATTGTAAAGTGCTGCACCACTGCCTAATGGCATTTTCTATTTTGGCTGCCTCTGTGCCCATAGTCAGAAAGCACTTGGCCACTTTCTTAGTCACCAATCTGATAGTTCACTCACCCTTCTGGAGTGTGCCACTGGCTGCCCTAGATTATTTTAAGCTGGAATCCAAGACAGGGTGGCCGGCTCCCAGGGGCAGATAAAAACAGGGCCAGGCTGAGGCCTTAGTGGACAGTGTGGGAGGAGAAGTGAGGCCTGGGGCCTACTCAGGCTGTCCCTCACTGACAGCGTCTGTGTCCCACGGCTCACCCTGCCAGCTGCCAGGACCATAATCTTAATTGTAAACCTCCTGGCAGCAGCTGCCCTGATCCCCACAGGAAGCGGTTGCCTTATCACAGAGCCTGGATCCTGCCCAGTATTCTTAATCTGGAGAAGGCGCTGAAGTGAGTCAGAAAAACCTTCCCATCCCCAGGACCTTTCTTCTCAGGGACGTTTCTCCATCAGGGGAAGTCGTGGGCCTCAAGCCTCGGTGTATAAGAGTAAAAAATCTCTTTAAGTGCAGAGCAAAGCAGCAGGGGTGCTGTTGTTCTTGGTTTACTTTCAGGAGGACAGCCCAGGGAGCAGAGCTATTTAGCCTTGCCCCTCTTGTTAGCCAGGAAACAGATAAACATTATAGCATCACAGGGAAAATATAAAGATGACCACAAAGCAACAGGCAGAGAGGCATGTGCTGTCATGGAAAAGCTTTGCTGGGGTTTTGGAGCCAGAAGATTGGGGGCTGAGTCCCAGCTCTGCCCTTCAGTAGCTGTTTGGCTTGGGGGTGAGTGACTTGATCCCCCATAGCCTCAGTTTTCTCATCTGTAAGATGGGCAAAGAGCATGCACCCCACAGGGTGGTTGTAAGGTCAAGGTGACTACCATGGGAAGCCCCTGTTTGCTTTGAACAATGGCAGCCCCCTTGGAATAGTGTAGCCTCCCAAGGTGACCTCTTTGAAGAGTGCCAGGCTCTTGGGATGTAAGAGCTGGGTGTTTGTAACCAAACAGTGGGGTTACCCTGGAGACACATAACTCCTTCTGTGTGAGGTCTAAAAAAGGGCTGTGAGAGGGACCTGGGTTGTGTCAGCTCCCTGTCCTGATGTGCTATCACTTGGAGCTACCTCAAGTATGAGCAGTTCATCCCAAGCCTCTAGCTGATGGCTGACACTTCACTCACAGCCATCTTTACTGGAGTCTTTCTGTAGATGATTGTTAATCCTACCCACACCCCAGAAGGCGAGCATTAATAAGCTATTTAAATGACTCCAGGCTTCATGTCTAAAAAGCAGCAAGGTTAAGGACCCAAACACAGGGTTCCTAGCCCAAGGACAGTGTTTGTGGGAGCTCCTCATGGCATTCTCTGCATCTAGAGGTGCCCTCTGTGCCCATGGTGGCACTCTTCTCCAATTCACCACCCAGTCTTGCACTGAGTGTGGAGCTCAGGCAGAAATGAAAGTCTCCTGATGTTTTTATCTCCCCTGCCCATAGGGCCTGAGGCAGGCTGAGTGAGAGAAGGCAATTTCTATGGATTCCCCAGGCTTCAGTTTATCTATTTTTTTGTTATTGTTGCTCAAGCTTTTGGTATTCTAAGAATCCATTGCCAAATTCGAGATCATGGAGATTTACTCCTGTGCTTTATTCTAAGAGTTTTATTTAGCTCCTATATTTAGGTCATAGATTCTTTTTGAGTTAATTTTCATATATAGTGTGAGGTAGGGATTCAGTGTCATTCTAGTGTATGGGGACATCCACTTGTCCTTGGCACTATTTGTTGAAGAGACTGTCTATTCTCCAGTGTATTGCCATTGCTCCTTTGTCATATATCAGTTGACATATATATGCGGCTCTATTTCTGGGCTTTCAATTCTGTGCCAATAATCTATTTGTCTGTACTTTCACAAATACCACACCATTTTATTACTGTATCTTTATAGTAACTCTTAAAGTTGGGTAGTGTCAGGTTTTCCAACATTGTTCTTCTCTTTCAATTTTTGATTGGCTATTCTGGGTGTTTTGCTTCTCCAAATAAACCTTAGAATCAGTTTGTTGATATCCATAAAACAACTTGCAGGATTTTGATTGGGGTCGTCTTGAATCTGTATATCAAGTTGGGAAGAACTGACATCTTGACATTATTGAGTCTTCCTATTTTTGAACACTGATCAGTGTTTTCATTTATTTACTTCTTTGATTTCTTCAATATAGTTTTGTAGTTTTCCTCATACAGATCTTACACATATTTTATTAGATTTATTCTCAAGTATTTTATTTCTTTAGGTGTTAATAGAAATGGTTTTATGTTTTTAAATTTCAAATTCCACTTGCTCCTTGCTGGTAGATAGGAAAGCAATGACTTTTCTATATTAACTTCCTATCCTACAACCTTAGTATAATTGCTTATTTGTTCCAGGATTTTTTTTTTGTAATTTCTTTCAGGTTTTCTACATAAATGATCATATCTTCTGCAAAAAAAGACAGTTTTACTTCTTCCTTCTCAATCTGTATGCCTTTTCTTTTCTTGTCTTATTGCAGTAGCTAGGACTTCCAGTATAATGTGGGAGAAGGGACATCCTTGCCTTATTCCTGATCTTAGCAGGACAGCCTCAAATTTCTCATAATTGAGTATGATATTAACTATCGGTGTTCTGTAGATGCTCTTTATCAACTTGAGGAAGATCCCCTTAATTCCTAGTTTGCTGAGAGTTTTTATCATGAATAGATATTGGATTTTGTCAAATGCTTTTTCTGCATTTATTGATATGATCCTGCAATTTTTCTTCATTAGATTGTTGATATGATGGATTATACTATTTGATTTTTTTTTTTTTTTTTTTTTTGAAACAGAGTCTCACTCTGTTGCCCAGGCTGGAGTGCAGTGGTGCGATTTCTGGTCACTGCAACCTCCGCCTTTCAGGTTAAGAAATTCTCTGCCTCAGCCTCCCGAATAGCTGAGATTACAGGCGCATGCTACCATGCCCAGCTAATTTTTTTGTATTTTTAGTAGAGATGAGGTTTCATCATTTTGGCCAGGCTAGTCTTGAACTCCTGACCTCGTGATCCACCTGCCTCGGCCTCCCAAAGTGCTGGGATTGCAGGCGTGAGCCACTGCACCTGGCCTATTATTTGATTTGTTAATATTGAACCAGTCTTGTGTACCTGGAATAAATCTCACCTGATCATGGTATCTAAGTCCTTTAATACATTCTTGAGTTTAATTTGTTAATATTTGTTGAGGATTTTTGCATTTACATTCATGAGAGATATTGGTCTGTAGTTTTCTTTTCTTGTAATGATTTTTTCTGGTTTAGGTATCAGCATAATGATGGCCTCACAGAATGAGTTAGGAAGTATTCTCTCCACTTCTATATTCTGGAAGAGATTATTGAGAATTGGTATAATTTCTCCCATAAGTGTTTGGTAGACTTCACCAGTGAACTCACCTGGGCCTGATACTTTCTTTTTTGCAAGGTTTATTGATTAGATTTCTTTAATATTAAGATTGTCAATTTCTTTTTTGTGTGTGAGCTTTGGCAGATTGTGTCTTTCTAGGAATTGGTACATTTTATCTAAGTTATCAAATTTGTAGGCATAAAGTTGTGCACATTTGTGGGCATAGAGTTGTGTATTTCTTTTATCCTTTCATGTCTATGGGACATTCCCATGTCCATGGGAACTGTAGTGATATCCCCTTTTTCATTTCTGATATTAGTAATTGGTGTCTTTTCTGGTTTTTCTTAGTTAACCTAGCCAGAGTTCTATTGATTTTATAGATCTTTTCAAAGAACCAGCATTTGGATTTGTTGAATTGATTTCCTGTTTTCTGAAGGCTATGTTTTAATCGTGGCTCTATCACTAAGTATCTGAGGCTTAGGGGTAAATCTCGTTGATTCTGCATCTCAATTTTTACATCTGCGGAATGGGTGTGGCGATAACAATGCCTAGCCCTGAGTTGGCTTGAGGGCAAAGGTCAAATGTGAGTACACATTCATTTATTCAGCAAATATTTGTTGGGCCCCTACCATGTACCTGGCACTGCTCTACATGCTGGGAATATCGTTTTGAATGAAATAGCAGAGTCTCTGCCCTTATGGAGCTTGCCTTCTGGTTGAGGGAAACAGAAACCAAACAAATACATTGAATATCAGGTGCTATTAGGTGCTATGAAGTTCAATAATGACAGGAAGGGGCAGGGAATGACTCGGGTGGTGGGTTGGGGGAGGATTGCTATTATGGATAGGAGGTACAGGGAAGGCCTTCCTAATCAGATGTAATTTGAGCAGAGACCTAAAGGCAATGAGGAACAAGCCTTGACATAATCTCGGGGAAGAGGCTTCCTGTTTGAGGGAACAGCAAGGGTAAGGCACATTAGGCTGGCTGGCATGTTGGAGGATCAGTGAGGATGCTGGGGTGCTACACCCAGGGTAGTGTGGATGGAGAGGAGGCCAGGAGTGAATTGGAGGCCCAGCCTGCACAGTGCTGCTAGCTAGGGTGAAGACTTTGGATTTTGAATCTAAAGACTCTAAGTTTGGCAGGAAGCCAGTAAGCAAGAAAGAGACAAGATGAAATTTATATTTTACTAAGATCACTCTGGCTGCTGGGTGGAGGGCAGTCTGCAGCGGGCAGGGAGACCAGTACAAACACTGATGTTGGAATCCATGGGAGAGGCAAGGTGGCTTGGAAGGTGGAATGTGGTGGAGGTGCTGAGAAGCCACAACATTCAGGATCTATTTTGAGAGCAAAGTTGATAGGACTCGCTGATAGGATGGGGATGAGAGAAAGAGGAGTCAAGGCCAACCACAGCTTCTGGCCCAAGATGGAAGAGCCTAGGGTGGGTTCTGGCAGAGAGTGGAGGGAGGGCATATTGAGTTCTTCTCAGGCATTTTAAGTTGAGATGCTTATTAGCCACTAAAGTGGAGGTGGAGAGGAGTGGATGGAGATATGCACCTGGGGTTCAGGGGTGAGGGTGGGGCTGGTCTCCAAATTTGAGAGCCATCAGCTTATAGAGAGTATTTCAAACCTTTGACCATAATGAGATCACTCAGGTAGTGAGTGAAGATGCAAAAGATGACAGAGGACTGAGCCACTGTCAAGGGCAGTCATGTGTTATTTGAGAAAATTCTGGTCCCAGGGAAGGGCGGATATGCTGAACAGAAGTGTGCACCTTAGGCAGGGGCAAAGGTGAGAGGCTTGAGGATGAGTGGAGAAATGAAGCTCTATGCCTTGCTGCAAGGTCTGGCTGGATCTTCTAATGTCTCTGTCAGATCATTCATTCATTCATTCATATGAACAAAAACACTTATCAAGTGTCAACTGTGCTGGAAGCACAGAGCTATTTACCTGTGGGCCCCAGATGTAAATGACATGTAGTGCCTGAGCTGGAGGAGGCCACCATTCAGCTGTTGATGCCTGACATAAAATGTGACAGGAGCAGCAGATGCATTCCTAGGTGTGTTAATCAGCTTTTCCAGAGAAACAACTGGTAGAATATACAGTCAGCTGGATATACAGATAGGATATCAGGATATATATCTGATAGGATATACAACCCTCTGTATCCATGGATTCTGTATCTGTGGATTCAACCAACTGTGAACCAAAAATATTCTAGAAAAAAATGCAAAATAATACAAAAACTTCCCAATACAGTGTATTAGCTATCATGAGTAAACTAGAGATGATTTAATGTGTACAGGAGGATGTGCATAGGTTATAAGCAAATACTATTCCATTTTATATCAGGGACTTGAGCATTAATACATTTTGATATCAAAGACGGTCCTAGAAGCAAGGGATGGATACCTCCGTGGATTCTAAGAGATGACTGTTTATATAAAGAGATTTATTATGAAGAATTGGCTCATGTGAGTATAGAGGCCGAGAAATCCTGAGATCAGCACTTTAAGTTTGTGACTCAGGAGAGTTGATGGTGTAAGTTCCAGTCCAAGGGCAGGAGAAGCCCAGTGTTCCAGCTCAAGAAGTCAGACTGGTGAAGTTTCCTCTTACTCAGCCTTTTGGTCTATTTAGGTCTCCAGTTGATTGGATGAGATCCAGCTACATTGGGGAGGGCCATTTGCTTTACTCAATCTACCTGTTTAAATGTCAATTTCATCCAGAAACAGCCTGGAAGACACTCCCAGAATAATGTTTGACCCAAATTATCCATCACTCTAGGATATATGACACCTAGAGCACATGATTTTTGTATACTTGCTTCCTCTATACAACAAAATTATTTTCAATAATAATGATGAAATAAAATCAATTAGAATAATGGCCAGAAAAGAAACAGACTGAAATTTTTGTGAACTTTGTATGTATAACCATGCCAGTAAACAACCGTTATGACATGGAAAATGTAAAAAGGTAACGGGTCAACAGTTCTTAATTACGTTAATAGATATTTTGACAAAAGAGAAAACAATACATGAAGAAACTTGCAAAATGCATTAATGCTTAAGTCCCTGATATAAAATGGAGTAGTATTTGCTTATATACTGTATACTTTAAATAATCTCTAGTTTATTCATGATAGGTAATACACTGTATTGGGAGTTTCTGTATTATTTTGCATTGTTATTTATTGATTATTTATTTATTTTGAGATGGAATTTTGCTATTGTTGCCTGGCTGGAGTGCAATGGCGCCATCTCAGCTCACTGCAACTTCCGCCTCCCCGGTTCAAGTGATTCTCCTGCCTCAGCCTCCCTAGTAGCTGGGATTACAGACATGTGCCACCACGCCCAGCTAATTTTGTATTTTTAGTAGAAACAGGGTTTCTCCGTGTTGGTCAGGCTGGTCTCGAACTTCTGACCTAGGCGATCCACCTGCCTCAGCCTCCCAAAGTGCTGGGATTACAGGCGTGAGCCACTGCACTGAGCCCGATTTTGAGTTCTTATTCTCCAAATGAACAGGTATCACAGGATCCACACATGTTGGCTTCTGACTGAATAAGTAGGTGCTCTCTGAATTCACACCTATGCAAACACAATGTGTTTTAAAGCCTAAGTAATAAAAATATGCTCATTTGAAGCTTACATACACATTATTAAAACTCACTGGCCAGGCGCGGTGGCTCATGCCTATAATCCCAGCACTTTGGGAGGCCAAGGCAGGTGGATCACTTGAAGTCGGGAGTTCGAGACCAGCCTGACCAACATGGAGAAACCCCGTCTCTACTAAAAATATAAAATTAGCCGGGCGTGGTGGCACATGCCTGTAATCCCAGCTACTAGGGAGCCTGAGACAGGAGAATTGCTTGAACCTGGGAGGCGGAGGTTGTGATGAGCTGAGATTGCGCCATTGCACTCCAGCCTGGGCAACAAGAGTGAAACTCCATCTCAAAAAAAAACCCAAAAAACAAAAAACAAACCCACCAGTGACTGCAGCAATTGTTTAGAACTTAGATCACTAAAAGATTTTTTTTTTCTCAAAGCAGAGCATTTTATCACCGACATTGTTTAGAACTGTCAGCTTTTTGTGGGTTTTAGGTTTGTTTCAAAATTCCCTACAGGCAGTTCATCCCTTTGTTGCCAGCTCCCTGGAAGGACGGCTTCCACTGCCCCGCTCTTGGCATGCCCATAGCAAGATGCTTCCAAGAGGGTTGCTGTGGGGGGATGGGATGGAACGGTGGTCAGAAGGTTGGGGAGACCCTGTAGCTGAGTCCTGCAATAGGACCAGGTAGTCTCCAGGTGGAATGGATGGACACAAGACCAGCCTGGGAACCCCTGGCGTCCTGGGAACCCTGGGTCAATAAGTATTTGGTTGCAGTTCGTAAAAGCCACCAGGGTTCTGAGCACCATTTGTGTACCCGTGCTTGGGGTTATGGAGAGCTGGGCACTAAAAGCTTCATCTCAGAGGCAGTTTGGAGCCTGCGAGGCTGCCTCCCTCCCGGTCCTGTGCTCCTCAGTCGGACTCCCACCCTCAGCCCCTCTCTCTCCTTCCCTTTCCCTTTCAGCAGTGTAGCCCATGGAGGCAGCTGTTCTAATTAAAAATCTCATAAATACCAGGAGATAAGGATCCAGGGGTTTTGTTTTTTATTTCTGCCGAGACTCCCCAGAGAGTCTCTTCAGTAGGAAAGGTCCCTTTGGAGCTGAGATTTTTCTCCTGGACTTCAAAGACAGGGCTTCTTAGGAACAGAACATCTGTTTAAACTGAACTTGAACCAAGAGGCAGGCAGGCATGTCCCACGGGAGAAGGAGGGGGCAGAGCCCAGGGGTGTGGTATCTGCTTTCTGTCCCTGGGGGAAGCTCCTCAGACAGGCTCATTCCTGCATCTCACAGTGTGTCCCCATGCTGGGCAGCTTCTCTTAGTAAATGCAGAGGAAGTGATGGCAGGTGGCCCACAGGCCTGGGGCCAGGCTTTGGGCTGACTGCTGTCCAGATAGCATCCAGGCTCCTGACCTCAAAACCTCTCTATTCAGGAGAGGTAGCAAGGAGACCTGGGGTGACAGAGTTGGCTCCTTCTGCCTGGAGGTCCCTGTGGTCCTCAGAAGTCACCTTGCAATTGGGGACCTCCCAGCTCTTGGCTTTTGCATGGACAGAGCCTCCTTCATCCTCCCTTCTTCCCTCCTTATTTCCCTCCCTTTCTTCTTTTTTTCTTTCCTCCATTCACTAGGCATCCACTGGGGTTCAGAGATGAAAAACTCCCACTCCCTGAGTTCGAAGGACTCACCACCTGATAGAACAACCAGGTTGATCTCAAAAGATAAGAAAAGTTGAGCACTTTGGTTGTGTGTGTGTGGCTGTTCTTGTTAAGACAATAAAACAATTCAGAGCTTGGAAAATGAAGGGAAAAGAAATCATTCACTTCCTCTCTTAGGACCAGAGCCTCCTTCGTTTCCTGCTTTTGTTCACACTCAGGCATGTGTTCAATAGTTGACACCAGAAAGTCCGTTCAGTTGGGCTTCCTGCTTTTTTTCCCCATCTCTCCTGGCCTTACAGTTTGTGAGATTCCTTCCTGGGCATCACAGGGCTGGAGGGCCCCTACTGTTGGACACTCAGCTGTGTCTAGTGTCTGCTGTCACCTGCATACCTCCTGGGAGGGGTCGCCAGGTACAGCAAATAAAATTAAAGGATGCCCAGCTAAATCTGGACTTCCTATAGACAATGACTCAATTTTTAGCATAAATCTGCCCCAAGCAATATTTGTTCCATGTACTATTTAGGAAGAATCACTGAAAGATTATTTGTTGTTTATCTGAAATTCACACTTCACTGGGCATCCTGTATTTTATCTGGGAACCCCGTACCTGGAGTATCTTTTTGCACGTGTGTAGTCAATGCTGCTTTACTTAATAATAGGGAGAACTATCTGGCTAATATGTTCCTCTCCCCATTTGTTGGGAACACTCTTCCTAACTTGAATCGCTCCTGTTCCTGCCCACACTTCTGGACTGCTCTGCAGCTTAGCGTACTTGGAGGTCACCGAATCCCTATAGGTCCTCTCCAGGCACGTTTCATTGCCAGCCTCCTTCTGGGAGCCTCCGGTGACTGCAAAGGTTTGGTTTGCTCCCTCTAGTGGCGGGGGTGGGAGGTGTACATTTGCACTCCTCTTGGGCCTCTGGGGCTGCTTTCTCCAGCGTCCGCCAGCATCTTTGGCAGGGATGGAAACAAGGATTGTGTTCTTGCCACGCTGGAGGGAGCAAGGGCTTGAGGATGTTGCTCCAGGCTGCTAACCTATAGAGGTCGATGACATCTTTCTCTCCATCAATGAATTTATTTTTCATTCCAAGGCAGCTTTCAGGGTGATAAAAATATAAAGCTAAGTGGCAGACGATTTTTTTATAAAAGTGATTGGAGGCTGGGAAGACAGGGTGTTGCCTTGTGGTTAAATGGATTTTCTGTTTAACTGAGGGTTAAGTAGAAAACTCGTTTTGATTCAACCTCTGTTGTTGCCAATCTTTCTAAAATGTATTAGCTGCTCCCTGGTTTTCCTAAGTGCACCATAATGACCATAATTGAATCTCTCTGCTGGCAGAGGATCCTGTGGGGCGTCTGGGCACACTGTTGTAAATGTCAGTCTTCACCGAGTGGCCCAGTTATTGGGCTTTACAGCCTGCAGTGCAGGCTGGTGTGCTCTGCAGTGGCCTTCACATTCGCTGTCTTCTCATTCTATCTGCCCAGCCACCCTGGGCCGGGACTCAGGAAAGGAACTAGTAAGACCACTGTATAGATGTAGAAACTGAGGTCCACTTGGGGAAAGATTGGCCCGAGTCACATCTGGCTGGTGGAGGGGCTGGGACTGAAGCCAGCAGAGACAGCTGTGGTATTGGCCCTGATTTAAATCCTGGTTCTCACTTGCTGGCTGGGAGACCATTAAGCTTCACGAGCCTTGGTTTCTTTATCTGTGAATTGGGCACGATAACCTTTCCCTACAGAGCTACTGCTGGGGTTAAGGGTGAGGATGTGGGTGGGCTGCAGACCACAGCCGTCATATATTTAAAGGGAAAATAGCACCTCTCCTGAAGAAGAAATCAACATACCAGTGCTGGGACCCTGTGTCCAGCTTCTTTCTGCTCTGCCGTCCTTCTTCTGAGTGTTGGTGGTTTTACAGTCAGAACTTGCAGCTGGAATGTCTGGGTTTGAGCCCTGTCTCTGCCCCCGACTCTCCGTGTGACTACAGTCTGGGCCTCAGTTCCCCGTCTATAAAGTGGGGATAATGATCGAAACCTGCCTCCTAGGGCTGCCATGAGGATTCCAGGGAAGGTAGCTGAGGAAGTGCTGGGTCAGGGCTGGCCATTGTCATCCTAGGACCTGGTTGAGTGTGTCTAGTTTCACCATGCTTCTCTAGATTTGGCTTATATTCTGAGTGTTTTAAAGGGATTGGGTTTGGGACCCAAGCTCCCTTTTGGTGCCCCAGGAGCCTGCATGGGCAGCCTGGGGAGGAGAAAGATACCCCCTCTCACAAGCTGGCTTCCTGCACTGTCTGGCACTTTACCCCTCTCTGGGTGCTTCCCCAGGCCTGGTTCTAAAGAAAGATGTTAAGAGAGACCTGAGGGTAGCTTAGGAGCGGACCTAGATGGGAGACTTCTGCCCTGCCATGGCCCCTGAAGTAGGGTACCCTGCCTGGGGGATGCTGGCCCTCAAATAGCTTCCCTATTTGGGAACTTTTGTGCTCCCCCATATGTCATACATTTCTAGCATCTCAAGAGGTGTTTGTTTTTTTCCATATCAAGGGATCCATGGAGTGAAGAGACCTATGTGTGACCTCTGAACCCTTTATGGGGGATTGGGTTGGGGGTGGGGAGGACACCCTGCCAAGGTGAGGCCACCTCATCTGGCCTCTGGGCTGCTGGCTCAGCCACCTCCTGGGTCCTGCAAGCAACTCTGCTTCAGCTCCCGGTCACCAGCACCTACTTATGCCAAGCTGCTGCCTTGTTCTCCAGCTCACCCACTTCCCAGGACCCCTCCGGAATTCTGTGGGGATGGGGAGGTTGCAGCTAAGTGAATAGTCACCCTATTATTTTAGGAGAGGAACAACAGCCTGTGTGCAAAGCCCCTGGGTAGGGCTGGTTTATTTATGCATTTGTCTTTAATGGGAAGGCTGAGAGAAATTGCATGGTTTGTGAATATTTACAGGCAAATTACTACAGGGAGGAAATGAATTCATTCTCTCTCCTCTCCCACTGTTAATAGATCACACTGTGGTTCCCTGAAGCCTGCCTCCCACCTCCCCCCCTTTTCTTTCTTGCAACTCCTTGTAGTCTTTATGCCAGCTCCAGGAGGGTGTCCGGGTAGACGTGCCAATTTAATTTACCATGCAGTTATTGAGCGCTAACTGTATGCCAAGCCCTGGTTCAGGGACTAGGGATACCCAGGTAGGCACCACATGTGTGGGTTCTGTCTGCGGGGCTCTGGGGCAAGCTGGCTCAGGAGAGAAGGTGCCTCTTAAAGGATTTTTCCCCCCAACAGAAAGGATACCCTAGGGGGTAGAGCACAGGAGAACCCTTGGAGAGGTTGAGCAGATGGGAATTATGCTCCAGGTGGGGGGTGGGGCAGTTAGTCTTCTGGTGTGGTTAGAGCACCCATGGGAGGAAGAAGGAGGTAGAACTAGAAATGGGGGCTGGGCTGGGTTCTTTCTAGTTCTGAGGTGGGGAAGGAAGGTGGGGAGAGGGGAGAGATTGCCCAGGATGGTGCAACTTGTGTAGCTAGCCAGAAGGAGCACACCTCTTGTTTAAGGGCCTGAGTTGGCAAATAGTAGCCTCTTATGGGGAGAGGGGAGTTTCTCCCTCATCTCCCCTTTCCTTGGGGCCAAGAGGTGTAAATGGGAGGTCTCTGGTCTGTCACTCCTCCCTCTCTTTTTCCCCGCAGACATCACCAATCAATTGCAGCACTTTTGTTGGTTCCAGAATCCTCTGGAAAACAAGCTAGGCAGGCACTATCTATTGATTCCAGCTGGCCTTCTAGAAGGAAGGTGAAGGGCCTTCTAGTAGGTGGGTGGCTGGACCTTAGGGTAGCCCCATCAATGAATTTGCAATGGAGGAAATCTCTTTGTGTCTCAGTTTCTCTACCTGTAAAATGGGGAGAGGGATGGCTCACTTGGTCTCTGAGGACTTTCCCAGTGCTAGCCAGCCAGCATTTGTTAATACCCGCATTTATTTAGTCTTTCCATTAAGCGTGTGTGCACTTACTCTGGCTGGTGCCAGGTGGGGCCCTGGGATACACAGGTGATCCTGGCAGCTGAGACCTGGCCTCCTGAAGCTGACAGTCCTGGCAGTCTGTGGTTCTTAGAACCTCAGGTGTTGAGGTCAGCTGACACCAAGGGCAGGGCTGTCTTGATTCTTCCAGATAGATGGCACCCAGTGCAGCCAGCTGTCCAGTGGCTGGAGGTCCTGGGGATCTCTGGGGACATTAGTCTTGGTCTCTGGGCCCACACACCGGGCATCCTCCCAGGATGGTTAGATGCCATTAGGCTCGGTCTATGCAGTAAGAGCCACAGCCAGGACCCAGGTCCTGCTGAGCCAAGTGAGGAGCTGTGGCCACTGGGGATCCTGAAAGAGCCCCAGGCCACATGTATCTGTCCTGGGAGCCTGCCCCAGGATTGACCCCCACAGCCCTTTTTGGCAAGGGAGAGGCCTCCATTGTGCTCCGTTTCCTTCTAGGTGCGCATGTTCCTCCTCAACCATTCCTCCCCACCCACTCCATGGCTGTGTTCTCAGTTTACCCCAGGTCATGTCAAGTGAGATCAGCCCTTTACCCTCGGGATTCTGAAATAGGGCCAGGGAAAGGCCAGGTATTTCTGAACTATCTAGGCACTCCCTGGGGCCAGATGCTTTCAGATGCCAATAAAAACACTGTGTCCTTTTTGTGTTCAGTGAAGGCCCCTCCTTGACCTGCTCTGGGCAGGAGTGACTAGGAATGGTCAACTGGTTTTAGACCCTGGAGAAGGTTAATGGGATCAGTAGCGTCCTAGGCTGGGAGCCTTTGAGATTAGAGTTGTGGGTGAAATTCATCAATCTCATGGAGAAAATGGAGTATACCACCATGGCCTTGTGAAGACATGGATGGCCTTCTACTGCTAATGGGTACACACACTGCTGCATGCTATGCCTTAATGCCTGCCTTCCATGCACACAACTACCCACATACCTGTGCATATTTACACACACACTGGCACACATACCTGCATACCGGTGCATATCTACATATATACCTGCACACCCCCCACATACCTGTGCACACCTATCCACATGCCTGTGCATGTCTATGTACACTCCTAAGTGCCTGCACATTCCTACCCACATCCTTGTGTCTGCCTATGCACACACATGCACACATCCCTGTGGACACCTACACACATACCTGTGTATACTTATGCACTCATCTGCCCACATCCCTGTGCACAACTACACACATACCTGTGTATACCTATGCACATACCTACCCGCATCCCTGTCTGCCTTTGCACATACCTGCACACACCTGCCTCCGCATTCCTATGCGCATCTATGCATACACCTGTACACATTTACACATGCACACACCCATTTGTGCAAACGTCTTCACACACCTCTCCTTCACCACCCCCGAGCTCCTACGCACCCACCCACACATCCTTCCCTACACATTTTCCTTCAGATTCATTCACTTCAAATATGTCCTCCCTGCCTCTCCCCCACTGTATGCAACACACACACACATGCACACACACGTTCACAAGCTGCAACCAAGCTATTAGATGAAATTGATTGTTTCTCTGCTGTGGGCCTGCAGGACTCAGGATTATCTCTTTACTCCAGATTATCCATTTACCTGGATGCCAAGCCCAGCAGGGGCTCCAGGGAGGATGGGAAGGTTGAGACAGGGACAATCTGGGCCCAGTACAAGTGCCCTCCGAGGCTGGGTACATTTTCTGAGTCCTGTTTCATACCTTCCTCTGCTCATTCATTCATTCATTCACCTACCATCCGTTCATTCCAACACTTACTGACAGCAGCGATCCAGACAAAAATATGGCCTTTGCCCTGACAAAGCTTCCCTTCTTCTTACAGTCCACCAACTTCATCATTTCCTTCATGGTTCTGATATTTGTTGAGGAGAAAATGACGTCGGACTTTGATGCTTGCTTTTTGGAACCAGACTTCCAGTCCTGGAATCCAGTCTGTGTCTGGAATCCACTTGCTAGACCTTGGCTATGTCATGTCACCCCCAAGCCTCTGTCTATTTCCCCATCTGTAAAATAGGGATCATGGTTCCTCACTCCTGGGGAGGGGCTTGAGCCCTGTGAATGGTAGCTGTGAATACAGACTTGGGAACTTCTGTGTTAATCAACAAAACCTTCCTTAAAACAGGGCCCCACAACTTGCCAGCTTCCTAAGGCTAGGGTGGGGACCCTGGGAAACAGTTTTGAATTCCTGGTGAGACTTTGAGCCTATCTGTGGAGTACCTGCTTTTCAGACACGGCGGTGAGCTTATTTTTTCTGTCCCTTTAAGAGAAAGCGGTTGCGAAAGGACTGGCTTATCACAAACATTAAGGACATCTGATGCTCTAGAGGTTTCTGCAGAGGGCCGGAGGAGCAGCCAGGAACTGGTGGCTTATTCATCATGTGCCTGCAGCCTTGCTGGAGGGCCCTGGCCAGTCTCTCCCCATGTGTAGAGTAGAGATAGGAAGACTGTTGGTGAAGGCTGGGAAAATCTTGCTGATGTCAGCATATTGAGCATGGTGGGTGGCTGCCTGCCATCACCCAGTGTCCAGCATGAGGCTCTTGTTGGGAGGGAGGGAGCTCTTCCATGCAGGTCCAGAAGCCGGGGCTGCCCAGGGCCTGGGGAAACCATGAGGTGGCTAAGTGGCTGCTTTGTGTTTGTTAAAATGTTACAACAACCTTAATTGGTCATTGGAAAACTGGACTGTTACCTTCTCGATGGCTGGGACACTGTGGGACACTATTGTGTCTGTGTTGCTCTAGAGGCTGCAGGAGAAGGTGCAGTAGCAGCACATAGTAGGACACAGCACATCCTTGCTGGATGATGGATAACTGGAATCTTCCAGCAGCCTGCGCTGGGCATCTGTCTTCTCCCACAGCCCCGGGCACATTTGGTAACAACCCAGGACTCTGGAGTCTTTTAACATAGCCTGAGTACCTTCATACACACTTACCCAGCAACTTTTTTCCTTTTCCCCCTAAAGAGCTACAGACTTTACTGAGGTTATCATTTATATACAGACATAAATTGTACAATAACATCCATTTTGACCTTGTATATGTCAGTCCCCGTAAGATAGAAATTTTCCATCAGCCCAGAAAGTTCCCTCTTAGCCCTCCCCAGTTAATCTCTGTTCCTTCCCCAGAGGCAACCACTGGTCTGCTTTCTATCACTATAGATTAGCTTTGCCTGTTCCGGAACTTGCTATAAATGGAATCCTACAGTAGGTACTCTCCTGTCAGTCTCCCTTCACTCAGCTTACTGTTTCTAAGATTCATTTACATTGGTGCCTGTTTTAGTAGTTTATTACTTTTTATTGCTGAATAATAGTCCATCTTATGTATATATAGTAATTTGTGTATCCATTCACCCTTTGATGGATGTAGTATTGTTGTCAATTTTTGGCTACTACATAATCAAGCTGCTATGGACATTTGAGTCCAAGTCTTTGTGTGAACACATGCCTTACTTTGTCTTTTGGAAGTATCCTGGAATATAGTGACTGCATCATAGGGTAGGTGTATGTATAACTTAGAAGAAACTGCCAGCTGGGTGCGGTGGCTCATACCTGTAATCCCAGCACTTTGGGAGGTCAAGGGAGGATCATGAGGTCAGGAGTTCGAGACCAGCCTGGCCAACATGGTGAAACCCCATCTCTACTAAAAATACAAAAAATTAGCTGAGCGTAGTAGTGGGCGCCTGTAATCCCAGCTACTCGGGAGGCTGAGGCAGGAGAATCACTTGAACCTAGGAGGTAGAGGTTGCAATGAGCAGAGATCATGCCACTGCACTCCAGCTTGGGTGACAGAGTGAGACTCCGTCTCCACAAAAAAAAAAAAAAAAAGAAAGAAAAGAAACTGACTGCCAAGCTGTTTTCCAAAATGCTTGTATTGTTTTTCACTCCCATCAGCTGTGTACTAGAGTTCCAGTTTCTCCACATCCTAGTCAATGCTTGCTATGGTCAGCTTTTGAGTTTTAGACATTCTAATAGTTGCGTAACGGTATCGCATTCTGGTTTTAATTTGTACTTCCCTATTTAACTACTGATATTAAGCATCTTTTCATGGGCTTATTGTCATTTGAACACTTTCTTTTGTAAAATATCTGTTCAAGTCATTTGCTCTTTTTTTTAGACAGTCTTGCTCTGTCTCCCAGGCTGGAGTGCAGTGATAAGATCTTGGCTCACTGTAGCCTCTGCCTCCTGGGTTCAAGCAATTCTTGTGCCTCAGCCTCCCAAGTAGCTGGGATTACAGGTGTGCGCCACCATGCCTGGCTAATTTTTGTATTTTTAGTAGAGATGGCGTTTTACCATGTTGGCCAGGCTGGTCTCGAACTCCTGGCTCCAGTGATCCGCTTGCCTTGGCCTCCCAAAGTGCTGAGATTACAGGTGTGAGCCATCACACACGGCCTCTTTTGCCCAATTTTTATTATATAATTTGTCCTTTTTAAAGGAATTCTTTAATTTCTAGAAGAAAACACAGGAGAATATCTTTAATGACCTTGAGGCAGGCAAAGATTTCTTAGATACCTAACCATAAAAGGGAAACTTGATAAACTGACTTCACTGAAATTAAAAACCACTGTTCATCGAAACACACTGTTAGGAAAATGAATAGGAAAGCTACAGACTGGAAGAAAATAATCACAACAACAATATGATATACCAAGACTCTTTCTTTTCTTTTTTTTTTTTTTAGTGAGACGGAGTCTCGCTCTGTCGCCCAGGCTGGAGTGCAGTGGTGTGATCTCGGCTCACTGCAACCTCCACCTTCTAGGTTCAAGCGATTCTCCTGCCTCAGCCTCCCGAGTAGCTGGGACTATAGACACGTACCACCACGCCCGGCTAATTTTTGTATTTTTAGTAGAGACGGGGTTTCACCATGTTGGCCAGGCTGGTCTCAATCTCCTGACCTCGCAGTCCGCCTGCCTCAGCCTCCCAGAGTGCTGGGATTACAGGCGTGAGCCACCGCGCCCGGCCTCCCAAGACTATTTCTGAGGACTTCCTTATGCCAGGCGCTTGCCTGACCCTGTGTGGTCCTACAAATCCCGCCCCTCTGCCCATCAATGTCTGTGCCAGTGTCTTATGTCATGGCCTGTCAGTCCCTCAAGGCTCTAAACTCTTTCACCCTGGCAGCTGCCTTCACAGAGGCTATTTTCTGGAACATACTTTTCCTGGCTGTTCACAAAGCTCCCTCACCCCTCTCGTCTCAGGGCTCAGCTTCAATGTTTCTTCCAAAGGAAAACCTCCTGGGACCCCAGAGGCACAGCCAGGGAGGGGTCAGAGCACAGCCTGCTTTGTTGGCTGAGGGAGAGATTGTAGTACAATTTAGAATCCCATCCCTTGGGATTCTTGACTTGGGGGTAAAAATGCAAGTCATCCCTTGACTTGGGGGTAAAATGCAACATGCCATTAATAAGGGGGTGCTGGTACTGACAAAATGGAGAGGATACGGGGCCATAGTCCCAGATCCAGAGTCCCCTTCTGGGGCAGACATTCCTGCCTTAGCTTCTAGGGAATGGAGAGGGACCGAACAGGCTGTAGTTAGACTGTGGGGCTCCCAGTGACATATGAGGACCAACCTGTACCAGCGTATGTCAGCATTTTTCTCTGGTGTGTACAGGCAGGCTCTCAGCCCTGCTCCCAGGGCCTCTGTTTTCAGCTCATGGTCTTGCTTTTACTCTTGTCTTTACCACAGTCATGTCCATCCATTACCTCTCCACAAAGGCCATAGATGTTGAGAATGTATTCAGGCATGAATGCCCCTAGGTCGGCCCCGCAAACTGGGTTGGACTCCGTGCTCTAACCGCTCTGGAGACTCTGTGCTATCACTTCCCCTATTTATCACAGTGTAATGCAATACTGTGGCAGTGTTCTTTGTTCACTGTCCGTCTCCATCCCGGGACAGAAGACTCTGTGAAGGAAGCTGCCACCCCCACCTTGTTCTCTGCTGCGTCCCCAGCCCTTGGGGCTGTGCTTGGTACACAGGAATCACTCCATGACTTGGTCAATCAGTGATGATAACCCAGCAACCACCGGCAAGGTAGACAGCACAAGTACATTCTCTCCATTTTCCCAATTGGGAAATCAAGGCTCCGGGAGTTAAATGGCTTGTTCAGGGTCTCACAGTTGGCAAAAGGCAGGGTTGTGAGTGAACAGCAGATCTGGTTTTGAATATTTCTACCCTAAGGCGACTGCACTACTAAGTTTAAACCTAATAATGTGAGTGGTGAATGCTATAAAAATGTGGAGTGCTGTATAAATAAAATGTATCATTAAGAATATCTATGGTGATTTTAATCATCCCTAACCACGGTAATGAGACAAAGCGTGGTTCTAAATCTGGGCAGGGCTAGTGCTAAAATCCAGATGTTTCCTAGGGGCCTGATATATTTTGCATTGTGAATGCTTTTGTTAAATGTTGATGAGATGCAAAAGGATATTTACAAAATAAATGCAGGGGATGGATTATAACAATACACTGAATACATGAGTACCCACCAACCAGATCCAGAGACATGGAAAACCCTGTATGCTCTGCCTGAAGTCACCTTTTTCCCATCCCAGATTTTCCATGTATTCCCTCTTGATTTTTTTTAATAGCTTTTTCACATCCGTTACTTTAATGTTTTCTATTCATTTATATATTCGTTCGGCAAATGCTTGTTGAGCTCTGCAACCACGGATAGAGTTACAGAGCTTCCGAATCCCACCCCTGTAGCTGTGCAGTTGTTGAAAAGGAAGAAATAGAGGTGTTTTTCCCCCCTCGTACAAAAAAGTTATCCTCATGGTACATGCCCCCTGCCCCCCACCGCCCCCTGAAGCAGGCTTTTATCCCCTCAAATGCCTCATTTGTGCTTTGGCCCAAACTGCAGCCCCCTGTGAGTTTTTTCCACAAAGTACTTGTGGCTTTGGCAAGGTGGTTTTATAATGTTGATAATGCTCCCTTTGTCTGGGGCCTCCCCCTGCCCCTTTCCTTTTCAGTCTATGTATTTTGGGTCTTTGGCGGGACTTTGTAGAACTTTGTACTTAGCAGGACTGGACTTAGCATAACTTCACTCCTGGGGTCTCTCAATCTTGCCACCTTGCCAAGCAGTGGAGCCAGGGCAGCTTCGATGCTGGGGTTCGAGGGGCAAGAGTGGGAGGTGCCCACAAACTTGCTGGCAGAGGGTTGCAAACACTTGCTACTTGCTATTTGTGTGACCCAGGGCAAGTCACTTAACTCTTCCTGTTTCCCTTTCTACAAGGTGGATACGGCAGTCGTGCCTACCTGGGCCATGTTGAGGGTTAGGCAGGCAGAGCCTGTGAAGTGCTGAGCACTGTGCCTCATGCACAGCGAGGGCCCCACCCAGCTAGCTGTCAGTAGGACAGGTGAGATGAGGGCACCAAGTGATGCCACAGGGCCCCGTGGTGTTTGGCAGTCTGAGATTTAAAAAGCTTGGCACACCCACCATGATCATTCAGGCTCCTGATGCTGTGCCCAGTAGGCTGGGCATGTGTTGTATCTCTGTTTGACAGATGAGCAGACTGAGGCTCAGAGGATGGTCCCTGCTGGTAAGTGACAGAGCACAGCAGGAGCTTCCTTTCTGTCCTGTGGGCTGCCTGCCCCAGGCCTCCTCATGGGGAGGGGCCAGATGGGCTTCTGGGGCTGGGGACAGAGGGTAGAAGAGGCTGCAGGGAAAGAAACTCTGTGGGTCTGGGCTTTGAAAGCTGGCGTTGGGTAGGTTCAGAGTGAAACTCGGTGATGTCCTCAGTGTGGTTCCCTGCCAGTTTTGTGGCATCTGCTACCCCTAGGGGGCAAGCATGAGGGCTCTCCTCCCCCGGACCCTGCTGGTGAGTGGAAGTTGCCCCAGGATCTAGGGTGATGTGGTCACTTCCCTGCTACCTGCACAGGATTATCCACTTACTTTTTTTTTTTTTTTTTTTTTTTTTAAAGACAGAGTTTCACTCTGTTGCCCAGGCTGTAGTGCAGAGGTGCGATCTCGGCTCACTGCAACCTCTGTCCCCTGGGTTCAAGCGATTCTCCTGCCTCAGCCTCCTGAGTAGCTGGGATTGCAGACACCCACCACCATGCCCTGCTAAGTTGTGTATTTTTAGTAGAGACTGGGTTTCTCCATGTTGGCCAGGCTGGTCTTGAACTCCTGACCTCAAGTGATCTGCCCACCTCGGCCTCCCAAAGTGCTAGGATTACAGGCATGAGCCACCGCTCCTGGCCTGTCCAGTTAGCATTTTTAACCCTTGCTCCATTTTCCTCTGCCACCATTTAGGGTGATCTTAGGAAGGCAAACTGCTCTGACTATTAGCCAGGGCAGGGCCTAATTAGGAAGGCATACATATGATGCTTGTGGGCTGGGGACAAGATTTGGACGGAGACACAATATAAATAGAATGGATTCTAAATCTATGCAAATTGTTTGGGGCAAAAATTTCAACTCTTGAAAAACAGTGATCTAAGCTGCCGATATTTGAGTGCTTTCTATGTGCCACTATTACTTCCATCAACTCACTTAATCCTCACATCAACCCTGTGATGTATGTACTTTTAGGATTCCCATTTTACAGATAAGGAAACTGAGGCTCAGAGAGGAGAATTAATTCTTATGTAGTTAGTGAGGAACACAGTTGCAATTCAGAGTCACCTTATGTGGATTCCAGAACCTGAACTTATCCCATCCCCACCTGCAATTCGGATCTTTCCACAGTCATGGGTGGTGCAGAGCTGGAAAAATTCCTGCAGTGGACAACTCAGTGTGCTGGCATTGCTGGCTGTGCAGGTTGATTCTCATCCTCTTAGACAGAGTGGGAAGGCAGCAGGCTTAGAGGGTAAGAGCCACACTGCCTGGCTCTCTTGGCTTCCCTGTGCCTCTGTTTCTTTATCTGTATAGTGTAAATAATAACAATCTGACTTAATAGGCTTCTTACGAGGGTTAAAGAGAGACTGCATGTAAAACGTTAAAACTCGCCAGGCCCAAAGCAATGAATAGATATCGGCAGATGTGAAGATCATCTGTGCCCAGGCAAAAGCCAGGGATCTGGCTGACCTGTCCTCCAGCTGCCAGGTGATGCTTTTGAGGGGATCTGTAGCAGTCCTTTTTTGCGAGGGTGCTCTCTGGAGTTCTCAGAAGACCCCAATGTTACTGCTCACTTAACTCGCCCTTCCCAGCCTGTGTGTTTGCCTTAAAGCCCCTCGTTACAACACAGGCAGACAGTCACACTGGCTTCTGTTCACTGTGGACCTACTAGGAGCCTGGTCCAGGCCCAGGGACATTCCAGGCATTCTCTCTGTGGGACAAGTATCATTATCCCCATTTTGCAGATGAAGAAAAGGTTGAGCATGGAAATGGGAGCTGGCTGGCAAACTTTTTCTCGTGCCTTTTCCTCCATGGTTCAGGCGGGGGCCCAGGAACCTTCGGTACACAGTTGGTGGTTGAAGCTTTGGAGGGCCAGGGACTCAGGGAGCAGCCCTCATCCCAGGACCCTCAGTCCCCAGATGGGCGGGATTGGTCACCGCAGAACCTCAGCAGCTCTTGGGCTGCACTGCTCAATGGAACTTTCTGTGTGGATTGAAATGCTGTCTACGTGCGCTGTCCAATACGAGAGCCACTTGCACATCAAACTGACTAGTGCAACCGAGGGACTAGCTTTTCAATTTTAATGAGTTTAAACGTCAAGAGGCACACGTGACTAGTGGCTACTATATTGGTCAGTGCAGGTTGGAGGATGGGTTTTCTTTTTTTCTCTTTTTTTTTTTTTTTTTTTGAGCCAGAGTCTTGCTATGTCTCCCAGGCTTGAGTGCAATGGCGTGATCTTGGCTCACTGCAACCTCTGACTCCCTGGTTCAAGCAATTCTCCTGTTCCAGCCTCCGGAGTAGCTGGGATTACAGGCATGTGCCACCACGCCCAACTAATTTTTGTAGAGATGGGGTTTCACCATGTTGGCCAGGATGGTCTCTGTCTCCTGACCTTGTGATCTCCCCGCCTCGGCCTCCCAAAGTGCTGGGATTACAGACTTGAGCCACCGCACCCGGCCTGGAGGAGGGGTTTTCTGCAAAGGGAAGTATTTGTGAGAGCTGGCAGCACCTTGCTGGTGGCTTTGTTTCTCCTGTACCTGAAGATTAAGAGGAGGTCATATGTCAGAGCTGATTTTACACTGATTCCCTCCCTGCCACTTCATGGAGAGAAGAGAGGGCCAAGTGACTGGAAGAATCCACGCATGCAGCTGGTGTTGCCTTTCTGCAAACACATCTACGTGGGGTGCCTGGGCTCGGCATGTGGAGAAAACCACAAAAAGCAACGCAGGCACGTGTGTTGTCCAGACAGGAAAAGGAACAGCAAGGGAAGGAAGACTTGCGGATTTTCCCTTCGCGCTAACCTGACAATAACACCCTCGTGTCAGTCTCTGGGTTTCATTCACCCAGGGAGAGAGTGTTGCATGAATTCATCAATGAATTCTTTTCACAGCTTACCAGTGTTTGCGTGACGCAGAGCCGTGATCATCAGAGAAGCTGAGGTTCTTATTTCCCAACAGAAATAAGTCACAGGCAGGGGAATAAAACAGCTACCCAACGTCAAATCTTGTAGGGATCTTCCCATCTTTAGCCAAAACTGAGATTAAATTATCCAATTTGGAGCCTTTGGAAGAAAAATGGCTCTATTGGCTTTTCCTTCTGCCAAGAAAAAAGCTCTTCAATTTGTCAGTTCCTTTATGAACTTGCTGTGTGTCTTAGGACAAGTTCCTTAATGTCTCTGAGCCCCAGTTTCCACACCTGACAAAGGCCTATCTTGAAGGGGGATTGTAGAAATTTGATGAGACAAAAAGTGAGGCTGGCTTTGGCAAGTAACAAAGCTCTGTTCATCCTTGAAAGTAGCCATGACATTGTGCAGAGGGAGGTGAGCTCTTGAGGAGGCTTCGAGATTGGTGATTCTGAGCTGGGAGCAAGCCAGGGGTGAATTGCGGGCCTGATACCCAGAATGATGGTATTCGTGGAATGAGAAGAAAAAAAATACCCCAGATCAGTAGGAAATGACTCTTTATTTTCCTTGACTGTCAACAGGACACCACAAGCACTGGAAAAGGAAAAAACAATAATAATCTTGTTCAAAATGTATCTCCAGGGGCCCTTGGAAAAGGCAGCCCTGCCCTCCTCCTAATTCTTGTCTCTGTGGGGCTGTGCCAGGCTCAGAGGAGCTGGAAGGCCCCCTGGAGCTCTTCTCCAATGCCTGTGCCCCTTTCTGAGTGCGTTAGGGGCATGAAGGATGATCTGGTGAGTCCACAGGATAGCTGGGTCTCTCAGGGTTTCTGGGGTGTCCTCATACTGTCCCTGAGTCTGAGACCTCAGACATCATGGGCTTACTGCCCCTGGTGGGTCGGGGCAGCAGCTTCACTGCTGGGCTCTAAGGGGTGTGACTGCTGCATGTTTCCACCCGCGTGTGTGCATGTGTGTGTGTGCATGTGTGTGTGTGCGCATATGTGTGTGTGCATGTGTCTGTGTGTGCATGTTTGTGTATGTCCATGTGTTTGTGTGTGCCTGTGCGTGCATATGTTTATGTGTATGTGTGCATGTGTTCGTGTATGTGCATGTGTGTGTGCATGTGTTTGTGCATGCTTGTGCACGCATGTGTGCATGTGTTGGTGTGTGTGGGTGCGTGCATGTTTGTGTGCGTGTGTGTGCATGTGCTCTTGCTTGTACGTGTGTGCATGTGTGTGCATGTGTGTGTACATGTGTTCGTGTGTGCATGTGTGTATGCATGTGTTCGTGTGTGTGCATGAGTGTGTATGCATATGTTTGTGTGTGCATGTGTTTTTGGTGTGTGCATGTGTGTGCATGTTTGTGTGTGCATGTGTTCGTGTGTGTGTGCATGTGTGTGCATGTGTTCGTGTGTGTGCATGTGTTCGTGTGTGTGTGTGCATGTGTACACTTGCTTGAACTATAGGAGAACACAAAAGAACATGGGATGCCAGATGTTTAAGTAAACCTGGAACCTTATCAGGCAGAGTGAGATACCCAAAAAGATGATGCCATGAGGCTTAGAATCCTCCCTCTCCCTCTGAGCCTCAGCTTCCTCATCTGAAAAGTGGGGCTGCTAGTAGCTAATTCACAGAGTCGGAGAACAGGTCCATGTAGGGCCAGGAGGACAAATCATAGCCAGGACAGGGTGACGTGGTGAGGCTGTCATCCTAAAGTTGGCTTCCTCTTGTGGATCCCCTCAGGAGATGTCATTTTTGTGTTTGAAGCTGGAGTTTCCTTCTATCTGGGTCCCCTCTTCTCCTGGGGGCATCAGTGCAGAGTCTATCCTGAGACTTCTCTCCAGACCCTCAAGAAATGAAGGCTAGCCTGGTTCCCATGGCCTGGTGTCCAGTCTGCTGCTGTCTCAAGTCTGGTTTGAGTAGTGGCCTCCCGAGAGACCCCGTTCCCTCTGAGTTTGGGGAACTGGGCCTGGGGGTGGTTTTCTCCCTTTCTCAGTCTCCCCTCACACCACTGAATGGGGGCAGGGGCATCACCAGTGGGAAAGTGCCCTGGACGTAGTGCTAGCCCTTGGCAGACTCCAGCACACACCTAGGGTGAGAGCCGTGGAGCCAATCTGCTCCTCCCACTTTGGGGGGTAGCCGGGGAGATATGCCTGAAGTGCATCTATAATAACTTTATGCACAAGTTTGAACTAATTGGCTCATCTGTTTAATTAATAATGGATACACCAGGTCCCCTGAAGAGGCTGGAGAGCATCCATCTGTCCCCCGACATGTGAAGGCTAGAAGCCTTGGCAATGATTCCGGAGCGAGTGGGGCATTTGTTTCCATTCTGAATAATGACCGCCCTGATGCCACCCACCCCGCCTCCTTCTCCTGGGCACTGGGAGGCACTCAGAGGCATCCTAGTCACTTCTTCTGTGGACTGTCTCCTCCTCCTGGTCCCCCCTGTGTCCCCAGGCTCCAGGGAACCAGTCTCTAAGGTCTGGGCATCTGCTCTGGGAAGAGGGGATGGGCTCCGGGAGCAATGTGCAGTGGACAGTGGCGTTGCCAGAGAGGGCTCACGGAGGGCTCGTGGCCAAGGGCAGCAGTGAATCTCCCTGGCTGTAGCACTCAAGGCACCCTCACTTCTTGGCTATGTGACCTCGACAAGCCATTTCACCCAGCGAGCTTCGGTTTGTCACAGCACTCACAGCAGATGATGGGTTGCCAGCAGTAAATTTGGGGCTAGCATTTTATTTGTTCATTCAAAAATACTTATTGAGCACCTACAGTGGGCTGCAGACAATGTCCTGGATAGGGGGGTGCAGCAGTGGACAGAAGCCCCTCCTTTGGAGAGCTGACACTCTAGTAGGAGAGGCAGACAGTTGAATAGGTATTCAATGTCAATTTATTTATAGACAGTATTTGTTTGTATGTTATATAAATATTATATAATTTCATGTGCATAATTAAATCTATATTTCTTATTGGCTCATATATTAATTATATATATCTACATAATAGTCCTGAGAAATTCAGTGAGTGATGCCGGGGGAAGCTGTTTTTGGTGCAGGTCAGGGACACCTCTGTGAGGGGTGACATTTAAACAGTGTTGAGGAAGTGAGGGAACAGCTTGGAGCATCTGCGGGGACAGTCGCAGGCAGAGGGGACCGCAGGCACGCACGGCCTGGAGCAGCCAGGGGCTGGTGAGTCCCAGGGCTGGAGCCAAGTTCACAGGGGCTGAGTGGAAGGAGGTGAGCGGGGGTGGCCAGGGAAGGTCATGAGGGGCCTTGCGGGCACTTGAGTGTGGTGTCTGTCTTGCTGACTGCCTGGCACACAGTAGGTGCTACCTAAGTGTGCCTCCCTTCAACCACTGTTTCATTAGAGCTTTCTCAGTGGCAGACCTTGCGCAGGGCGGTGGGAATTCAGAAAGGAGCCGGGGCCTCTCCATCATGGGCTTTGGTGGAGCTGTGTGGAGTGATGTAGAAACCAAGAGGTTTCTGTGCCCCTCTGATCCTCACTCAGTGGGGTTCCTCCCGGAAGAGGTGACACCTCAGTTAGCTCTTGAAGGAGTGGACCTCCACCCCGGGGAAGTAGCCTGGGAAGGATGTACTGAACAGAGTGGACAAACAGTACCTGCCAAGGCCAAGAGGTGGGAGAGAGTGTGGCTTGTGGGGCAAGGGCTGGCAGTGACCGTGGCTGGAAATCCAGGGTTTGCAGGAGGATGGGGAAGCCACAGGAGCTGAGGCTGGGGAGTGGTCCAGCTCCTGCAAGGCGTCTCGTGTGACTCAAAGTCAAGTTGTCCCAGAAACAGACCCTGAGATGTGATATGCTCCCAGGGGGAAGGGGAGGGAGCTGGGAAAATGGGAAGGGAAGGGAGACAGTGAAACAAGGGTGAGATCCTAGGCCAAGCCCTGCGGGGTCTAGGGTGTCTGTTGTGCCTCAGAGTTTGTACCCCACCTCCTGGGTTAAAGTGATTCTCATGCTTCAGTCTCCCAAGAAGCTGGGCTGACAGGCGTGTGCCACCACGCCCACCTATTTGTACCACATTGTGGCAAGGGAGCTGTGCTTTCCTACCCCACGCCTGCTGGTCATTGGCTGAGGAGGTGGGGAGGCTCAGAGCACTTTTGACTTTTGCTTGTGGAACAGAGCCACTCCAGGGACTCAAGGGCCACCTGCTGAAGAAGAATCCTAGGTGCAGGAGTTAGGAGCAAATGTACTCAGAAACGCACCAGGCATCAGAACGGAAATGGCTGAGCTAAGGTGACCAGCCCTCCCAGTGTGCCAGTGACCCAGGGGTTTCCTGGAAGTAGGATTCTGAGTGCTGAAGTCAGGATGGTCGGTCATCCAGAGCAGCAACGGCGTTGCTACACGGAGCTCACCTTTTTCCACCTCAGTTTTCTTTTCTGTAAAATGGGGATCATAATAGAGCCAACCTTGTGGGGATGCTGGTGAGAGTCACCACGTTACCCTGGTGCATTGCCAGGAATGCTTGTTCTCTAAGCCCTCCTCTCCACTTGCCAGGCACTGGGCGACCCCAAGGCCTGGAATGATGAAAGCAGACATTTCCAAAGCTGGGGAACGTCCTCCTGTTCTTTACCTTCCACTGCGCTCCCTTCCCATCCCTTCCCCAGCCATTTGACAACTGCCCATGAGCTGAGGCCCTGGAGAGGAGGAGGCTGTGTCTTTAAGTGTTCCGAACAGCACTGAAATGTTATGACAGTGCATCTCACAAGGGATGCCGTTTCCACGGCAACCCCACTCTAAGATAAGCAAGCCGCCTGTATTTTTTTCTGAAAGGTTGAGGAACAGGGGGGTGGGGGGAGTTAGGCGATCTGTCAGCGGGTGGGACTTGAAAGCAAGAGCCACGTCCATTAATCCTTTAGCTCTGATTGTGTTATCCAGGAATCAGCCATTAGAGGAGGGAGAAGCAGGGCCCCTTCCCCTGGCATCCTGTCTCATAAACTAGAGTAGGGGCTACCTCTGGACGCTTGGCAAGAGGAAGACAGAGAAAGAACCATGGTCAAGTTTTGTCTGAGAAACTGCAGCCCTCTAGCCTTTACCAGGTTCACCCCTACCAAGTGTTTCCTGGTATCCAGAGAGTACCTGGCCAAAAGAACCTGGAGCTTCACACATGTGTGGTTGTGTGTGTGTGTGTGCACGTGTGGATGCATGTGTGTGTAGAGCCCAGGGTCTTTGGTATTAAGAACTCAGGCTCTGGCCGGGCATGGTAGCTCATGCCTGTAATCCCAGCACTTTGGGAGCCCGAGGCAGGTGGATCACCTGAGGTCAGGAGTTCAAGACCAGCCTGGGCAACATGGAGAAATCTCGTCTCTACTACAAAGACAAAAATTAGGTGGTTGTGGTGGCACACGCCTGTAATCCCAGCTTCTTGGGAGGCTGAGGCATGGGAATCATTTGAACCCAGAAGGCGGAGGCTGCAGTGAGCTGAGATCTCACCACTGCACTCCAGCCTGGGCAACAGAGCAAGACTCTGTCTCAGGAAAAAAAAAAAAGGGAGAACTCAGTCTCTGTTCCGAGACGTAAGTTCAAATTCTGGTCCTATCAGCAGCTGGGGTATTGGATAAGCTACTTAACCTGCTGAGCCCTCAGCTTCTTCATCTATAAATGGGCATAATAATGAAAGCGCCTGTCTGATGAAGTGGGTGTGAGGACTTAAGAGAGAATGAATGTATGTGACTAACAGTGCTCAGCACAGTGCCTACTCCATAGTAGGTGCTTAATAAATGCTAGTTATTAACATGCATTTTCATTAACTGAATCAGTGGGAAAAATGATGCCAGCTTGGTTGAAGCATAAAGAGGGGGTCCTCACTGGCTTTAGGCAGACATCGGCATTGTCCAAGACCACCTCAAAGACCTGCTGCCATTTCTGCCATTGGAACCCCCACCCCCACCCCCACCCCCGGGGTCTTCCCATCATACCTAGAGTCAGATCTAAGTTCCTTATTGTGGCTGGCTCCTGCCAGCCTCATCCTTACCACCTGGGCTCCTTCAACAAGCTGGGCCAGTTCCGGTCCTCACGCCAGCTGCTTCTCTTCCTGGGACCACTCTTCCCTCACTGGCCCACTCCAGCATGGAAGGGTTTGACATCATCCAAGGGCTGCTGCCTCATCCCCTGGTCCTGATGTTGGCATGAGGCGATGTTTAAGATGCCTGCCCTGGAGCTTCCCTGCCTGGGTTCAGATCCAAGGTCCCACTGCCTGCCCCAGTCATGGTAAGCCAGATGATTTCTCTAAAGCTCAGCTTCCTCATCTGCAAAGTGGTCATGATGGTATCCTACCTCCACTCATCCAAGCAGTAGGGCAGTGGGGGTACAGGAAACCAGCTGGGAGGCTACTGCAATAGTCCAAGCGAGTTCTGGCGGTGGCCAGCCTGACACACAGGTGTGAGGATCAGGCATGCACTGGACTTCCAGGGATGAGTTCACACCCTCTCACTGCCACACCCTTACTCCTGCCGCTTCTGATTGTCTAAGCTTCTGGGGCCCAGACCCCATTTTCTGCCCCAGGAGCCGGAAGAAAGGATACATTTCATTCACCAGACCCCGCTGGAGTCTTGACCTCTCAGAACCTGACTGGCTTCCATGTGGTTTGGGACCTTGGGGTGTACAGGCATGAGATGCATTGTGCCCTGAGCCCACTGCCGGCTGGCACCAAGGACCTTTGGAGGCTTTGGGGTGATCTGGGACTAGCCAGGGCTCCCTGCTCCCAGGCCTGCTAAATGTGGAGCTGTAGCCTGCAGACACAGCCTGTCACTGTCACTACCTGTCCCAAACCTCAGGGGTGAGCCATGGCTGTGAATGCACTTTCTATTCCTTTTTTGTGCCCTCTGGCCTTCCTGTGGTCCCTCCGTTGCCCTTTCCATGCCACATCATGACTGCATCTCACTCATTTGCCCCAGTGTTCAGGAGACGCTTTGCCCACATCTGCTTTTAAAGAACAACAAGCTGAGATGTCACAGAATGGCAAGGAGGAGGAGAAAATGGAGGCTCCTGGTTCTTTGCTAATTTATTTTGACAACTGTAATTTCATTTTAATTATTTATGATCATTATTTAGAGTTCACTGGCAAGCGACCTGAGGTGTATGTTTTGTGCAGTGGAGAAGCCATGGCAGTGGGAGATTGGTTTTCAGTTTTTACGATGTTTTTGCTGATTCATGGGAAATGGATGGCAGGGTCCTCTGCCCCAGCCTTAGCCCCACTCCTGTGGGTTCCTCCATTGCCATGGAAGAATTATTCTCCCTTCACACGGTGGAGATAAAAGCAAGAACCTGGAGCTCAGGGTCGGTCATGGGGACTGGTGGAGTCATCGTCCCTGTTTCCAGCTGGGTTTCTTCTCCTTGGAGAGGCAACACCTCTCCGGGTTTTGCCTGCACATAGCGCCCAGAATGGAACCCAGCATGTCAAAGTAGGGAGAATGTTGGTGACTACAGGTCTCCCCCTATCCTTGTTTTATGTACTAGGGAACTAATGACCTGAGAAGGACAAGGATAGCCTCAGTCACACAGCAACAACCAAAATACAGACCTGCTGAGCCCGGGCCAGCCTGAGCCTACCCACCCTCTGTCTGTCCTCTAGGCTTCTGCTCTGGCTGGAGCAGGGTGTGTAGGTATCTATTCTCATGCATATTCCCAGCCCCCAGACCTGAGTCTGCAAGGACTTTCTCAAGCAAATGATCACCCACGTTGAGACACTGGTTTAGAGGGTATGTTCAGAACTGTGGCTTCTTGAAGGCCATGGCTGGTGGGTTTCCTATGGTATTGGCTTTGAGGGTTCTGAGAACATTGTCCTGACTCTGAGTAGCATCCTCACCCAACTTCAGGTATTACAGGACCTGAAATCCTACCTGTGGAGATTTTTTCCTTTGGAGATAAGCATCACCTTCCATATTCTGGATGTTCCTAGGAGGAGTGACTCATTGATGCCACAAGAAATCCGTAGTAACAACCCCTCATGTCTGTTGAGTAGGTTGGACCCTTGGCTTATCTGATTTCTCACAACCCAGGAGGCAGACAAAGCAAAGACTCTTTCTGCCCATTTTACAGATGAGAACCGAGAGGTTCCAAGAAGTTGACGCCCCTAAAAGTCACGTGGCCAGTGAGTTCACAAACCAGACTCTGGACATTTGAGCCCCCACTGTAGCCTGATGAGGTGGGTGTTAGGGAATAGAAGAGGCTGAGAGGCCAGGTGAGTGGGTGAGGGAATGAGAGGGGAAAGGCTTTGGTGGGGGCCACGGTACCCATCATTATTATTTATAGGATAGATCTGGTGGGACTTTCTGAGCGATGTGAGGGATGATGGCGGGGTGGGGAGGAGTATGGAGACTGATGAATGGATTCTGTGCCTGAGCACCTGGGAGCCAAGTCCTGCCATTAATGAAAATGGGGACGGGAGCAAACACACCTACAGTGAACGCCTCCTTGGTGAGACTCAAAGATTCTTAAGGACCAGTTCTGTGCCACATTCATCATTTTGTTATCCTTGTGTCTAGCAAAGGCACTGACGGGATGAGATTCTCAGGACTGGTTTGTCAAGAGCACATGTGAATGGGGGAGGGGAAGGAGCTCCTAAAGGCATGAAAGTGAAAAATTTGGGAGGAATTAACACTCCCCTGCCTCAGGTGAAGCGACCTCTGGCCTTTCTCTAAGTGGGTGACATAGAGCACTAATGCTTGGCCCTAAACAGTTGCTCAGCAGAGAAGTTTAGGAACGAGTGTGTACTCTGCCTCCATTTCTAGAGAGTCAAGACGCTTGTTGGGTCAAATAAAGGCTCTGATAAGTCCTGCACAAAGGAGCCTGTTTAACTTGGGGTAAGCCAGCATTTCCCAGACTTCATGGACCACAGTGCCTTTTTTTGTTGCTGAGGTTATTAACATCTGAACACACTTCTAGAAAGGCTCTTCAGGCCAGCCTCCCTCCTGTGTGCTCAGTGGCTGGCCGTCCCTGAAGAGGGTCAGAGAGGCCCGTGCCCTCCCACACTCAGCTCTTAGGAAATCACTATCTGCTGTTGAGGATTATTCTGAAGATGGTACCATCATTAGCATCATAATAGCAGCTTCACTTACTCAATCCTTAAACTCCCGAGCAATGTGGTGAGCAGCTTTCCTGCGTCTTTCATGTAAGGCTCACAGCAGCCCTGTGATGTGGGTACTGTCATCACCATCCTCATTTCACAGACAGGGAAAGACGGGGAAAGCAAGACTTGGAGGATTAAGTCGCTTGTCCAAGGTCACACAGCTGGAAAGTAGCAGAGCCAGATGTAGTCACAGAAAAGCTCCAGTGCATTCCTTCCCCCAAGCTTAACCACTGCCCTGTCCTGTGAGGGACTTGGTAGCCTCCCCCATCTGGCCCAGACCATGGCTAAGCCACTCTGGGGGCCCCAAATTTGGTGTTTGCATTGCTAGCTTCAGTCTGGACCCCCCTGGGCAGCCCTCACCCCCTGCCCTCCCCTTGGCCTTCCTGGAACTGATGCTGAGTATATTAGAAACCCATGGAATTGGAGAGTTTTAAACAGGAAACTGGTATAATTTTGGTCAGGAGCTCAGGCTAGAGTGAGGAAGCTCTGCCAGGCACAGCCACATCCAAAAGAAATAGAGAGGGAGGGTTTAGAGTTTCCAGTTTGTGCATTTCAGGGATATGAAGATAGATAAAGGAGTTGTATTCAGCCCTGTCCAGGCTTGACTGTCTTTTGTTTTTCTTGTCTTCCAAGTCCTTCTTTATTGAATCTGGTGAGACTGAGGCCAACTAGGGGACCCAGGGCAGTGAAGCTTCATCTCATGGGACTTATCCCCACCCCCACCCCGCCTTTGTGACTTTTTGTGTCATGCTCTGCACCCCACCCCCTCCCAGGCAGTGCCGCCCCCTCCTCACCCTTGCCCTCCCTTGTTTTTTGTTCCTCTGGGAGCTCCCCAGAGAGTGGGCCACTGTGGGGGCCATCGGTGCAGAGAGGACACAATGGAACTCTTGTGAAACTGTGGGCTTCTCCTGCCCCCTCCCCAGGGGGCCTGTCCAACATTCCTCAGCCTTGCCCGAGACCTTCTTGAACCCTCGTCCCCTTGGAAAACCAGACTAAACTGGTCTCATGGGGAGAGGGTTTTTGTCTGCCTAAGGAGCCTGTCCCGCACCCCACCCCAACTTCGGAGCGGCCACTGCCCTTGCACACCCTATACCTTGGTCCAAACGACACACCCACGACACCATGCCAACCTCGGATTTAAAAGTTTTATTAGATTAGCAAGTTCATTCTTCACTCAGCTCTTCTCAGCCCCCATTCAACTGCATTTCAATTCCACAAACATCTGTTAGCCCTCCAAGTAAGGGAGAACGTCAATGAGCGGGCAGTAGCTCCCAGTGGAAGAGGGCACTGTGGTGGAGGGACTAGAAGGATGACCCTCCCAGGCCTATTGCGTGGGGCACATCGATTGGGTGTTTATTATGTGTCAGCGATGATTTCTGTGGTCACAGCAACCCATGAGGTAGGTGCTACTATTTTCCCTTTCTACGAAAGAGGAAACTGAGGCATGAGGAGTGATGACCCATTCCCAGGGTTACAGTCAGGAAGTGGCAGAGCCAGGATTTGAACCCAGGCAGACTGCCTTCAGAGCTGCTCTTAACAACCCATGCATTTATTAGAATGCTTGGCAAGTATTTATTTATTTATTGAGACGGAGTCTCGTTCTGTCACCCAGTCTGGAGTGCAGTGGCACGATCTTGGCTCACTGCAATCTCTGCCTCCTGGGTTCAAGCGATTCTTGTGTCTCAGCCTCCCGAGTAGCTGTGATTACAGGTGCACACCACCACACCCGGCTAATTTTTTGTGTTTTTTTTTTTTTTTTTTTTTTGTATTTTTAGTAGAGACAGGGTTTCGCCATGTTGGCCAGGCTGGTCTCAAACTTCTGACCTCAGGTAATCCACCTGCCTCGGCCTCCCAAACTGCTGGGGTTACAGGTGTGAGCCACTGCGCCCAGCCTGGCAAGTACTTATTGAGCCAGGTACTCTCTGCCACTAGAACAGCCTCTCCCCAGGGCACGTGCTTTAAGATTCACAACATACATTCAGACCACAGTCTTCAGGATGACTGTGCAGGTATTAGAGGACCCATTTTGATGATGGAGAAACTGAGGTTCAAAGAAGTGAAAGGTATTGCCAGAGGCCCCAGAGCTGGGGGATCTGGCGGATCTGGGGTTGGAGCCTCTTCTGCCTCACTTACATCTCAACTGAGCCCTCAGCTCAGTGTCAGGACTAAATACCTGTGCCGTAAATGAAAGCCTGGTTACCTGCAAGAGACCAGGGTTGGGTGAGCCCCTCTGTCTGGGTAAGAACGGGCCACCTGGCTCAGGGCTTTACCTGGCTGTATGAAGTTCCCCTTCCATAGGGCCTGTATTTGCGCAGTGATGGGAGGCTTCGCTCAAAGCTCATTTGCAGCTGTTCTCTGCCAGAGCCCCTTTCTGGGCTGTGCAGCAGGATGCCCGGTGACACCTGTTTGCAGAAGTTTCTGGTCTCCCTACCTGGAACAGATTTGGCCCAACCCCCTCGTAGTCTCTTCCTGAGAAGGGGCCTTCCTAGGATTGGGGACAGGTGGGGGCAGGGACTTCTCAGGCAGTCAGTGGGGTCATAAATCGGGCTAATTGCAAAGCTTCCTTCCACAGAGGCACAGTGTCTGCCCAGAAAGTCTGTCTTCTGGGAAAAGGCCAAGAGGACACAATGAGTCTTTACCATGCAGGGGCCCGCCTGGGCTGCGAGGGGCTGGGGGCCTGACCCACAGCCCAGAGCTGCACAGTCTGACAAGGGCAGAAGCAGGACCAAGCCTCACATCTTCTGACCCCTAGGCTGAAGCTTTTTAAACTGTACAGTTGTCCCCTCATATCTATGGATGACTGGTTGTATGGATGCTAAAATCTGCAGGTGCTCAAGGCCCTTAGAGCATTTGCTTATTTATTTATGTTTAAATAGCTTCCAAATCAGGATTGTCGGATTGTTGGGGCTGAGCAATTGGTACATAGGGGTTCATTATAGTATTCTCTCTGTGTGTGCTTGAAAACTGCCAAAAGTTAGAGTTCACGTGATAAACTAAATGTTACCACTTCAGAAAGACTTTTGCAGAACAAAAATTTAGATTGCCATTCTCTACAGCCCCTGCTTTGCTTCCTCCATAGAAGTTACTCTAACGTGAGGTTCTTTTCTTATCTGTCCCTGTCTGTCTCTGTCTCTGGAGTGGAGCTTCCTGTGTTTGCTTCATTTATAGGTATCTCCTTATCTGCCAGCACAGAGCTGGGCATACAGAAGGTACCCAGTACATACCTGTGGAAGGAAATAATATCCATATAGCATCCAGAGAAACCACACTAGTTTCAAGGAGTTGGTGGGGAATCATGGGAAAAAATGAAAAAAATATCTTCATAAGTTAGCAGTGCCTCAGGGTGGTGGTTAAGAGCTCCAAAGACAGAAGGAAACTGCCTCATTTGAATCCCAGCTCCGTTTTCCCAGTGACCTTGGAGGAGTTACTAGCCTTTTCAAGCCTTTATCTCTTCACCTGTAGAATGGTGGCAATAATAGTTCTAGCTGCCGGCTTTAGTGGCTCACACCTGTAATCGCAGCACTTTGGGACTCCGAGGTGGGAGGATCAATTAAACCCAGGAGTTTGAGACAAGCCTGGGCCACATAGTGAGACCCTGTCTCTACAAAAATAAAAAACATCAGCTGGGTGTGGTGGTGTCCACCTGTGGTCCCAGCTACTCGGAAGGCTGAGGTGGGAGGATTGCTTGAGCCTGGGAGGTCAAGACTGCAGTGAGCCATGGTCAAGTCACTGCACTCCAGCCTGGGTGACAGAGTGAGACCTTGTCTCGAACATAAAAAGATTCTAGCCATCAGTGTTCAAGAATGTCATCATCCATGCACTTCCCTGCTAGGTCTTAGACCTACCTCACTGGGAAGCACATTAGGACCTGGAGAGTCTCTCCTCAAGCTGGAAAAGGCAATAGAGGGGGAGTTTGGGAAATGGACAGTGGAATACGGCAGCCCCTGGGGGTCTTTGGTGGGTCAGGAACCCTGCAGGAGAGGAAACAGCAGACAGACACAAAGGCTCTGAGATGGGTTCTGGGACCCAGAGAAGCGAAGCACAAAGTGGTTGAGGTGGGTGGGGGGAGAGCTGTGGGAGATGGAGTGAGGGGGTAGTGGTGGGGGCTGCAGGGCCTTGAAGAGTTTGGGTTTTATTCTAAGTGCAATGAGAAGCCTTCAGAGAGTTTTAAGCAGAGAAGCTCCAGATTCTAATTTGCATTTTAAATAAATCCCTCTGGCTGCTGCATGGAGAATGGATTATTGGAGCAAAAGTAGGAGCCAGAGACCAGAGAAGATAGAAGTCAGGGCTGCCTCCCCAGCCCCCACTGGATGGAGCAGATGGGAGTGGGGGGCTGGGAAGCACTGCACACACACACACACACACACACACACAGCCTCTGGCAGGGTGGGCTCAAGAACTGGGGAAGAGGTGGCTGGGGCTGCAGGTGGTAAAGGCTGTGGGTGGGGACTCCAGGGCCTCTAGATGAAAGGTCCAGTTTGTCCAAACTGGTTCCCAAAATGCTGGAATGGAAGAGGAAATAGTGAAAGCAAAATAATACAAAGGGCTTTACTAGAGAAGCCTTCCTTGGGGTCTGCTCAGACCCATTCCTTTTATTATTGTTGTTCAGAGTATTGCTCTGATTTTAACATTGAGCTGCTCTGATAAACAGGTGCACCAGCTCCAAGATGGTGGGGACAGTGGAGGGACCCATGTTTGGGGAGAGTCATGGCGGAGGCATGGGGCACAAGTGAGTCTTTCACTCACTACCCATTGATTGAGGGCCTGACACATTCCAGTCCCTACTAGGTGTTAAAAGTTATTCACTGGTCTATGAAACCAAGTTTCTGTCCTCTAGGAATTCAGCCTAGTAAGAAAAGGGAGTGTATGCAGACCACAACACAAGTGAGTGTTCGTGGATGTAAACAGGGCAGGAGCAAAATTCACACAGGCAGATAAGGCTTTTCAGAAGACAAGTCGACAGAGAAGCCAAGAAAGGATTTACTGAGGTGGCCTTGAAGGACTGGGGCTGGGAAGATGACATTTTGGGTGGAGGGACAGCATTTGCCAGTGCTTAGATGTGGGAAAGCATGGGTTGGGGGGGCATTTTTTCAGCAAAGAAGGTATCCTCCCTTCGGGTGGGGATTCTGGGAACATGTACAGGAGTAGGGAAACATTAAATCAGAGAGGGAGGTTGAGGCCAGAGTACAGAAGTTCTTGAATGCTGAATTTGGATTTAATTGTTCTGTCATTAGGAGTCTGAAGGTTTTGGACCAGGCCAGTGGTCTGGAGATATGGCTCTGAGAGAGGGTAGAGGAGGGATTGAAGAAGTGAGAGACTGGAACAAGTTGTCTACTGCAAGGATCCAAGGAGTAGAAGCTGCCGCCCTGGAGTGGAGCAGGGGACACTGGGGTGGAGACGAGGGGCTGATGCAGGAGGTAGCAGGACAACTCTATAGGACTTTGGAATGAATTGGATGGGGCAAGAACAGAAATGCTCTGAGTCTCTGTGTATTTGAGCTGAGATGCTTAGATTATTGAGGCTACTAAGAAAAATGGTGGGAACTCAAAGGATAGAGGAAAAGCTAGTGAGAGGGGCCAGAGAGATGATAAACTCAGCTTAGGGCAAAAATGTTATGATTCTTACTCCGTCAGCCTTCCAACATGAAAACCCCATTCCAGCAGTATTCTCTCAGCACTTGGATGGAAGTTTGACTAGCATTTATTACACCTGAAAAATAAGAATGAAATGTCACCAGCTCACTGAGCCTGCCTGTGCTGTTTATCAGACTACATTGCTGTTCATCATTACTTTGCTGCTTTGTCTCTTTCTGCTCCTGGATGGTAAATTTCTTTTTTTTCTTTTTTTTTTCCCCCCAGAGACAGAGTCTCGCTCTGTCGCCCAGAGCTGGAGTGCAATGGTGCGATCTCAGCTCACTGCAACCTCCACCTCCCGGGTTCAAGCGATTCTCCTGCCTCAGTCTCCAGAGTAGCTGGGATGACAGGCATGTGCCACCACACCCAGCAAATTTTTGTATTTTTAGTTTCACCATGTTGGCCAGGCCGGTCTCGAACTCCTGACCCTGTGATCTGCCCACCTCGGCCTCCCAAAGTGCTGGGATTACAGGCGTAAGCCACCGCGCCCAGCCAGTAAGTTTCTTGAGGGCCACAGGCAGAGGCCACATCAGTTCTTTTTTGACTTCTGTGGACCCAGGATACAGCACAGTCAGCACCTGGCAATGGATGAGTTCAACAAATATTTGTGGACTGAAGGAAGGAAAGGAGGGAGGGAAGGAGGGAGGAAAGGAGGGATGCCTTATTCATCTCAGTTCAGCACAGAGCCTGGCCCTCAGAAGCTCCGTAACTAACATTTGGGGACTGGCGAGCAGCGATGAGGGATTCTTGGCAAGCTGAGGTTTTCAGAGCTCCCCTCTGGTAGCTGCTGTGCTTGCAGGGGTGTGTTTATCTTTAAGGTCTGGATCTAAATTTTTCTTTCAAGTCCAAAGGCTTTTACAAACCCCAGCCTAAAACAACAACTGGATTGCATTTCTGAGGAGGAAGGGTGGGGGTGGGGAGAGAAGAAGAAGGAGAAAGCAAGAGAACCTCTCCACTTCCCACCCCATTATGAGTTCCGACGGAGGTAGAGCCAGAAAAACAGAACAGGCTGTTTAAGTGGGACAAGCAAGAAGCCCAGCCACCTGGGGAGGGCTTGGGGAGGATGCAGAGAAGAAGTCAGTTTGTGGAGAAATAATAGATCTTCTCCTGGTCGGCTGTTAGCAGGGCAGCTGTGGCCGCCCTTGGTTGGGGGAATCAGGAGTGACTGGCTACCTTGTTAGTGGGAGGGGGTCCTCCCAACCATGGGCGGGAGCAGCCGGCACTGGACGCTGCCCAGCAGAAACAGAGCTGGTTATCGCTTTTCATAAAGACTGGTCATTTTCATAAAGACAAATCAATGCCTGGGTGAGTCTCCTTGGCAGAAAGAAAGGCAGCTCTAAATGGGAGCGGCAGATGCGTGCATCTGTGTGCATCTGTCAGGAAAGCCAGGGAGAACGTACAGAGGGATGTGGCTAAAGACAGGTGGCATTCCTGGCCACATTTCACAGCTCTTTTTGATGCAGAAGTAAATACATATGTAAGCTGCTTCCACAGAGGCATTCTCTGGATGCTGGTAAATCAGGGAAAGTTTGGTGGGAAGGGTCTTGATGCCTAACCTCATATTCTGGCTCCAGTTTCCAGGAAGCCCGTGTTCCTCTCAAGATGAGATTGGGGCCCTGGGCCAGGGAGATTGAGTTCGAGTCCTGTGCTGAGCTTTGCTAATAGTGGGATCTCAGCTCAGTCACACGGTCTCCCTGGTCATCCATGTTTGCCTTCTGTGTTAATCTGCTAGGGCTGCTGCAGTGAACACTCACAAACTGGGTGGCTCAAAACAAAAGATGTAATCTCTCACAGTTCTGGAGGCTAGAAGTTCAAAGTCAAGGTGCTGGCAGGGTCGTGCTCCCTCTGAGGCCTCGAGGGAAGAATCTCTCCTCACCTCTTCAGCTTCTGTGGGTTGCTGGCAATCTTTGGCATTCCGTGGTTTGTAGACGCATCACTCTCATGACATGGCCATCTTCCCTCTCTCTCTGTCTGTCTCTCTCTGCCTCCTCTCCTCTTAAAAAGACACAGTCATTGAATTTAGTACCTACTCTAATCCAATATGACCTCAACCTCATTAATGACCTCCGCAGAGATTCTTTCCATATAAGGTCGCATGCAGAGGTTTTGGGTAGACACACATTTTGAGGGAACACTATTTTTTCCTTTTTTTTTTTTTTTTGGAGTCTCGCTCTATCCCCCAGGCTGGAGTGTAGTGGTGCAATCTTGGCTCACTGCAACCTCCGCCTCCCGGGTTCAAGTGATTCTCATGCCTCAGCCTCCCAAGTAGCTAGGATTACAGGCACCTGCCACCACACCCAGCTAATATTTGTATTTTTAGTAGAGACAGGGTTTTGCCATGTTGGCCAGGCCGCTCTCAAACTCCTGACCTCAGGAGATCCACCTGCCTCAGCCTCCCAAAGTGCTGGGATTACAGGCATGAGCCACCGCGCCTGGCCAATATTTAAAGCATTGTTATACTGTATGAAGTCAAACATATGTAGTTCCTAACAATTATTAGGTTGGGTGCCTGTTGGGTGCGTAGTGCTAGAGAAGCACACAGATAAGGACGACACTGTTCCGGATTTGCCAGCCTCATTCCTAACAAGCCAACTTCAGCTCAACTTGCACTAGATCTGTTAGAATGGGTGGGGTGGGTCCAAGAAGCCAAACTTTGCCCCAGAAATATAACTGCTTAAGGACAACACCTGTAGTGTTTGTATGATACAACCTCAAACTTGCTTGGATGTTTAAAGGAAATTGTGAAAGCCCTTTTTTCAGTTTTACTTGTTCCACTATAAAAATCTGTCTAACTCATCTTGGGGCTGAAAGAACATTTTCTGATTCCAGAGACTCTCTCCAACAATTGTTGGAACGTTGGTTGAATAATCTGGGAAGTCTTTGGCAGATCTAAATCAAACATAACTTTTCGAGCTGGTTCCTTCAACACCTCCAGAGCAGGGAGGAAGTGTATTAGCAATAAGAGGCATGTGGTATGTCAGACAATTTTAGGTGGCACTCACATGAACTGGAATGCTTTTTATTTCAATGGTTATATAGTTATCTGAGTGAGTATTTGATGAAGTATATTTAGCACATAAAACCCATGGTTTCCTGAACAGTGCTGCTTAAGACAAAGTTTAAAAAATGAGTTGGGTTTAAGTCATTTGAAAGAAACAGATTCAATAAAGGACAGTACAAGCCAGGGACAGTCACTCACACTTGTAATCCCAGCTACTTGGGAGACCAAAGTGGGAGGATCACTTGAGGCCAGGAATTGGCACCCAGCCTGGCTAAGTAGCAAGACCCTGTCTCTTAAAAAAAAAAAAAAAAAAAAAAAAAAAAAAAAAAAAAAAAAAAAGAAGGAAAGAGGCCAGGCACCGTGGCTCATGCCTATAATCTCAGCACTTTGGGAGCCCGAGGTGAGTAGATCACTTGAGGTCAGGAGTTCGAGGCCAGCCTGACTGACATGGTGAAACCCTGTCTCTACTAAAAATACAAAATTAGCCAGGTGTGGTGGTGCGTGCCTGTAGTCCCAGCTACTTGGGAGGCTGAGGCAGGAGAATTGCTTGAATCCGGGAGGCGGAGGTTACAGTGAGCCGAGATTGCACCACTGCACTCCAGCATAGGCACAAGAGTGAAACTCCATCTCAAAAAAAAAAAAAAAAAAAAAAAAGAAAAGAAAAAAGAATAGCACAGGTGGGATACAGAGAAGGTAAAATGAGTGAATGAAGGTGGTATTCAGTGGGTGTGGGTATTGCAAAATTCCTGGGGGGAACTCAAGTTTGGGAATCACTGGTTGAGTGGATTAGAGACTTTGGCATTGGTACCTGGGTTTGAATCTCTGCTCCGCTGCCTGCTGGCCTGGTAGCCCTCAGACAAGTCACCTAATGCCTTTGGACATCAGTTTCCTCATCTGTAAAGAAAACCTCTGTGGCCCAGCTGAACATCCCTGTGGAGCACTGGGCTCAGAAGGAGAGCTGATATGGGCTGCATGTAGCCTCCAGTGGGACGGGAAGACAGATGCACACCCCAGCTGCCCAAGGGTTACTCAAAGTAGAGGACCGTGTAGGGGTGGCTGAGTTCCGAGGCTCTGAGCTGGGGATCTCCCCTAGAATGTGGGACCCTGGGGTGCGGTCTCAGGAGGTAGCACTTGAAGATCCAAGACTGAAATAGGGCCAGGAGCAGATATTGTTTTAGTAATTCGGGAAGCTTTGGTTTGATTTTTTTTGTATAAACCCCTATTATGTGCCAGGAGCTTCACATGAATATTCATTGTTTCTGCAACAACTTCCCCCAGGAAAGTGATATTATTCCCATTTTACAGATGAAGGCACTCAGGCTCAGAGAGGTGAAGTAACTTGACCAAGGTCACACAGCTAGAAGAGGTGGTGCGAGGATTGGAAACCTCTACCATCTTCCTCCAGCATCTTGAGGGTGGGTGTTTCTGAACCTGGATTCAGACCACAGCTGTGATGATGGACAGACCTAGTACAGGAGGGAGAGACAGGAAATTGACCAGAAAATCCTATGCCTGTGTAAAGACAGCCTATTTATGCGTATGGATTCCCTAGGTAAAGGCATCCATAGGCTCTGCTCATTTCCCCTGTGTTTCTAGAGTGGGAACATGGGATCATCACCTGATCTGTGGCTCTCACTTTTCTCTGCAGCATAGGAGTGAGTGACATGTACAAATACATCCTCCAGAGACCTTGGGGGAGGGAGGTGAGGACGTGGAACAGGGAGATGGAATCTCAGGAGATCAGAAAGCAATTTGAACATGAAGTTACTCTCTGGGGCCTGGCAGCTGTGTGGAGAAAACGATATAATTTAACGTTTCTTGGAAATTGATATTCTCACTTCCCAACGAATCTGGGTTTGTGGACAGATCTCGGTTCCGTCTCCCTCACCGTGGTTTGTGATAACTGCTGATTATCCATATTCGTATAAGATTTGCATTTCCACATGGACTCTTTGCTTGAAAACAGGCCTGTGTTAGTTTGGCACTTGGGTCTATGCGGTTCTCAGGTGTCATCCTTGAACTTTGTGCCTTGACTCCTTTCCAGGCTTACACCCCCTCGGAAATCATGGTAATCGTAGGAGCTAACACTGATTCTATAGCAACTACCATGGGACAGACCTTGTTCTAAACACTTCTCATGTCCTAAATTATTAATCTTCACACACTGTTCACTGATGCAGGTACAATGAACACTGTTTTACAACTGAGGCACAGAGAGGTTAGGTGACTTCCCACAGCCACACAGCCCATCTGTGGTGGAAGCAGGAATAGAACCAGAGTCTGCCTTCTTAACACTGTGCCATTCTGAGTTCCCCAGGAGTTCCTTTACACACACCCATCATGCACTGTGCAGATGTCCATTGCTGAGTTTCTAACACTGGGGAGCACTCATATATTTTCCCATTTATCTCCACCGAGAGGTCTCTGAAGCTGGGGCACAAGCTTCTTCATTCTGCATCCCCAGGACCCGGCATGGCACCTGGCACATGGAGACTATGCAATCAGGTTCTTGTCACAAAAGGATTCAAATCTGAAATTCACTTTCAGGGAAATTCACATCAGTGGCTCCCCAGGAATTGGGAAGGAGCCATTTGAGAAGCAGAGAGCCACAGGTCCATAGATGCGTCTGGCTGTCAGGACATGGGCCCGAATAACCCAGCTTCTCGCTTGATGCTGAACATTAGTACAGAGCTGAGGTGCATTGCTGAATCTTGAGGGGGTGGGTGCTTGGAGTGTGTATCTCAAGAGGTGTGATAGCTCTTCTGAATGATGGTAGTGCGTATGCCATGGGCAAGGCAGGCTGGCACCATGGCTGAGAGCAGCATGCGCTTCTGATCTGGCTCTACCACTGATTTTCTTTAAACCTCAGGTTCCACTTCTGTAAAATGGGTTTGTTATGGGGAATAAGTGAGATGCACAGTGAAATGTGTTCAGCACAGCGATTGGGCCATAGGTACTCAGTAAATGTTAGCTTAATGCATCTTATATTGTCAAAATTACTTTCTTATCTAGCACCCACTGGGTCCTCACACAGCCCTGCAAAGCCCCATTTGATGGAGGAGGAAACGGCGCAAAAATGATTACCATAGGTCATAGGGTTAGGAAGTGATGGAGCGAGAGTGGACCTGGAGCTCTGGCTCAAAAACCAGTGCCTTCATCCCGTATTACCCGTTTGCCTTCATATCATTGGGAAAACTCAGGCTTTTCTTGCATCTTTTTTCTTTTTCCAAAAACCATTTATTGAGGTGAAATGCACATAACATACAATTAGGCATTTTAAAGTGTGCAATTCAGTGGCATTCAGCTCATTCATAGTGTCCTGTAGCCACCACCTCCGTCAAGTTCCAAAACATTTCCATCACCCCTTATCCATCAAGCAGTTTCTCCCCACCCTCCTCTTTCCTCAGCCCTTCGCAACCACCAATTCCTCTTCCTTCTCTATGGATTTACCTCTTCTGGGTAGTTCATATAAATGGAGTCATACACTATGTGGCCTTTTGTGTCTGGCTTCTTAGCATGCTTTCATGGTTCATTTCTGTTGCAGTGGGTATCAGAACTCCATTCCCTTTTGTGGCTGAATAATATTCCATAGTATGTATATACCATAATTTGCTTACTCATTCATCTGTTGATGAATATTTATTTCTATCTTTTGGCTGTTGTGAACAGCACTGCTATGTTTGAGCACCTGTTTTCAATTTTTTTTCTTTTTTTTTTTTTTTGAGACAGGGTCTCACTGTGCCACCCAAGCTGGAGTGCTGTGACTCGATCTCGGCTTATGGCTCACTGTAACCTCCTCCTGGGCTGGAGCCATCCTCCCACCTCAGCCTCCCAAGTAGCTGGGACTGCAGGCACATGCCACCACACCCAGCTAATTTTTTGTTATTTTTTTGCAGGAAGGGGGTTTTGCCATGTTGCCCAGGCTAGTCTCGAACTCCTGGGCTCAAGTGATCTGCCCGCCGTGGCCTCTCAAAGTGCTAGGATTACAGGTGTGAGCCACCAAGCCCAACCTGTTTTCAATTCTTTTGAGTATATAGTGGTTTCCTCATATTTTAAAAGAACAGGCAGAAGCATGTTACACTGTCATTTCGTAGTATGATGTAACCAGTAGGCATTTCTAATTAAAGAATTGGCTGATATCCGTCTCATCCCAAAACAATAGCAGGCTTCCTTTTCTACAAACACAGTTGAAACTCTTTTATATCCCTAGTCAATAACTGGAGTTTTAACACACACACACACACACACACACACACACACACACACACACACACACACCCCTGCCTGTGCCTTCTCATACTGTAGCCACAGCTTTTCCACTAGTTGTTGTCCAACTGGGAGATTGCACCTCTGTTGATGTTTATTCACATAATCTGATGTTTTGTTTTGTTTCGTTTTGTTTTTTAACTGCCTTCATTAGATAGTCAGCATCTATCTGGATGTGATAAGAGAGAGGGAGGGAAAGGCACACTCTACAATTAGCCTTGGAAAGGGAATCAGAAATGTAAGCACAATTAATCTCCTAGTGATAAACTCCTTGATGACATGTACCACATTTTAGGATTTTTTTTTTTTTTTTGAGATGGAGTCTCGCTCTTGTTGCCCAGGCTGGAGTGCAATGGCACAATCTCGGCTCACTGCAAACTCCACTTCCTGGGTTCAAGTGATTCTCCTGCCTCAGCCTCCCGAGAAGCTGGGATTACAGGCACCCGCCACCACACCTGGCTAATTTTTTTGTATTTTTGATAGAGATAGGGTTTCACCATGTTGGCCAGGTTGGTCACGAACTCCTGACCTCAGGTGATCCACCCGCCTTGGCCTCCCAAGGTGCTGAGATTACAGGCATGAGCCACTGCACCCGGCCTATGTTTTATGCTTTTTAAAGAACATTTAGCCCTGAGTGTAAAGTCAGGGCTCTGCAAATATTTGTTCAAGGAGTTAATCACAGCACTATTTTGATGTGCTGACAAGTTCCTTAATGAAGATGGCTGCTATTGGTAAAATTAGGAACCCCCAGGGGGAGAACAGAAGGGTCAGCTCATTCCCCGGGATGACAGCTGTCCCAGTTAGCCCTGTGAGTGGGCAGGGCTGGCAATGCCATATGTTGCTAGTGGTCGACTTCGGTGGAAACAGGCCCTGTGGTTTCCTTCTTTCATCACTCTCAATGAGTAATCAAACACGCTTACCTCCCAGGTCTCTGCCAGGTGGGCCTGCAAGCTGGGGGCATCCTCCGTCCTGTACAGCCAGGCAGGTCTAACCAAGGCAAAGAGCATGCACTTTGTAGATCTGCAGGCCTGGGTTCCAAACCCAGCCTGGCCACTTCCTGGCTGTGTGACCTGGGGCAAATGACTTAGCCTCTCTGGGCCTCAGTTCCCTGATAGGGTTACAGGAGTGATGACATGAGTGCTAGCTTGTAATGTGCTCAGCGAGGTGCTTGGTGCATATTAGGGCTCAGATCTGTGATTGTTGTTACTATGCCCTTTCCCTCCTTCCTTCCTGCTGTGTGTATGATGTAGGACCTTCTTGTGTCTGATGTGTAACTGATGTTGCAGTTAAACTAAAAGAATCCTCTGCTGTCATGGAGGGCAGTCCAGTGGGGATGACGCATAAACAGACTCACAGAGGGGGCACCACGTGCTGCTGGAACCCAGGGGAGGTGGTGCAAACTCTGATGGGGGCCCATCTTCACAGACTCCCTAGTCTGGTTCCTAGAGAATGAATAGTGGAAAAGGTGGGGCTAACATTCCTATTGCCCATCCACTGACCCCACCCCCAAAGGGTGCCAGGGATCATTAAGGCACAGACCAGGTTCATGAAATAGCTTTACTGGGCTCAAAGAGATGCTGCAGGATTCTTAGCTAAAGCGGGTATCTGAGGGAGGGAGAGGGGGTGCCACGGGCTGCCCTCAGGCTGTGATGCTGCTTTGGCACCATTGGGGTCCCTAGGGTTCCTAGGAATGTTAAGACAGACCAGTGTACATACACACACACAGAAACACACAGAGCACTATTGCTTATTTGCCCTGAGAAAAATTAATGCTTCATGTGTTGAATGAGGGAGCAAAGCCCTGTGTCTGTGTGCGGCTCCCCGACACCAGGCCTGCTCTTTCTGGGGCCACCCATAACCCTCACCTTGCAGCAGCCTGCTGGCCGTCTCTCTGTGCCCAGCTTCCTCACTCTCCCAGGGAAAGGGCTGCCTTGATTTCTCCCAGTCCTGCCAGTCCATTCCTGGCCTCAGCGGCCTGGCGCTTCTGTCTCCTGCAGGCCAGGCACCCGGTCAGGCTGCTTCTGGAGAGATGACCCTGAGCAGGGGAAGACCATCTGCATGCCCTGTGCGCAGGAAGCCACAGGCCACGGCATGAGGACAGACACAAAGGAGAGGGTGTGCTTTGAGTGGATATGGGCCAAATCCTGGCTTAGTTTTCACTGTGTGATCACGGCAAGTCAGGGAACCTCTCTGAGTCTTGGTTTCCAGAGGGGGAAAGTGGGAATCATGATACTTCTTGCATTTGTGGGGTTAAAACGATGTATATAAAGTGCCTGGCACAGTTCAAGTGCTCAGCACACGGTGGTTATGAGCACAGTGTGAGTGAATTGGAGACAGTCTTACCCTTTCTCATGTCCAGGAGTGGCTGCCAAAGGGCTCTTGAAATTTCCACTCAGCAGGCGCTGCTGGGAGTAAGACCTCTATGAACTGGCTTTGTGCCCCTCCTTGCTGTGTGACCTTGAGTAAGACACTTGGTCTCTCTGAATGAGGTTAGAAACGGGAATTGTACAACCACTATCAATGCCAGGGTCCCAGCTGCATGCATGACAAAAATACACTTCAGAGGCTGTTATTTTGCAAGAGGCACAAAACCTTGCCTGGAGAGGCCCAGGAAGGAGTGCATAGACCAGAGGGCAGACTATCACAGAGGGCTGAGCTGAGCAGCACAGAGCCCTCCTGGGTCCTCTGCACACTTGGGATCCAACCACGCCCAGACCTGGAGAAAAGCCTGCATAATGCAGGGGCCAAGATGTAAAAATAAAAATCAAGGGTGCAGAGATCCTGGGAATGGGGCCTTGGAGATAGATCCTTCAGGGATCGTTGAACTTTATAAAGCAGCAAAGCCACTTTTTCAAAGGAAAGCCCAAATAGAAAACAGACAAAAGCAAGAAAGGAGTCCTCAGGCAGTTTAATTCTTCATTGTTTGGTGGAAAATGCCTCATTGTTTGTGGCATCTCTGCAGAGAACCAGAATGGAGGTTCCCAGACTTCATTTCCTTTACCAATAATTTTTTAAAAAAAGTCAGGACTGACATCTGCATCTGGTTGCCAATCTCTTCCTGTTGCAGAATAAGGATTTTTTTTTTAAGATAACAATCATCCCTTATCACCATTATTTCTTGGAAGAAAGAATATTTGCCCCTCTTCCCATCCCCCAGATAGGAAGGACTGGGCTTTACAATGAAGACACGTGGCTCCATGAAAACTCACTGTCTTGTCTTGAGTTTTCTCATTTGCTTATTTGAAAATCACAACAGCAGAGCAGGATGTGTGAACCCCTTCCAGAAGGTTTCCAGCCACATGGTTTGAAAAGCATTGACTAGTCCCAGTGCCTCATTTTGCAGATGTGAAAACTGAGATCCTGAAAATAATACAGTGCACTCAGCAACACTTTGTGTCTGTGCCATGCTATGCACCAAGCCTGAGTTAATACTGGGGCTTCAGAGAGAAACACCATCTAGGAGGGTCCCAGAGGGAGTTGGTGGTAGAATCCATCCATCCATCCATCCATCCATCCATCCATCCACCCACCCACCCACTCATTCATCAATGGTAAATGGTGTGGCCACTACAATAGACCAGCCAACCAGGAGTACAAGCTATGAACAGGGCCTACAAGGTACTGCCTACTGGGTTTAAAGTCTGATAGAGCAGGCTGCTAAAACTAAAGAAAGCAAGTACATAAGATAATTTCAGAGAGTAAAAAGTGATGCAAAGATGATGAAATATGATAAGATGGAAGGGTGACAATGGGGGCTGCTTGGGTGTGTCCCTCTGATGGGAGAATATTGTGCAAAGAAGACCTGAACCATGAGAAGAATCTCACTATGCAGAGAGCTGGCAGAAGAGCATTCCAGGCAGAGGAAATGGCAAGATAGAAAGGTGCTTGGCGTGGGAGCATGGCAGTGGGAAGATTAGAGTGGCAGATGGTGAAGCCAGTCAGAGGCTTTACTGTGGGCCTAGGAAGGGCTCAGCAGGCAGGCAGCTAGGCTCCCACCTGTAATGTAGGGCAGGCACTCCTGGGGGCTTCCAGGCCCCACTGGGACCTGCCTTCTACCTTGACATATGGATCCAGGCACAGACTAGAGTGATCCACGGGCTGGATGCATTTCTCTCCTCATTTCTCAATCCATCTTGTGTCGAAACAAGGGACCAAAATGAGCCCATGTGCACTCCCAGAAGATGACTAAGAATGGAGAGGCCAAAGGCTGACTTCTTCAGCTCTGCTGCTGATCAGCCCTTCCTCAGGGGTGGCTGGACTGTGGGCCGGATGGGGGCACCCTCAGGGTTAGGGTGTGTGGTCTGGAGGCCTGCCCAGCCGAGGTGTGTTCTTTTGTCCCTGGAGTGTGTGGTGTGTGAAGGGGGGTCTGGGGAGTTGAGGGCTGATGGGATTTGGTTACTTGCTCAACAATTATGTATTGAGCACCTACCCTGTGCTGGGGATTGCTCTAGAATGGCCCCAGGGATACCATGGTGATAATGATAAATACATACATGCCTTAGATAAACTCAGGCCATGGTGAGTGCCCACAAAATAAAAGGAGCTCATGGAGCATGATGGAGGAGTAGGGAGGGTGCGGGAGACTTCAGCTCACTGGGCAGGGGCAGCTTCTCTTGGAGGAGCGGGCAGTTGAGAGCAAGCTTGACAGCCCACCAGCCATGTGTCATCAGGAGAAGTGTGCCGGGCCGAGAGACCAGTAAAGGCAATGAGGTGGGCACAAGAGGAGGCTGGGTGGCTGGGCAGAGGGAGCAGAGCAGATGATGGAGTCTCACGGAGCCTTCTCCCCAATATATCCAGAAAACAAAATCAGTGTCCGTGTGCAGCACAAATGCAGTGGGGAAAGCACCAGAATATAAAAACCTGAGCTCTTATCGTGCCTTCCTGTGTGACCTGGGGCAAGTTTATTGCCCACTCTGGGCCTTAGTTTCTTGTCTGTAAACAAGACTGCTGGACTGGAGAAGGGATGATAAATCACTTTTATTGTTAGCGCCAATGTAGACCAATGATTAGCAGCTGCCAAGGCACTGGACTGAAAAGGTGCACGGAGCTCCCTTCCAGGTGGATCAGCAAAGAGTACTGTAATCGATTAGTGATGTCTGCCATGGGTGAGAACCAGGAGGCAGTTGCATGTGTGCCACACATTTGCCATTCCTGGGTCACCCGCAACTGAAATTGTCCAGAGACTGCATTGGATATGCATGTGCTTGTACCAGCTTCAGCATCTGTGTCTTTTCCCCTCTGGTTCATCAGAATCGAGTGCTATGTGTGCTCTGGCACAGATGAACATCAGAGAATAATAGCAGCTGATGTGTGATGCTGCCTCTGTGTTGACACCAGGCCCTGGTGCTCATAACCCGTGCAGTCCTCCCAGCAACCCTGGGAGAGGATCTTAACTCCTCTCTCCATACATGGGGATTGAAGGCAGGTGAGGGCCCACACATGTTCAGAGACTGCACCCTGAGAATTGCTTGGGGAATGAGTTGATGAGAAGCTGGTGCTGACTGGTAGCTTCTCCCATGTCCTCCTGCTTTCTCCGAGCCTGCCTGACTCCAGTGAGTTCTGCCTCCAAATGCAAGTGAGTGTAGACTTCCTGGGGGAGTCTGCTCCCAAGCTGCTGCTGTCTGGGTGCAGGAAGGAGGTGGGCCATGGTGCCTCCTGAGCAGGAGGAGCCTGGCAGCTTTCTTTTCCAAGCTGCTGTCTGCCTCTCCTCTTCCTCCATTGCACTTCTGTTCTGTCCCTGCCAAGGAAGAGCAGTACAGGAGAGTGCCAGGCCCTGGTGAGGCAACTTTCTGGTCAGGGAATCCTGTGGCTAGTTGGGCTCTGGTGCCACATGTGCAGTGAGCTACTGGAGCTAGCGAGGTGGGGCCACTTGAATGAAGGCTTCCTCTCAGGGAAGTGTGAGGCTGGAGGCGAGGAGCAGGGTTGGGGGCCTGCTTAGCTTCCCTTTAGGGATGCCCTTGTGAACACCACAAGATCAGCACACGGAAGAGGCAGCTGATGGCATGCACGGTGGGCCATCCTGGGTTCCAGCTCTGGCTTTGCTGCCTGCCCTCACTGTGAGCTTGAGCAAGTCACTCAACCTCTTTCTCAGAGTAAAATGGGATTTATATTGGTTATCACCAAAGTAATGCCACATAACAAAAGATTCCAAAGCTCAGTGGCTGAAACCAACGTTTACTCTCAGCTCAAGGGCTGTAGGCTAGCTGCCACATGGCTGGGCTGGCCTGGCCCTAGGCTTTCGGCTCCAGGCTTGGCTGCAGGTTGTGTTGATGTCTGCTCTCTGTGTCTCTCTTCCTCCTTGGGCCAGCAGCTGCCTGGACCCTGTGGTCAGCTCTACGTGTGTTTATGCTGCGACTTAGGCTGAAGGGGCAGTGGCTACTGAGATTTTCTTCTCACAGCAATTGACCAGAGGCCAAGAAGACCCTCCCAGCCTTGGGCACAGTCATGCCTCTGCTCTGACATCCCATTGGTCAAAGTAAGTCATGTGGACAGGGCCAAATTCAAGGGGTGGACAGTCACTCCACCCATGTGAGGCTATAGCAAGAATGTGGGTGACTCATTGTTTTATGGAGAGGGAAGACTTGGGAACCCTAATTCAACATGCCACCAAAGTGCAGAAGGGCTTTGATACAATACATGGTGTCCAACCCATCTACTTCACAGACAGGAAATGAGGCTCCAGGAGCTGAAGTCACCCAGGTCACCTGACCACTGTGGTCCAGGCACTTCTGCCAGTGTGGTTTCATTTCATCCAGCTGGACAACAGTCCTCAGTGGGAACTGAAATTATTCCTGCTTTGTAAATGGGAGGTCTGAGGCTGGAGAGGAGAGGCCTGTAGCTGAGATCACCTATCCAGGAAATGGGGCTGGGGTAGGGATCTGCAGAGTTCTGATTTTTTTCCATGTTGATTGCTAATATCTGTTCCCATTAGCCTTTAAGCCTGTGTTAAGTCAGGAGAGCAGGGAGCACTGGCCTGCAAGTCAGGATATCCCACTTTTGCAAATGGCTAGGTGGGTGATGTGGGCAAGTCCCTGTTGTTTAACTTGGCTGGTGCAGAACTGACGGTGAATGGCAGGAAAGCCCATTTCCCTCCACGGCCCTGCCCATGCAGCCCTCCCTGGGCAGGGGATGCTATTTCTATACATCCTCCAGGACGCAGCCCTCCCAGGGCCCTGACCCTCACCTTCCTCTGTCCCCAGCTCTGAAGCAATGGAGAGCCTGGGGCCAGAGGGCCAGAGGATTTCCTGGCTCAGCACCCCAGCTGTCCAGAGAGCATCAGCAGGGGCCCGATCCTGTGTCCTTGCCTGGGTTCTCTGTTTCCAGCTGATCAGGGCAGATGAACAGGTGGCCCAGCGTCCTGCATTTGTCTGAGACCTGGCTCCTGGCTTCTCTCCTGTGTGCCCACTTCACTCCGGGAAGAGCTAGAGCATCCCCCATTCCCCTCTGCCTGCCTGCCCTATCCCCACATCTTCAATCCCCCAGGGCCGGGAAACACAGTAGTCAATGTCTGACTGTTATCCTTGCAAGGAAAGGGAGGAAGAAGTGAACAGTTATGTACTGACCGCTCATGTGCCAGGCCCTACATAGCAATAGTTATTATATTGAAAGAATAATATATGATATAACATGTCCTAGATGAGCCTGTCATATAAGGGGGGAGTCCTGGCTGGGGCTCAAGGGGCCTAGGCCTGAGTTCTGGTCCTGCCACTAACAGCACGTGGCCTGACTTCCCTGAACCTATTTCCCCATTTGCCAAATGGCCTAGGTGATCTCTTACGTCCCTCCCAACCCTGGTAGTCCAGGGTTGGGCCAGACAGAACCCTCCTGAGTAAACAGCCTGGCCATTTGCCTGTCTCCCCAGGTCCCAGTTTCATGGATTGTTTAGAACATTCCCTGGAATCTAAGCCACGGACGCGCCTGGTGTGCGGATGTGGAGCTGGATCTGGGGAAGGAGTCAGGCTGCTCTGAGCCCCCTTCTGTCAAGGCTGCCTTCAGGCGGGCTCTTCTCTGGAGTGGTTTGGCCCCATCTTGCCTTTGGCCAGGGATTGCTGCCACCTCTAGGCTCCTGCTCTGTGCCCCTGGCTGGGAATTTGCACCCACGCAAGCTGCTGAGTGCTAATGAGAGGAGCCGGTAATTATAGGGACTGGAGTTGGGAAACTTGACTTCTGAGGAATAGATATTGGGGACAGCAGAAACGGCTGCATTTCAGGCTAATCGCAGGGGCCCAGGGAACTTGCTCTGTGTGTATGTTGGGAAGGGAGGTGGACTGTGCGCATGTGCATGTGTGTCGGGTTCTTTAAAACTGCTAATTGTCAGGGTGAAAATATTTTCACACATTTGCTCTCCAGGAGAATGTTATTATGGTGCACACTGGCAGCCTCGTTGAAGTCAAACGGCACAGTCAACATGGAACTCCTAATTAATAGACGCTCATGCTGCTCTTGGGCACGGCAGTGGAAGTAATTATCATGATTTAATTGACTTTTCTCCCCTCTCTTATGCACTCTGCTTTTTCCATTTTCTTGAGCTTGGAAGGCTTTTTTTTTTTCCTCTTTCCTTTCCTTTTTTTTTTCTTTATGCATACTGTCTCTCATGCCAGTGCTCTGTCAAATCCTATTACAATAAATATTGTGACAGCAAAAATCTCTATATCACAGAAAAGTCCAGAGCCTGAGCCAATGGCTTACTTATTACTTATTACCTTCTGTTGGTCTTGTAAAGGTACAGACAGATCCAGGCAAAGGTGTCTGGCAAGGGGAAAGGGAGTTGATTTGCTCAAAAGTTTTGGTTTCTGAAAGCTCCCTGGGACTAAGGACACAGAGAACCATCTGCACTAGCGCCGGCCAAGGAGGGTTGCTGTCAAGGTCTAGTCAGGGCTTAAGGAAATCCAAGGGGCAAAACTGGGACACCTCTGAGCCCCTGCGACCAGCAAATGGAAGAATTCTATCTCTGGCCAGGCTCCTTCAGGGTGGCCCATGCTCTCTGTGCTTTGACTAGCGTGTTCTACTCACTCATGATAACCTTGACCCAACTGGTGCCTGCGCCACACATTCTCATGGGTTTCAGTTAAGTTTCTCATAGCCAACTGGCCAGAGCCCTAGGAGCCTCCCTATGCAAACCTGAATGCCTCTTGCTGTTAGGTGGGGCCTTCCACACCCAGCCATGCCTTCTGTTGCTAATGGTCAAGGGGTGGACTGCTCTGGGCACAGGCGTCCTCCCTGGTCCAGTCATCTGTGGCAAGTGGACAGGGTCATATGGTGCACTGTCCACTTCTCAGAAGCTATGGACAGAGCTTTTTGCAATAGATGAGACTGTGGGAGGTGCCACGTGGCACTTGAGAGCTAGACTGTTTGTGATTGAATCCTGTTTTGGCCACTTGCTGTGCATTTTTGGGCAAGTTCCTTAAACTTCCTAAGCCTTGGGATCCTCATCCATAAAATGATACTTTCCTAGGTTGTCATGAAAGATACATGAGTGATATGGTTTGGATATTTGTCCCCCCGCCCCCAATCTCGTGTTGAAATTTGACCCCCAGTGTTGGAGGTGTGGTGGAGTGGAAGGTGTTTGGCTCATGGGGGTGGATCCTTTATGTCATGAATGGTTTCGTGCCCTCCCTGCAATAATGAGTAAATTATTGCTTTATTAGTTCATGCAAGAGCAGGTGTTTAAAGGAGCATAGCTTCTCTCTTGCTCCCTCTCTTGCCATGTGACATGCCTGCTCCCCCTTCACCTTCTGCCATGAGTAAAAGCTTCCTGGGGGTTCACCAGAAGCCAGCCAGATGCTGTGCCATGCTTGTACAGCCTGTAGAACAATGAGCCAAGTAAACCTCTTTTTTAAATCAATTACCCAGTCTCAGGTATTCCTCCAGAGCAATACATATGGACTAATACAATGAGTTGGTGCTTGTGATACACCAGAGAGGCACTCAATAAAATGTTAACTTTTAGGGTGCAGAAAGATAGATGAGGCGGCTGCCAGTGTCTGATTAACAAGTGGGAGCATGCTAAAATCACAGACATCGAACATTGCAATAAGCCTGAGAGATCATCGAGTTTAACTCTACACTCCTCAGTGTACACATGGGAAACTGAAGCACAGAGAGGGGATGTAGTCCTTTTTAAGGTCAAATAATTTTATCTAATAGGATATTGGACTGTTTCTCACGGGGCTAAAATTAGGGCCAAGACATTTCCTTGGGTCTCACTGGAGATTATTGAGAGTGGTTGACTTTTAATTAGAACATTACAAACAGTAGAATCAGGAAGAAGAAAAGATGAACCTGCGATTGTTCTGTTTCTTTGTACCCATATTGGGATGATTAGTTAAGTGCATATTAAGGTTCTGGCCTCTCTTGAAGTACATCATCTTCATTATTTTTCTCAGATAATTTCTCTGTGGGGTCAGTGGGTGAGATGACACTCATCAGCTATGTTATTTTAGACACTTAGTTTCTCTGAGCCTGAGTTTTCTCATCTGAAGAATGGGGATATACTTGACCCTACTTGGACTGAAAGCCATTCAAGGTCAGGGATGGTTTCTTCTTCACCTCCTCTTCCTCTTCTATATCCCTGACTACAACATTGTCTAGCACACACTGGGCTTCTGCATAAATTTACAGAAACTAACTAAATGATCCCTCAAGGTAGTAGAAAGAGTCACGAGGAATCAGGTCTGTGGACAGGTTGTGTGGTCAGCTTGGCTGTGCTCCTGAAAGGTGGGGCCATTTGTACAAGAGCTGAGGTTCCAGAATATCAGAACTGCAATCTCGACTGTCGTGGAGGAAGGGTGACCTTGGCTGGGTCTGCTTCTGAGGATGGCTGGGGGTGAAGGCCAGACTGGAGGAGTTGAGATGTGAATAGAAGATAGAGAAATGGCAACAGGAGGTGTAGCCAATTCCTTCGAGAGGCCTGGCTGTGACAGGCAGGAAAGGTGGGGTGGGGGTACAGGGATAGGGACATTAGAGAACTTCTGTGTGTTGATGAGACAGGGCCAGGGATAGGAGGCATTCAGTAAATAGTTCCCAATTTAAATGAACTTTGATATGGGGGTCTTTCTTAACACTTTCAAGAATGGTTGTGGGTAAGATGATTGGTAATAACTGAGAACCAAAACTGCTAGTAATGGGTTAAGGCAGTGCCAGATGCTGCAAGAGGTAAACCCAGAATCTCAGTGGCTTAATACAATACACATTAATTTCTCACTCAGCGACAATCCAGTGAAAGTGGTGGGTGGCTGTCCACACAGTATTTTGGGTCCCAGGTTTCTTCCATTTTCAACATGTGGCTTCCAAGGTCATTATGGAAGAAGGAAGGAGTAAAGAGGGCTCACTTATTTTCTCATCACATTCTCACCAATGATAGTGGAAGTGACTTGGGCGTCACTTCCACTATCATTGGTGAGAATGAGTCACATGACCACATAGGTGCAAAGGAGGCTGCAAAATGTAGTTCCTGGCTGGCTAGCCCTTCCCAGCCACAGCCCTAAAGGGAGCATCCCAGTGTTTGGAGGACAGCCACCCTTCTGGAATTACAACCCCCTTCAGCTGTCCTTCCCCAAAGGCTGAGGAGACACAGGCTAACTCTGGGAAAATGTCAGACCCCAAATGAAGACCAGGACCCTGCTTCTGAGGACAAATGACATAAATCATTGACCTGGGCTTCACTTTCTCCAATTGTATAATATAAGTCCTGCTAAACCAAGTTAAGGGAATTAAAGGGACTGAGGGTCTCACATGTAGGTGGAGCTGAGTTGATTCTCCCACCAGCTGTGTAACATTGGGCAGGTTTCTTAGACTTTCTGAGTCCTTGTACAAATTCTCCCTGACTTGCAATGAGGATCAGCAAGACACTTCTGGCCTATAGTCAGCCCCCAGTGAATGTGAGCTGCTGATGTTACTATCCAGGTCATCACTTCATTCATTACAACATTGGAAAGTGACACAGAATTTTTCTCAGCCACTTTGCCAATCAGGGACCTCCACGGCCGGCAACGCCCCCCCACTGCCCAGGCCTTGCTCAGCCCCAGGCCTACCACTAGAGGCACCCTGCCCACTCGGCCTGCTTGCGTTATAGCTTGTACCCACATTTGGTGGTTCTGGAACTCTTGTCCTGTGTCCAAGAAGAATGAGGATATGCTGACAATTCAAAGGGTGAGGATGGGTGGAGAAGAATTTTATTGAACAATGGAACAGCTCTAGTGGAGAGGCGATGCAGCGGGGGGCTTTCTCTCCCCCGAAGTCGGGTGGTTTCTCTCCTAGTGTGGCTGGGTCCAGGGCTTTTTATGGACTCACAATGGTGAGTGCATGCCAATTGATTTAGGAGTATGCAAAAAAGGTTAAAGTAAAGACACCACTCAAAGGTGGGCACAACAGTGTAGAAAACCAATTAGGAAAGGGTAGGTAAGTGTAGAATAGGTTAAGGGTGGGGATCAATCAGAGGAAAGCACACCAGACTGGAAGACAGGTTCTCAATCTGGTCCATGGATTTGACTTGTAGCTTGGCTTTCAGGCTTTAAACTGTCTTCAGCTTGGAGGTGAGGTTTCACCGGGGACCTGCCCCTATTTGTCTCCTGCTGCTATCAAAAGTAAAGGTCCTGGCTTAGGTTTAAGGCAAAATGAATAGAACTGATATCATCATGTTTTTGTCATCAGCATTTCCCATCACCCTCTGAGACAATCAGAGAAGCTCATTTGAGTCGAGTAGCTGGTGGAGGGAGGAAGAGAATATGAAAGAGGCCCCCCTCTCGGAACTGGGCACCACTCATACCGGAAAACCAGGATTTATGGAGCTTATTTCTTGTCTGTCTCTGGAAAGAGGTACTAGAGTCCCGTGCTGTAGCCAGTCGCTGGGAATCGGCTAAAAAGCAAGGCTTGGTCATGACCGCCCCCAGCTCCACCTCCTGCTGTCGGGGTCTTCCCTCAACATAAAGCCTGCCTCGCTACCATCATTGAGGGTTTGGAGTTCAGGCCTTTGAGGGATCATTTGTTTCTTGAGCTCAGTCTTCAGAAACCTCTGGTGCTTTTGAATTTCCCCTCCGCTAGGGAAGGATGGATTGGCACCCTGCCCTCACCCCACACCCCTCCTAGCTGTCACTATGTAGTATTTTAATTTATTGGTCCTGGCTATTCATTTGTCTTGTTAATTTTTTGCCTGCCCTCTACCTTAGCTAATCAGTTGGCCTCTTTGGGGGGCCTCTGATCACCCACCCCCAACTGGGGCTGGGGGCAGGGATAGGGGATGTGGTGGCCTTGATGTCTTTGAGGAAACCAAGCTGTGTGGGGGAGGGTCACTGGGAAAGTTCAGAAAGGAATGCTTCCCTAGGAGGGGCATTGGCCATTCTGCCCTAACCGAATACCTCTGGGGCAGTCAGGGCCACCCTGTGACCTCCAAACAAAGCTGGGGCCTTGTCTAGGGCTGTGGGAAGCCAGACAGGACAATGGGAGGAAGGAGAAAGCAGGGAGATAAAGCCAGGGGCCCACGGGCCTGTGCCTGGGATTCCAGAGGCCGGCTCCTCACATCCCAGCCGCGGAGGCCTTCAGAGTAAACACACTGGGCTTCCTGGCTCACAGGGCCAGTGCTGGGTTTTAATTGTGGCTGTTATTGTTGAGATAATTGTTCAATTTTGGGAGAAGCCGGAGAAAGGAGAGACTGTGTGTCTGATGCTTCTGCGGGGATGATGCTCTCATTCATTCATTCACTCATGCTACAGATGTTGACTGGCACCAGCCAAAGGCTTCGCTTGGGGCTGAGAATGTAAAAATCAACATCAGCTCATCCTTGTCCTCCCTACACCCTTCTCTGGTCCTAGACACAGACACTAAACCCATCCTCCCAGTTCAGTGTGGTCAGACAACAATAGGGGCATGAAGCTGTGCCAGTGCTGGAGCTTTACCTTCCTTTTATAGGGTGCTAGGTCAGAGCCCCCTCCCACCACCCCCCACCACCCCGAACTCGGGGAGGAGTTCTGACCTGAGTGCTCCTGCTGACTCCTGAATATCAAAGGAGGGCAGAGCTCCCTTTTGATCTCTTCTCTTGACTCCAAACTGAAGGACACGTAGAAGGCAACATGTTAGAGCCTGATGTTTATCCAGCACCTTCCATGTGTCAGAAACTGTGTGAGAGCTTTTGCAGATCACCTCAGCGCAGCCAAGAACGGAGGGCTGACTTTTTCCCCATTTCACAAATGAGAAGACTGAGGCCCCACCAGGTTGAGTAAATGGCTCAGTTCACATTATTAGGAAATGGGCAGCCTGGGTGGGAGCCCCGGTCAGTCTGACTCCAGTGCTCTCAAGCTTCTCCCTGGGTCCTGCCACCTTCTGCAGTGTGCGCCCCGATTCACTGGTGGGCTCTCAGGCTCCAGCAGAGGCTGAACCTCTCCTAGAACAAGGCTGGTCTTGCCTGACTTGATGCATCCCAGCGGGACCCCTCCTGTGTGAAGTCTCCTGACAGACTCGAGCTGGAAACAGGAGTCAGGGGCCATGCAGCTATCTCCTTACAGGTTTCAGGGATGTTGCCGTCTCAGCATTTGAACCTGATGGAAATGTTGAAGCGGGGGTTGGCTGGGTTTTGTACACCCAGGGCCTGTTTTCTTAGACAAGGCCATTTCACGGATCCTCAGACGTCCCCAGTTCACAACAGAGACCCTGGTGGGCTTGTTTCTCCATGAGTGTGTTTAGGGTTGGATGCTCGCTCTGTCTACTGTCTACAGGCCTTACAGGACATGCAAGGCAAGGCAGCCTCGAAAACCAGGGTGTGGGTCCCCACTCTGTCCTCTTTCTGACTGTGGGCCTCAGGCTGGGAGCTTCTCCTCTCTCAGCCTGCATTTCCCATCATTACAATGAAACAAGGATAAGATCTACCTTACAAGGCTGGAGGAAAGATAGTGGGAGATAGGGGCCACACTCTTACACCACACACAAAGTGAGGGGGCCATCGCAGAAAGGAAGGCTTTCCAGCAACAGGCAAGGCTAAAAGAAGGGCCGGACGTGGTGGCTTACGCCTGTAATCCCAGCACTTTGGGAGGCTGAGGTGGGCGGATCACCTGAGATTAGGAGTTCAAGACCAGCCTGACCAACATGGAGAAACCCCGTCTCTACTAAAAATACAAAAATTAGGCTGGGCATTGTGGTGCATGCCTGTAATCCCAGCTACTTGGGAGGCTGAGGCAGGAGAATCACTTGAACCCAGGAGGCAGAGGTTACACTGAGTCGAGATGGCGCCATTGCACTCCAGCCTGGGCAACAAGAGCGAGAAACTCTGTCTCAAAAAAGAAAAGAAAAAAGTTTGCATTTGCCTGTACATGAAGGGTGGATATTTTTGGATCATCGTCTGTATGTCTATCGCCGGCAGGTACCACTGATATTAGCACCTAAGCTTGCTGTGTGCCAGGCACTGCTCTCAGGGTTTTACCTGGCTCATCTTGTCTCACCTGGTTTAGAGATAAAGAAACTGATGCACAGCATGTTTAAGTCACTTGCCCAAAGTCACACAGCTAATAGGTGGTAGAGCCAGGATTTGAAACCAGAAATGTCAGACTCTAAAGCCAAAGCTCTTTACGCTGCAGGCCTTGCCTCTGGATGTTTGTGTGCCCTTGTGGATAGACACACACAGGGGTTTGGATTCTGCACAGAGCCTGAGTCAGCCGTAGTGTGGGGAGTGCCTTGGGGAGCCTGGGGTAGGGGCAGGATTTTACTCTCTTTCTGTATAATGTCATTTCTCCTTTATACACTTTTTGCCCTCCCTGACCTGTTGGTGCCTGTGCCCAGCTTACCATAGTCTTATGTGATTGGGGGCAGGAGGGACTCTGTCTTCTACATGTGAAGGCATTTGGACTCTTGGGTGCTTCCTGTTGTGGCCAAACCAAGAGCCTTTTAGCTCACGAGGGCCCTGACTGGATGTCTGGCCCCTCTGGGCTGGGCTGGAGTCTTGGGTGGATCCCGCCAACTCTGCCACTGCGCTCCTTCCCGCCTCCAAGGTCACTGCTTACACATGACCCTTCCGGGGGCCTGATGGTTTTCTGGCTGGTTGCTATAATCTGTCCTCTGAGCCTGTCCCAGGAGCTCTAGGCCCCGGAGTTGCTTTTCCAGGTCCCTGATGTTACTTACCTACCACACAACAGGGATCCCAGCATGGGAAGCCAGCAGACGGAACAAGACCAGCAAGCCTTGGGTACCTTGAGCCATAGCTTCCCTTTCTCCCTCAGCCCCTGCTGAGTCTTGGACCCTGAATGTCTGTGCAGACAGGTGTGCCCTACCCAAGCCCAGGCCCAGGCCCTAGAGGAGGGTAGGTGATTCTGCAAGGAGACTGGGGAAGTGCCTGGAGTCTGGGAGGCAGCATAGCCAGGGCAGGTAGGGAAGATGGGGGTGTCTCCAGGTAGGTGATTTCCTTATGCTGAAGGGGGACATATCCCACCCTGGGGTCATCAGGGACCTGGCTGGAATAAAGCCTTAGCCTGAACTCAGGTTAAAATTATCCCCCTTTCAAAATGTGGAAACCCAAACCACTTGTGATTTTGAATACCTCTCAAGAGACCTGTTCCCACTACAAAAGATATCTTTCCATGTGGGAAGCTCAGTGTGCATTTGCGAGAATGGATGCTGAGGCGTTTGGAGACAGGTGCATGAGGAAAGGGCAGTGTGGAATTGTGCAAAAGATGTTGGCAGAGAAAGGAGAGGGACATGGGAAGCAGGGATGGCTGGGTCCTGAAACAGGAGAACTTGGCTGCCTTCATCCTCTGCAGGCTGGGACAGGCCTCCTGGGAGAGTCCAGGGCGCAGGAGTTTTAGGAAAGCAGGCTGTAGACTCCCACCTGGCTGTTTGGTTTGAGCCTTGGCTTCAACCTTACTCATGTTTCCCCACAGGGAAGACTTCTCTCTTCCTGGGAGTTCATGGGCTTTGGACCTTATTGTTATCATTATTATGTTGAGGGTCTTCTGTGTGTAAGCATTGGGTGTCTTGCACAGGTGGCTGTGCAGAGTGCCACAAGGTAGAGGCTGGGGGAATGAGGGTTTGGAGATGCGTATGGTCTTTACCTATGTGAAAGGCTGGAGGTTGAGGTGAAAAATCTAGCTTTGAAATCTTCATGGAGGACTGCATCATTCTGATCCCGAATCCGGTTCAGTTCTCTTATTGACTGATTGCTGCATTAAAAATGGTTTTTTAATTAAACAACAACAACAAAAAAAAAGCTGGCAGAGAGATGGAAGCCTCGATCTTCCATGAGCTGGCTGGAGGATCTTGGCAATTCTGATTCGTCTAGAATGGTTTCCTTACCTATAGGAGGATGAAGGGGTGCTCAGGGCCTTTGCAGGGCTGGTATTGCCACAGGTAAGTCCACAAGGCCATAAGCACTGCGGCAGGGGCCCCGGAAAGGTGGTCTGAGCTGAATGCATGAAGGTGAGCCCGCTTCTGTGGCTTCATCTGCCATTGTATGATGGAGGCTTCTGAATCTCTAGCTAGACCTCTTTCCTACACTCCAGACCCCTGGTGTCTGGATGTCCCATGGGTCCTTTACTGACTTAACAGCTTCCCTGACCTTCATTCCCTTCCCCCTTCTGTAGCCCAGCTGCAGTGAATGGAGAGCCTCAGTCCATTCATGGCCCGAGGCCACGACCAGGGAATCCTCCCTGACTCTCCCCCTGCTTCACTCCAGCCCTCTCAATATCCAGCCCATCCCCAGGGCCTTTCCATTCTACCTCCTAAATAGCTCTTGAATCTACCCTCTTCTCTCCATCACGACCCTTGTGGAAGCCACCACTATCTCCTGCCTGGACAACTGGTCTCCCCACCTCTACTCTTGCCCCTCTCATCAATCCCATCTCTCTACTATAACCCAGTTTTAAAAACGAATGTTTATTTTTTAATTTATTGACTTAATTTTTAGAAAAAATTTAGGTTTACAAACAATTCGAAAAGTACAAAGTTCCCAGAGAGACTCCCCTTACCCAGGCACACACATGGTTTCCCTGATATTTACATCTAATATTATTGTGATACATTTGTTACAGTTGAACCAATACATTGCGATTAACTAAAGTTCATAGTTTCCATTAGGGGTCCCTCTTTGCATTGTACATTCTATGGGTTTTGATACCTGTATAATGACATGTGTCTACCGGTACTGTGTCCTACAGAGTAGTTTCACTAACCCCCAAATCCTCTGTGCTCCATCTAACCTTCCCTCCCTTCCTTCTCCTGAACCTCCCACAACCACTAGTCTTTTTACACTCATCATAGTTTTGCCTTTCCAGAATGTCATATAATTGGAATTATACAGTATGTAGCCTTTTTAGACAGGCTTTTTTCACTAAGCAATATGCATTTAAGGTTCCCTCATGTCTTTTTGGGTACGATAGCTCATTTCTTTTTATCCCTGAATAATATTATATTGGACAAATGCAATTTGTTTACCCATTTACCTGTTGAAGGACATCTTGGTTGCTTCCAATTTTTTGGCAATCATGAAAAAAACTGCTGTAAACATTAGTGTGCGGTTTTTTGCGTGGATACAAATTTTCACCTCATTTAGTTAAATATTAAGGAGTACAATTTTTGGATTATACAATAAGGGTATGTTTAGTTTTATAAGAAGCTGCTAAACTCTCTTCCAAAGTGGCTGCACCATTTTGCACTCCCCCCAGCAATGAATAAGAGTCACATCCATGCCAGCATTTGGTATTATCAGGATTTTGGATTTCAGTGATGTTAATAGGTATACAGTGGTATCATACTGTATGAAAAAGATTATTTCATAGCCCAGACATTTTGAAACATGCAATATGAACCAACTGTGTCTCTCCCAGCATTCTGTGGTTCCCACTGCACTGAGAATAAAATTCCCGCTCCTTCTGTGGTCTGAAGGGCCTGCATGATCCACCCCTGCCCTCCTCACAAGGTTACGTCACTTCCTTCCCCTAGCCCACTCCACACCATCCACATAGGCCTCATTTCAGTTCCTAGAACCATGCAATCTCTTTCTTAACTCAGGGGCACACAGGGTGTTCCCTCTGCTTGGAGCTCTTGTCCAGCCCTCTCCACCTGGCTGGCCCCTCTTATTCTTCAGTGTTCAATGCAGATACATCTCCTTGGAGAAACCTTCCTCTTCTCTCTCGTCCCACTCTATCTATTGCCTTCATGGCACATATTTCAAACTGGACTTACAGATTTATTTGCTGGATTATAGTTTGCAAGTGCCATAGCAGGGAGAAGCCATGCCAGTTTGCTCACCATCACACCCCAGTGTCTTGCGTGGTACTTGGCATAAAGGTGTGGCTTGATATTTATTTGCTGACTGGAGAATGAATGGCTGGGCCAGTTTAGTTGGGCAGACAAGGGAAGGGGAAATATTTATTGAGCATTGGTTAGGCACCAGCCACAGTCTGGCCACATTCACGTTTGTTATTTTCTTTGATCCTATGAGGGAAGATCATCTGTACTTTACAGGTGATGAAAGTGAAGCAAAGGGGGCTTAGGGCAGGGATCATTCAAATTCCCACAGGGCCAGGCACCTAACACAAATAAGTAAGCAAATTCAGTGAAAAACAAACAAGCAAATCAGCAGCTCAGGCTCAGTCATTTAAACTATGGCTTTAGGATCTGGAAGATACCAGAGAGTGGTGGGGACTGCAGTAAACTTCAGCACACACCCTGTCTAAATGGAGACTTACTTTTCAGCTAGCTCCAGTATTTTCAGGTCTTCTGAAGTCTTTAAAAAGAAGCTGGAAACTCAGCTTTTTAAAGAGATGTTTTCCAATTGTTGAAAATTACCAAGCTAATTCACACTTAAAAAAAAATGCCACTGTGCCGGCCGGGCACAATGGCAGGTGCCTGTAATCCCAGCTACTCGGGAGGCTGAGGCAGGAGAATTGCTTGAACCTAGGAGGTGGAAGTTGCAGTGAGCTGAGATCACACCACTGCATTCCAGCCTGGGCGACACAGCAAGACTCTGTCTCAAAAACAACAACAACAACAAAACAAACAAACAAAACAAAATGCCACTATGCCAGTACTGTGTTATGCCAATGGAGGTAAGATCCACTTTCTTCAACTCTGGTTTAGGGTCCAGGGAACAGAAAAGCAGGAGAGGTCCTCTGAGGACCCCCATCTGTTCCACCTTTTCAGACCTTTTGAAAGGCTGTCTCCTACCTCAGGAACCGATGAAGAGGTTATGTATGCTCGGAGCTACAGAGTCAGACAAAAGATGTGGCCCCAAAAAAGATGTCAAGATGTTGCAGTGCACTAGAGCTGACAAGTGTGGTTACATTTCTTTGTCCCTGGCTTTCAAGGTCCCTCACCTAGGCCCTCACAAGCCCCAGGGGAACCCAGAACTTGGCTTTGGAAAAAGCATGTCCAAGGATCCAAATTTGGGCATCACTGTGCTTGTTTACACGGCCCCTTCACCACTCCTAGGTCCTACTGGAGAAGCTTGGGTTATCAGAGCATTTGGATCATTCATTTACTCGCTCACTCACTCATTCATTTATTCACAAATCTAGGTTGAGTGTCCAGTATGCACTGGCATTCTACATGCTGAGGCAACAGGGAACAAGGTCTCTGCCTTCATGGAGCTTGGCTTCTAGTGGGAGTAACAAGTCAAGAGATGAATACATAACATGACGTCATGCAGTGGTTAGGCCGAGAAGGCAGGGTGTGGCTGGTGGGGTGGGAAGCTGTCTGGGACAGCTGGTCCAGGAAGCCTTCTTGGAGGAGGGGATATTTGAGCAGAGACCTGAATGAAATGGAGGGAGCTGAGCTAAGATCCAGGATAAGAGGTTCTAAGCAGAGGGTGAACCAGCACCATGGCCCCTGAAATGCAGCAGCTCAGAGTTCAAGGAACAGTAAAAAGGTCATTGATCAAAGAGGGTGAGAGGGAAGGAGAGTGAAGGAGACCATCACTCCCCTAACTGGAAAATAGCGGCCACCTGTCCAAGCACTTGACTCATGTCATAGTGACCTTCAGTTCCCTACCTATGACCCAGGCGTCATTATCCTCACTTCATCAGAGGAGGCGACATCGCTCGACCCCAGTGGCTGCCCGTGCTAGGTGGGCAGTGTGTGGGATGTGAAGCCAGGCAGCCCACCTCCGAGCCACCTCCTTTCCATCAGTATGCATTCTGCATCTTACCAAGGCCTATGTTTGTGGCATCCAGCTCCATGCCTAGCCCAGTCCATGCTATTAATGAATAAATGATGCTTGTTGGTGCTCCACTTGATGGAGAGTAAACCTCATTTTCATCCTCAACTCCCCCTCTTTTTCCTTCATTCTCCTTTGCTTCTCTCATCCCTCCCCAGCCCAGTTTCTGTTTCCAATTCTCTACCCTAGACCCCCAAATTCCACCTTCCTCAGCTCCCAAAGAGCTTTTCCAGCTCTGGGCTGCTTCTTCCCATGCTGACAGCTGGAACGGAAGCCCGGAACAAGCCAGTCATATTCCTCCCAAACTGCCACTGCCCCGGAGGGATCTATTTCTCTGCGGCACCCTCATTGTCCCGGGGACCCTGGGGAACAGCTGTCCTAGTCGGGCTTCCGAAGCTGACCTTCTTCCTTGTTCCTCCTTCTTCGATCCTTGCTGCACCTGCTCCTGCCTAGCTTTGCCACAGCCTGCAGCCTTCTCCTTGTTCAGACGACAGCCTCACCACCCACTGACTTCACTTATCCAGGTTCACTTATCCAGGGAAACCTCGGTGGCTCTCCACTGCTGGTCTCCTTCTTGAGTGGCTTGGTCTGAATATCTAGGATATCTTTGGGACTTTACTTGCCAACAATGCTCCCTGGATGTCTATCAAATAAGGCTACACTCCTTCTCTGTGCCTTTGCCCACACGCTGTCCTCTCCTGGGAATGCCCTTCTTCCCTTCTCTGCCTGCTTAAAGCTTCCATGTTTGAAGACACCTCCTCCAGGAGCCCTCCCTTCACTGCTCCATAGAAACACTGTCTCCTCACTCTGGGCTCCAAAGCCTGTGGTCTGCCCCTTATCATTTATCTCGGTGCCTGGCTGTCCTGGACACAATGGACAGGGCAGGATCCTGGATGGACACGTGAACCTGGGTTCAAATGCTAGCTTTCCTTCCTATCGGCTTAGTAACCTTGGGCAAGTAGCTTAACCTCTCTGAGCCCCATTCCTTCATCTGTAAAGAGGAATAATAAAATTGCCTTCTTGGGTTGGTTTAATGATCAGAGACAAAGCCCCTACCTCTGAGCAAATGGTGCAGCAAATGGTGACTCTTAGGTAATTATTTCTCATTTGACTCTAGTTGCCTTGTTTGCAAGAGCTTTACCTTCCACCTCCTCCAGGAAGCCCTCCCTGGATTTCCAGGCTTCATTCCTCCTTCCTGTTATCACCAAATGACTTCATTAATAAGCACTTTTCCCTGCTTAGAATCGTTATTTGAATGATTTTTATCTTCTGTGCTCGAAAAGGCTTATAAGGATGAATGACATAATTTTATCTCAAAAAGTCCATCTGCGGTGGCTAAATGTCACTATGGATCACTGTTAACCCAGAATGATGGCTGGGCAGGGGAGAGGGACCCAGGAGCAGGCAGGTCACCCCACCGAGCAGAGAAGATGCCGGCAACTGCAGCCTGTATGTAGACACCAGGTCTGATAGACACCCCACCTGGGCCTTGATTCTTCTTTCTTAAAAGTCACCTGGTGGGTCTCTGGGATCTGGGACTTGCTGGGGATAAAGACACCCTCCCCATCTAATCACTTGCAATTAGATGCTCACCCCCACCCAGTAGAGGAATCTGCTTTGTCCATAACCTGCCTGCCCAAAGAGAGCCTGCTGGGCAGGTAAATAACACTTGGGTGTGGCTTCCCTTTGAAAAGGAATTTATAATGGCGGCTTCCTAGATAATTAATTACTGCTGCTCACTGCCCAGCTACAAGCAGTCCCAGCGATCAGCTTTTGTTTCCAAGGCTTAAACCCAGGCAGGAACCACGAGATTGCTGAGGCCAGGAGCAAAGAAGGGGCTTTTTAGGATTCTTTTTTTTTCCTTTCAAATGGACCCTCAGGGAGATGGAGGCGAGGTGGGGGGCTTGGGACACAGAACAGTGAGTTATTAGCTTCTTTCCAGCCTGCACCTCGGGCACCTCTGGCAAAAAGACCTGCCAGTTCCTTTCGGCCCCTGGAGCCTCTCTCCTCTGCTTAGAAAACAAATCGCTGCCTAAGCTGGGGCTTTTTGTTGGCTCCAAAAGGAGAGAGCCACACGGGTTCTTTCTAGGGAGGAAGAAACAGCCCCAGGGAGAGGACTGAGTGGTTGGGTTTCAGAGCACACTGTGTGTGCCTGGGTTGTGAAGTTGGCAAATGATGAATCTATTTTTTTTTCCACTTTGATGAAACCCAAGGCCTCACAAGGAGTTTTCACCATTGTCCTTTGCTAAATGCATTTCCCCAGCACCCTTTCTTCCATTTTCTCACTTCTCTAGGGAGTTGGGGAAGTCATAGAGAGAGGGGGTTAGGCAGGCAGGCTCAGCACCAGGCTGATGTGGGTTCAGATCCTGCTCAGCTGTAACCTGGTCATGTTGCTAAACTTCTCTGACCTCGATGTCTTTATCTGAAAAATGAGAATAATCACAACACTCACCTCAAAGCACTGTTGTTAAATGGGATAATATTTGCATGGTTGTCAGATGCCCTAGAAGTAGACACCAAGGCAAGCATTTGTGAACAGAAGATATATTAAGGATGATTTCCCAGAAGAAGCCTAAGGGGGTTGAGGGAACAGGACAGGGAAGGGGAGGAAAGCAAGGGGGCGAGGTTAGGCCCTGCAGAGGGCTGCTCTTGCTGATCCCACAGGGAAACCTGTAAGTTTCTGTTAACTTGAGAGGAGAGAACTGAGCTTTCATCCTCCACACCCTCAGACATTGGCTAAGGGCCACCCTGAGGGTGGGGGAGGGATGGAATCTTCCGGGCACCTCTGGCTGCCTGCACACGGGAGCAGGGGGCTCCGGCAGCTCAAAGGTCATCCTCCCATGAGAATGGCTTGGGCAGGCCTCTAAGGAAGAAACACACAGAAAAGGGGGCCGTGGGGAGGGTCCCCGACAGCACTGCTGGAGTATGGGCAGCCCCCAGCCTAGCATACAGCGAGTGTTCAGTACATGGTCCTGGGTCAGTCACTGGACAATTCATGCAAATGAGAATCACAGAAAGGTTAGGACATGAACCTGCAGAGGCACAGCATATCCATATAGGGACTGGAGTTAGTAAGTCCCTTCTCAGACAGGCTTAGATCTCCTAATGTCATACATAGTTCTTTGGAATTTCAAGCTGAGATCTTCTTCGTATTTCCTGAGAATCCTTCTCCTGCCTTCCCTGAGAGTTTGGACTGCTCCCAGGGAAGGAGGAAGGCTTGGGTGAGGCATTACTGGACCAGACCTGATTTTGCTGAGACAGCGATCTGCAACCCAGCTTGGATCAAGCCCCTCCCCAACTTGTCTCTTCTCACAAACACATTGTATTTTACTGTGGGGGGCGGGGGGATAGGGGGCGGTGGTAGCAAAATGTTACAGGCATACCTGGTTTTATTGCACTTCAGTTTATTGTGTTTTTGTTTATTTTTGCAAATGGAAGCTTTGTGGCAACTGTGCATAGAGCAAATCTATCAGCACCATTTTTCCAACAGCATGTGCTCACTTCCTATCTCTGTTGCATTTTGGTAATGTTCAAACTTTTCATTATTAATATGTCTGTTGTTGTGATCTGTGATCACTGATCTTTGATGTTACTGTTGTAATTGTTTGGGGACATCACAAGCTGCACCCTTATATGATGGTGGATTTAATTAATAAATGCTATATGTGTTCTGACTGCTGAACCCACCGGCCATTCCCCTGTCTCTCTCCCTCTCCTTGGGCCTTCCTATTTCCAACTACATAACAATATTGAAATGAGGCCAATGAATAACCCTACAAGGGCCTCTAAGTGCTCAAGTGAAAGGAGGAGTCGCATATCTCTCATTTTAAATCAAAAGCTAGAAATGATTAAACTTCATAAGGAAGGCATGCTGAAAAATGAGACAGGCCGAAAGCTAGGCTTCTTGCACTAGTTAACTAAGTTGTGAATGCCAAGTTCTTGAAGGAAATTAAAAGTGCTACTCCAGTGAACACACAGATGCTGATATGGAGAAAGTTTTAGTTGTCTGGATAGAAGATTAAACCAGCCACAAAATTCTCGTAAGCCAAAGCCTAATCCAGAGAAAGGTCCTAACTCTCTTCAATTCTGTGAAGGCTGAGAGAGGTGAGGAAGCTGCAGAAGAAAATTGGGAGCTAGCCAAGGCTGGTTCATGAGGTTTAAGGAAAGAAGCTGTTTCCATAACATAAAAGCCCACGGTGAGGCAGGAAGTGCTGATGGAGAAGCTGCAGCAAGTTATCTAGAAGATCTAGCTAAGATCATGGATGCAGGTGGCGGCGATACAAAACAACAGATTTTCAATGTAGATGAAACAGCCTTCTACTGGAAGAAGATACCATCTAGGACTTTCATAGCTAGAGAGAAGTCAATGTCTGGCTTCAAGGCTTCAAAGGACAGGCTGACACTCTTGTTAGGGGCTAATGCAATTGGTAACATTAAGCTGATGCCAGTGCTCATTTACCATTTTGAAAATTCTAAGACCCTTAAGAATGAGGCTAAATCCACTCTGCTTGTGCTCTGTAAATGGAAGAACAAAGCCTGGATGACAGCACGTCTGTTTACAGCATGGTTTACTGAATATTTTAAGCCCATTATTGAGACCCACTGCTCAGAAAAAAAGATTCCTTTTCAAAATATGACTACTCATTGACAGTGCACGTGGTCATCCAAGAGCTCTGATGGAGATGTACAGGGAGATTCATGTTGTTTTCCTGCCTGCTAAGACACATCTATTCTGCAGCCCATGGATCAAGAAGTCATTTCAACTTTCAAGTCTTCTTATTTAAGAAATAGATTTTGTAAGGCTATAGCAGCCATAGATAGTGATTCCTCTGATGGATCTGGGCAAAGTATATTGAAAACTTACTGGAAAGGATTCACCATTCCAGATGCCATTAAAAACATTCATGATTCTTGAGAGGAAGTCAAAACAGCAACATGAACAGGAGTTTAGAAGAAGTTGATTCTCAACCCTTATGAGTGACTTCGGGGAGTTCACTTCAGTGGAGGAAGTAACTGCAGATGTGGTAGAAATGGCAAGGGACCTAGAATTAGAAATGGAGGCTGAGGCTGTGACTGAATTGCCGCAATCTCATGATAAAGCCTTAGTGGATGAGGAGTTACTTCCTATGGATAAGCAAAGAGATGGAAACTACTCCTGGTAAAGTTGCTTTAAACATTGTTAAAATAACAACAGAGGATTTAGAATATTACATGAACTTAGTTGCTAAAGCAGTGGCAGGGTTTCAAAGGATGGACTCCAATTTTGAAAGGAGTTTTACTGTGGGTGAAATCCTATCAAACAGCATGATATGCTACAGAGAAATCTTTTGTGAAAACCAGAGTTGATCGGTGTGGCAAACTTCACCATCTTATTTTCAGAAATTGCCACAGCCATTATGACCTTCAGCAACCACTGCCCTGATCAGTCAGCAGCCATCAACATGGAGGCAAGACCATCCACCAGCAAAAACATTACTACTTGCTGAAGGCTCAGACGATATTTAGCATTTTTTAGCAATGAAGTGTTTTTAAGTTAAGGTATTTACATTTTTTTTAAACAATGCTATTGCACACTTAATAACAGTATGGTGTACACATAACTTTTACTTTCAGTGGGAAACCACAAAATTTGTGTGACTCATTTTATTGTGATATTTGCTTTATTGGGATGAGCTAGAACTGAACCTGAATATCACTGAGATATGCTTGTATCCACCCAAATATTGATGAGATTTGGGTGGTGGGGTACAAGAATAATGCCCCCACATCCCTTACAAAGATGTCCATGTCCCAATCGCTGGAACCTGTAAATACATTTTCTTACATGGCATATTAGTCTATTCTCAAGCTGCTAATAAAGATATGCCCGAGACTGGGTAATTTATAGAGGAAAGAAGTTTAATTGACTCACAGTTCCACATGGCTGGGGAGGCCTCACAATCATGGCAGAAGGCAAAGGGAAAGCAAGGCATGTCTTACATGGCAGCAGGCAAGGGAGCTTGTGTAAAGGAACTCCCCTTTATAAATCAGATCTCATGAGACTTAATCACTATAATGAGAACAGCACGGGAAAGACCCACCCCCATGATTCAATTATCTCCCACCCGGTTCCTCCCATGACACATGGGAATTATGGGAGCTAAAATTCAAGATGAGATTTGGGTGGGGACACAGCCAAACCATATCACATGGCTAAAGGAACTTTGTAGATGTGATTGAGTTAATGTTTTTGAGGTGGGGAGGTTGTCCTGGAATGTCAAGGTGCAGCCAATCAAATCACACGGGTCCTTACAAGCGGCAAAGGGAAGTTTGACTTCAGAAGAGGAGTGTGGGAGTGACGCCACCTGTGAAAGACTGGACTGGCCGCTGCTGGCTCTGAAGAAGGAAAGACCCATGAGTCAAGGAAGATGGCAACCTCTAGAATCTAGAAAAGGCAAGGAAAAGTTTCTCCCCTGGAGCCTCCAAAAGGAACGTGACTCTGCAGACACTGTGTACCATTTAAAAGGACTTCTAGAATAATTAACAAAATAATACATTTGTGTTGTTTTTAGCCACTAACTTTGTGGTCATTCATTGCAGCAGCCAAAGGAGACCCTTTTAGGTGGTGTGATCATTTAATTTTATGTGTCAACTTGACTACCTAGAGTACCCAGCTATTTAATCAAATCCTCATCTAGGTATTGCTAGAGAGGTCTTTTGTCAATGTGGCTAACATCTACAGTCAGTTGACTTTAGGTATGTAGGAGGGCCTTATCCAATCCGTTGGAAGGCAGGAAGAGCAAAAATGGGGGTTTCCCACAAAACAAGGAATTCTGTCTCAAGCCTATAGCATCAGCTCCTGCCTGAGTTTCCAACCCGACTGTTTACCCTACAGTTTTCAGACTGTACATCTCTCTGAACATTTTGGTGGACATGCAAATACGTTTCTGTTCATTTCACCTTGATGCAGTGGAAGGGGTCAGGGGCTTGGACTCTGGGCCCCCCGGCTCCCCAGTCTGTCCTCTGTCTGCTCAGGCTGTCTCCCTTGCCTCCTGCAAAAAGAGAAACCATTTCTCAGACACTCCTGGGATTAGGCCAAATAAATGAGCATGTGTCTGTCTGTTTTTCCCTAATGAGCTTCTCCCTCGGGCTCTTTTCCCTTTTCCTTGGATCTCTGCATTCATCACTTTCCTTCCCACAAGGAAAGAAAGTATATCCTCCTGTCTTCCTCTGTCCCACCTGCAACAGCTTCTCGGGATGCAAACTCCTCTGCCATTCTTTCCCTCTTATCTAGCCCACCTCTGTCTCTCCTGCCCTCCCCCTGTCTGCCCCAGGGGTTCCTCTACCAACTGCTCCAACACCACCACCACCTGCCTTCTCTCTGCCCCTCTAATCTTGGCTAATTGCTTCCTGGAGTTAAGACAGGCACCATCACTGAACTGAGCATGCAAGCGGGGAGGGAGGTAAGTGTTGTGGGGCAGAAGCTCAGGGCCCATTTAGGGACCAGGGGGCAACCAGAGGACAGAGAAGGCCAGTGGCTGTAGGCCTAGGGAGGCAGAGGTGAGCGTGACTTGTTGATTCCCCGGTGCTCCCCAGGATGGCTCTCCTGGGGCCCAGTCCTCCCAAGCACATGGCTTGTTCTGCAGAAATAATCCTAGATGCCACACCCAGGGTGGGTGGCTGTCCTCAGTCCCTCACAGGATTGTGATGGGACCCATGGCCAAGGACCTCCCCAGAACTCATGGCTACGTCAGGAGTGAGCATCATCCTAAGTCAACCTGGGCTTTGCTCTGCGCAAAACCAATGTGCTGCCTCGGCCAAGTCCTCCACAGAGAGAAAACTCCTGAGGCCAGGGAACCTTGAGCAATGTTGTTTGAGGGCTCAGTTTGTGAATCTATGAAAAGGGGCTGATCATGCATGACCAACTGCTGAGCACTTAAGGAGACTGTTTGGCGAGGGCATGGCACAGTGCCTGGCCTGTTTTCACCAGCCAGGGAGTGGGGGAGGCAGCCTTGAGGGTCTTTGCCCATTTCCGCTGGCCTCTCTCCCTCATTGGGGAGAGTTGATATAATAACTAGATGTCATAAGACATCAAAAGAGGAAGCAACATTTTCACAGCACTTTGTAAAGGATAAAGCTGTTTTGGCAGGTGATCTTGCTTAATACTCCTAATAGCCCTAAGGTGAGGTAATTATTCTTCTCATTTTGGAAATGAGAAAACTGAAGTTCAAAGCAGTGAAGTAGCATCAGTGTCTGAGGGTGCCCAGCTCACAGCTGGGATGGAGCAGGATTCCAGCCCCAGGCTGCCTCCCAGAGAGGTGAGGCACAGATTCCCATGGGCAAAGCAAGCCCCAGACTCTGTTTCTGTTTCAACAGAAACGCAGCGGCATGCTGCTTGATGGTGCGCAAAACACACCACGTTCATTATCCTGCTTGATCATGACACAGCTTGCATTTCAGGCAGGAAACCTTAACCTCACTTTGCAGACAGAAAAGCACCATCTAGAGAGATTGAATCACATCCCTGTTTTCCATAGCCAGCAGGTGGCACGGGGCCATCATCCTCCAAGCTCAGGGCTCCTGGTTACTGCTATATGACCATGGGTACAACTGTACTATTCTTAGCCTCAGTTTCCTCCTTGTCTCCAAGGGCGCAGTGAGAATTAAATGACACAAGGATGCAAAGAGCCTGGTATCATCACAGTACCTGCTGGGACCTCAATACTTGAGCATTTTCATCCCTTGGGGAACTCTTGCATCAGCACCCCCCAGGGCAGCAGGAGCCCTGGAGTATTGCCTGGCAGGATTAAAGATACACAAAGATTTATTGAGTGTCTACTGCGTATGTGCCGGAGGGTTTGGTGGTGACAGACACAGTGGCTGCCTACATGGAGCTTAATACTCCAGCATAGGAGGTGGACAGAAAACAAGGTAGCCAGGAATTCATCAAATGACTGCATGTGGCCAGGCGTGGTGGCTCATGCCTTTAATCCCAGCACTTTGGGAAGCTGAGGCAGGTGGATCACTTGAGGTCAGGAGTTCAAGACCAGCCTGGCCAACATGGTGAAACCCCCATCTCTATTAAAAATACAAAATTAGCCGAGAGTGGTGATGGGTGCCTGTAATCCAAGCTATCGGGAGGCTGAGGCGGGAAAATCACTTGAACCCAGGAGACAGAGACTGCAGTGAGCTGAGATTGCACCACTGCACTCCAGCCTGGGCAAGAGCACGAAATTCCATCTAAAAAAAAAAAAAGACTGCATGTTGTAATAAGTAGTATGAAGGTGGGAAAATATTTTTTTAAAATAAGAAAGGCTGCCTTACTTACAGTAGTCAGGAAAGGCCTTTATGGAGGGGACCCTTGGGCTGGTGCCCTAAAGCAGGTGAAGCTGACCACGCAGAGCTAGGAAGAGGAGGGTTCCATCTGAGAGGGAAGTATGTGCAAAGGCCCTGGGACAGGAATAGATTTGGGTTGTTCATGGGTAGAGAGAAGAGCAATATGGCTGGGGCCCAGTGAGAGATGGGGCAGTGGTTCCAGCAGAGGTTGGCAGTGACCCCACCATCAGGTCCAAATGATAAGTTTAGTCTTTTCTTCTAAGTCTAATATGAAGTCATAGATAAGGCTTTAAACAGGAAGGGACATGCTATGATTTAAATTTTAAGAGGTGAGCCGTCTGTAAGCTCATCAACAGTTATGATTGGAAGGATCTCTAAATCTGATCTAGCCCACCTTTTCATTGTGCAGCGGGGAAACTGAGCCCCAGAGGTGGGAAACAGGTTGTTAGCGTCACATAACACATCAGGGCAAAAGCAGCCCTTGAACCCAGATCCTCAGACTCCAGCTCTAGTGGTCCTTCCTTTGAGAGGCTGGCAGAAGCCCCAAGGTGGGCACAGCCTCAGTCTCCTTCAAGGATGAGGAACCATGCCAGCAAGCAGGCCTCCTCAGGTCCAACCGTGGCTGCCCCTTGCCCATGACTTTTGCTTCATGGCCACTATTAGGTCCCTTCATGCCAAAGAAACACACATGGACCAAGTGGGATTTTTAAGCCACACGCTCACTGTAGTAACTGCAATTCTGCCTGAACGTGTTTGACCCCATGTAAAGATACATCTGCTAGCAATTCTGGGAATGCATTTAACATTTTTGCTCTGTGATGCACAGAGCATTTTCTATGCATGACCGTGTATTTCTCTTTTGGAGCAGAGTCCAGGCAGCATGACCCACTTTGTGCAGATGGGATGATGAGGCCAAGAATGGCTGATTGACTTCCATGAAGTCAGGGAGGGATAATAAGCGAGAGAGGGCCTCCTAGGCAAGCCAGGGGCAGTGAAAGGGAAGAGAAAGAAGAAACTGAGCATGAAGTCCTTGAATTCCAGCATTAGAACCTGAGAGTCATTCTCCAGGCTCTGAGAATTATAAAATGATAGAGCTGGTAGGCCTTAGCAATGGCATGATTCAATCCATCATCCTAAAATTCCATTTAGGAATCACATATAAACAGTAAAATGTATAAATCTTCAGTGTGCAGCTCAAGAATTTTTATGCACCAAGTTACCATCATCCAGATTAAAGTATAGAATGTTCCCATCCCTCCAGCCCAGAAGGCTCTCCTATGCCCCATCCCAATCAGTGCTTCCCTTTTCCCTCCCCCTTCCCCCACCCTTCCCCCAACCAGGTGACTACCATTCTGGCTTCTATCACCTTCAAGCAATTGTGCCTATTCTTGAACTTTATATAAATGGAATCATACAGTGTGCATTCCTCTGACTCTGCCTTCTTTAGCTCAACATGATTTTATGATCCTTCCATATATATCTAATATAGCATATAGCAGTAGTTTGTTCTTCTGTATTTCTATGTAATATTCCATTGTAGGAATATATGGGGGGACCTGCCCCAATAATCACATAGGTTCTTTCCTATTTTCCTAAGCATCGGCTGGCTTGAGAAATAAAGGGACAGAGTACAAAAGAGGGAAATTTTAAAGCTGGGCATCCGGGGGAGACATCACATATTGGTGGGATCCGTGATGCCCCACAAGCCACAAAAACCAGCAAGTTTTTATTAGGGAGTTTCAAAAGGGAAGGGAGTATACAAATAGGTGTGGGTCACAGACATCAAGTATTTAACAGGGTAATAGAATATCACAAGGCAAGTGGAGGCAGGGCGAGATCACAAGACCACAGGAATGAGGCGAAATTAAAATTGCTAATGAAGTTTCGGGCACCATTGTCATTGATACCATCTTATCAGAAGACAGGGTTTTGAGATCAACCGGTCTGACCAAAATTTATTAGGCAGGAATTCCCTCTTCCTAATAAGCCTGGGAGCTCTATGGGAGACTGGAGTTTATTTCGCCTCTGCAATCTCCACCATAAGAGACAGGTACACGCCGGGGGGGCCAGTTCAGAGACCTACCCCTAGGTGCGCATTCTCTTTCTCAGGGACGTTCCCCATGCTGAGAAAAAGAATTCAGCGATATTTCTCCCATTTGCTTTTGAAAGAAGAGAAATATGGCTCTGTTCTGCCCAGCTCACCAGCAGTCAGAGTTTAAGGTTATCTCTCTTATTCCCTGAACAATTGCTGTTATCCTGTTCTTTTTTCAGGGTGCCCACGTTTCATATTGCTCAAACACACATGCTGTAGAATTTATGTAGTTAACGCAATTATTACAGGGTCCTGAGACGTTATACATCCTTCTCAGCTGACAGGATTAAGAGATTAAAGCAAAGACAGGCATAGGAAATCACAAGGGTATTGATTGGGGAAGTGATAAGTGTCCATGAAATCTTTACAATTTATGTTTAGAGATTGCAGTAAAGACAGGCATAAGAAATTACAAAAGTATTAATTTGGGGAACTAATAAATGTCCATAAAATCTTCATAATCCACATTCTTCTGTCATGGCTTCAGCCGGTCCCTCTGTTTGGGGTCCCTGACTCCCCGCAACAGGAATATATGACAACTTATCATTTTTTCTGTGGATGGACATTGGATCGTTTCCTTTTTTTTTTGGTGCTTATGATTAAAGATGCAACTAATAATCTAGTCCATGTCTTTTAGTGGGTCTAGGCAGGCATTTCTCTTGGGTGTATAACTGGGAGTTGAAATGCTGTGTCTTGTGTTTAGCTTTAATAGATGCTGTCAAATAGAGTGGGCATGTCATAGGACAGTCCTGCTAGCAGTGTGGAACAGTTCTAGTTGCCCTACCTCCTCATCCACACTTGGCATCATCTGCCCAGTTTTAGCTAACTGGTGGGTCTGTAGTGATACCTCATTGTGCCTTTTAATTTGCATTTCCCTGGTAGTAAGATGCTGAGCACCTTTCTATATGCTTATCAGCTATTTGGATTGCTTCTTTTGGAAAGTGCCTAAGTCTTTGGCACAATTTTAAACTGGGTTGTTTTCTCTTTTTTTCTTATGGATTTGTAGGAGTTCTTTATATATTTCGGATATAAGTCTTTTCTTGTAGATAAGTGTTGCAAATACTTTTCCCAGTCTGTGTTTTGCTTTCTTACTTTCTTATGGTGCCCAGGAATCATTTGAGAAGAAAGAAAATGAATGTTTATTGAGAACTTCATTTGCACCAGGCCTGGTCCATCTACCTCACCTTGCCTGGTGCTCATCACCACTCATTGAGGCAGGAGTCATCATCACCATTGCAGATTCAAAGGAGGCTCCAAAGGGGTATCAAAAGGATTGGAATGTGGTGTTTGGAATTATCCTCAATGCCAATACTTTAGATGTATGTAATTCTTTTAGTTTATGAAGTGCTTCCCTGATGACTGTCTTATTCCATCATTAGTTTAAGCCAGTGAGGTAGGCAGGCAACAGTTATTAGAGAGGTAATGTCCCATAGACTTTTACTGAAGACTCACCCAGAGCAGGGGGACACAGTGGAATTTAGTCCTGCATTTGGGCATTCAAAGTCGAATGAGTAAGACATACAAGTCAACATTCAATATGGGGTGAAATCATAGAGGCTTATTCATGATTTGCCCCTCTGAGCCTCAGTGTCCTCATCTGTAAGATGGATTTAATGAGACCTACAACTTATAGAGCTGTTGCATCGATGAAAGGTGATACTGCGTGCAAAGTGCTTAGCACAGTATCTGGCACATGAGTACCTCACTGAGTTTTGACATGGTGTGTATATACCAGGCTTGTTGATGAGGGCCCTGCAGGGAATACACCAGAAGCACTCCCTGCCCTCACGGAGCTTGTAGAGATGAAGAAAACACAATGGGAGCACAGCACAATAGTGGCCACTTTGCCATGGGATAGATGGGAGCCTTCACATAGGAGGCAACATGTGAACTGGGTCTTGAAGGATGAATAGGAGTTCATCAGGTGGGCAAAGAGAGGAATGACATTCCAGACCAAGAGAACTGCATGGACAGAAGCCTGAAGCTGGGACTTATCCAAGGCTACCTGGCCTAGAAATGGGTGAGCCTGTTGCCTGATCCCAGATCCCAGACCTGTGTTCTGTCTGCCCTCTGTGCCGTCTCCTTGACACTCTCCAGGGCACACAGTTGACATGGAAGTGGGTGGGTAGGCACCACCTGTGCTATTTCCACCTGGTAGGGTGAGCCATCGCCAATGCCAGACCTACGGCATTTCCCAAGGCAGCAGGGAAAAATGGACTTCCAGTGGAGAGCAAAGCATCAGCTTGGGGACCTTATGACTCTCCCAGACTCCTGCTTCCCCTCCTGGGCCACTGTTATTGCATCTGTAAGATGGGGAGAATAAAAATGACAATAATGGCCATGCTGATGGAACCTTTCTTTACTGTGTGCCAGGCACTGTGCCGAGTACTTTGCAGGTGGCATCTCTTTTCTTCTATGCAACAGCCCTATGAGCGGTGGGTCTCATTATTCCCATCTTATAGGTGAGGACATTGAGGCTCAGAGGGGTAAAATGACTTGTCCAGCATTTCACAGAGCCAGGAAGTGGCAGAATCCGAACCAGACCAGCTTTGTGTGACTCTAGCATTCCGGCTTGTAGCCAAGAGATCTTCCTGCTCACACTCCATTCCCACCGCCTCAACATACACCTCTGATGTTTAATGAATATCTGTTTAATGAACGTGGCTGTACCTTCTTGCGGAGTGTTGGGCGCAGGCCTGTGCAGTGATGGGGGAGGGCGCTTGGCAGGGGCCTGCCTCCCCTGAGGCCAGAGCTTCTGATTCCCCTGACCTGTGAAACCTGGTCATGGGGACACCTCAGGGATCAGAACACTCGACAAACGTCAAGTCTAAGGAGGCCCGAATATTTAACAGAAACAGTCTGCTCTGGGCTGGGCTCTTCCAAGAGGCTGTCTGTGTGTGTGTGTTTGTGTGTGTGTCTATGTGTCTATGTCTGTGTGCACCTGTGCTGGGGCCAACCCTAGCTGAGAGGAAGTGGAGTTGCATTTATTATAACATAAACTGTGAACTAAGATAGGTTTCCTGCCCAGGGGAAATACAGCCTCTCCAGGTAGGAAGGTGCCCCTTTGTCAGGGAAGTTCTTCTCCACCTTCTACTTTGCAGCCATTTGAGGAATCCTGCTGAACACAGGACTTGTGCCTGGGAGTGGCAGGTCCCCGCTCTTCAGGAATGAACCCAGCCTATTAAAAACCATCATCTATTGAATGCCTACTATATGCCATGCACAGAGCGGAGAACTCCAGGGGCATTCATAGTGTTTAACTCTCGGAAGGGCCCTGTGCCTGTGGTATTCCCTCAGGCTGGTGGGAAGATTCGCGAAGCACTAACTTCAGCAGGAAGCAGAGGAGCCGCTTGCTGTGGGAGAGGGAGAGACGCAGGGCTGTGTGGCTCCAAGCCAAAGAGAACTTCCAGGAAATCCAGGAAGGCTTCAGGGATGGAGTGGCTTTTAGCCAAGGCTCTAGAAGGATGGGAAGGATTTTGACAACAGAAATGGGAAGGAAGGGCTTTCCTGGTGGGGGCAGCAAGCAGAGGCAAAGGCCTGGAGGTGGACAAGCACAGGACAGTGGCCAAGGGTACAGGCCCTGGGCTCAGAAAGCCACAAGTGTGAACCTGGCTCCCTCACTTATGAGCTCATTGACCTCCTGTGAGTTACATCACCTCTTCTTTAAGAAAATTGAGGCAAAATTTACATAACATAAAATTAGCCATCTTAAAGTGTGCAATTCACTTTGCATAATGTTTGGGAGGTTCATCCACATTGTAGCACTTATCAGAACTTCATTACTTTTCATGGCTGAATACTATTCCATTTCATGGATATACCACATTCATCTGCTTATCCATTCATCTGTTGATGGGCCTTTTGGATACTATAAATAATGCTGCTATAAACATTTGTGTACCAGTATTTGTTTGACTCCCTGACTTCAGTCCTCTTGAGTGTAGACTTGGGAATGGTTGCTGGGTTGTATGGTACCTCCAGGTTGAACTTTTTGAGAACAGAGTATCACTTTGAACTTCTACACCTGCAGAATGGAGATAATAACAATAGCTGTCTCATAATGAAGGGAGGATGGGAAGGGGTTTGAAGATTAAATGAAGTGCCCAGGATAGTGAGGGCTCAAAGTAACTTTTGTTGCTTTTTTTTTTTTCCCAATGGAGTTTCACTGTGTTGCCCAGGCTGGAGTGCAATGGCGTGATCTCAGCTCACTGCAACCTCTGCCTCCTGGGTTCAAGCAATTTTCCTGCCTCAGCCTCCCAAGTAGCTCGGACTACAGGTACATGCCACTGTGGCTGGCTAATTTTTAGTATTTTTAGTAGAGATAGGGGTTTCACCATGTTGGCCAGGCTAGTCTTTAACTCCTGACCTCAGGTCATTTGCCCATCTCAGCTTCCCAAAGTGCTGGGATTACAGAGATGAGCCACTGCACCCAGCCTCAAAGTACCTTTTGAAGAGGCTGTGTTAGGGAAGGCTGACAGGTTGTGGGAAAGGAGGATGAGGGGCAGGGGTCTCCTGTGCCTGGCTGACCTTGCCCCTGCCCTGATCCATTTGGCTCTTCGAGGCGTTCAGTCCTTTGCGCACCAAAGATGGGGCAAAGTGAGCAGATGGCTGGTACCCTAGGAACCAGGCCCCTTCCTGCTCTTGGAGCCAGGGAGGCTGGCTCTGCTGGCTCCACTGAGCTGCCTTCCCCCAAGGAGTGCGCCCTTAGCGACCACTGATGCTGCATTTGCTGTTTGCTGTCTCTCTACTTCTTTCCCTCTCTTCAGAGCTGTTCAGGCTTGGCAAGCAGCAGGGGCTCAGAAACCAAATTAACAGGTAAAATTCCCATTCTCTGCCTGTTACTCGCCTGGCTGAGCTGCAAAGTCTGCAACATAACAGGAATTGGGAGTGAGGAGGGGGCGGGGGAAGGGAGCCAGTGTCAACAGGACTCAATTGAGAGAAAGAGAGAGCACCAGACTCATGATGTGGGAAGAGGCCAGCGGCACCCAGGGAAGCAATCATTGGGGTACCCCCATTCCCCCTCTTTCTTCGGAGCTGCCTCCTGGAGTCTGTGGTTCTCTTGACGCCACATGGCCCATGAGTGGCACAAGGTGACAAAGGAAGACAGCAGTGAGCTTTGCCTAGGGGAGGTCTCTAACCGTGGGGCTCCCCCCACCCCCCTGGCCCTGTCTCTTCAGCTGTACTCAGGTCCCTTTGGTGATCAGGAGGCAGGTGCTGGGGCCCAGCAGTCAGGCAGAACTGAGTTCAAGTCCAAGTGCAGCCATGTAGGCGTTGCAAGTGACCTTGGGCAAATTCTCTCTCTGAGCCTCCATTTCTTCATCTTTAAAATGGGAGAACACATCTCTTAGCTGGGTTGTTGGTTTTGAGATCAGGAGGGAAAGTGCATTGTGCAGCACCTGCTTGTGGTAAGCTCTTACATTAGAGGCTACGGGTGGCAGCAGGGGGCAGGGGGGCAGTGGTGACAGTCAAAGTGATCTTTGTTGATTCCTGTCTCAGGTTTGACTCCTGTTGGGCGTTGAGTCCCGTGCCAGGAGGGACTGTGTCTGTCTCCTTTGTGAGCTCCCTGTGTTTTAGGTGGGGGTCCCTAAAAGCAGGACCTGAGTGAGGATGGTTATCCAGGTGAACTAGTGAAGGAGGATTCTCAGGAGAGCTCTGCAAACCAGCAAGGGAAGCAGAAGGCAGAAGAAGTAGCTAAGCAAGGGTGAGGTTTAAGAGCAGGCTAGCCTCAGCCTGGTCTCTGGGGCATGAATGGCCTCTCAGACATTGCCCCCAACAGAGGCAAGGGGGCTGGACTGTTATAGCCCCATGTCAGCCTGTCAGTGGCTACGGGCTAGGCCTGGGGGTGCAGATGGGGGTGTGGCCTCCCAGGGATCTCTGAGCAAGGTGGCTTCACAGCCAACAGCAGTTCCCCTGGAGAAGGTTGCAGCCCGTGGCACTGCTGCAGTTGGGATGGGTGTCCCGTCCAGGAAAGGGGACCAGGGCCCAGCACCCAAAGCACCTGCACACCCTGAAAGCCCTCAGTCTAGGATGATGAGGAAAGCACAGGCCATGGCACCTGGCAGACTTTGGTGCGATGCCCCTTCTGCCACTTCACAGAATCAGTGACCTCCCTGGGTCTCAGTTTAAAGACCCCTCCCACATAGGGCCCACAGGGTTTGCTTGAGGACACATCAGATGCCACAGCTCATTGGCCAAGCACACAGTAGGCCATGAGCATCAGTTGGGTGGGGGGCATCCGACTTGTTGCTTTCCCCATAAATAGGGAGACCGTCCCAGGATGGGGTCTCTCCTGACTGGCCTGGCCCAAGCAAGTGCCTTCCCTTAAGGGTGAGAGATGGACTACGTGACCCCTAATAACCCCTGTCCCCAGGACCAACAGAGAAGAAGGCCATTGTTCTCGGCTCCCTTCCTCCAGAAATGAGAAACACAGCTGAAGCCGCTCCTGCTCCCCAGGGCCCGCCAAGTCCTGGAATTTCACCAGGGGTGCTTGTCCCCGACATGGCTGATTTATTCCTATTGTTATTCCTACATATCGAGTGATATGTAGATACATTCTGCTTAGAAAAAAGGACACATTTCAGGTGGGGTTAGAACCCCTCCTGCCACCATTTGCCAAGAGAACCGATGACAATTCCGTGTCCTTGTGTGGTTGGGGTGTGGTCAGGAAAGTTCTCCTTTAGGGTGAGGCTGCCAGGGTTTGGGAGGGACTCGCATGATCCCAGTGAGGACAAGGGTGAAGGCCAGGCACTTCCCAAGGTCCCTGCTGGCCGGAGGATGGCACAGAGGGGTGCATAAGCTGCCTGGCTTGGGTTTTTCCAGAAAAACCCTTCAATGTGGATGGAATGATCATTGTAATAATAATAATAGTTTCCACTTACTGAGCCTTACTCTGCCCCAGATAATAGCAATGGGCCTTCTCCTTGCATCTTCTCATTGAACTCTGCACATGAGACATATCTCCATCTTACAGATGAGAAGGCAGAGGTTCAGGTTCACATAAGGTATCTAAGGTCACATAGTAAGTGATGAGACCAGGGTTCAAATTCAGCCCCACTTATCCAGGAAGTGGGGTGCAGGAGACCCTGACGCTTGTCCCAGTCGGTGCCAGCTGGCCTTATCCCAGGTACAGGTCATTTCACTCCCCTGGCTCAGGCTCCCTAGATTCCTTCTCACCTCACCTTTACCCATCTGTGGGCACTTAGCCCTCTGCCTTCCACTCCAGGGTTAAAGATGGTGGAATACCTCTGTCTCCTTACAGAAAGGAGAATGTAGAAGCCCAGAGAGGGCACTTGATCTGCTCCAGGACACACAGCAACACCATCCCAGGGCTGTGGCTAGAACAACGGTTTCCTCCCTCTTGGTCAGCGTTATTAACCTGTTGACCTTTCTGCTTTAATCCAACCCCAGACTTGGCCATGCTGCACGTGTGTGTGGGGATGTGAGTGCGTGGAGAGAAGAGGGAAGCTCCTCTCCTTGGTCACGTTCATCACACACAGCCTGAGCAGTGGGCCAGCGGGGAATCTCTGGGGACTGGCCGGCTCTGAGTGGAAGCTGCTTCCGGCGTCACCTGCCCCTTCCTACAGCTCCCTGGATGTCACACTTCCCACTTCCTAGCGGGGCTAGCCCGGCATCCCCTGACCACCCAGAGGTTGCCCTCTAAGGCCTGTGTACTTTCTTTGTGGTCTGGCCTCTGGCTGAACAGGGGGTTTTATACAAATCCGTGGAGACAGAAATAGATCAATGCTCCCTGGAAATGTCTCCATCAGCTTCTGGAGAGTGGACTTCAGAGTTCCAAAGATCAAGGTTTGAACATCAGACAAGGGGGAAAAACAAAACCCAGGACCTAGAGTGGTCCCTGTTGCCCCTGCCATGAAGTTCCTCTGGGTCTCTGTTAGCCCAGGTACTCTTGTCACCTCCCCCCCCCAACGGCTGGGTCCCTGTCTACCTCCCTCCTCTCTCTTCTCATACATCTGCCAAAGCACAGCCCGCCTGCTGCTTTCTACACCTGCCGTGCAAATGGAGGCCCTGCGCTGTTGCCTTGGCTGTGTCCTCTGCTTAGAGCACCTTTCTTCCTCATCTCCAACACCCATTGCAGCTAAGCCACCCATCCAGGTGCTACTTTCTCCATCTTCAACAGCGCTGTTATCCATTCATTCAGTGCCCAGGTATGACATGCCATTCCAGACCCTGGGAATACAACAGTGGTTCAGAACACTCCCCAGCCTCTGTCTTTTCAGCTATTTGGGAACACATCGCTAACTCAGCCTCACTGCAGAGACATTGCCAGAATTTCTGTGCCCTCCCCCAATGCCTGACATAGTGAGTTATACAGTAGGCACTTAATGAGTGTCTGCTGGCTGAATGAATGAATGATGAATATCACTTACTGCCTTCTACTGTAATGTCTCTGCAGGGATTTCACCACCCATTGGTCGAGTACTGTATGCCATGTTCAGCTCTAGGCACCAAGTTTCTGTGTTCCCAGGGTTTATTCTTCTTGTTTATAACAACAACAAAATAGCTAACATTGGCCCTTCTTTTGTGCCAGGCCCTGATTAAAGAGGCCTTGGTGAAGAGGCAATGGCAATGTTACATGTGCAATGTTACACGTAGTAACAACACTATCAGTAGGAACTCTGATTATCCCCATTTTACAAATAAGAATTGAGGCCCAGAGAAGTTAAGGCATTTTCCCCAAGTCACACAGCTGGTCAGAAGTAGAGACAGGACTCCAACACCAGCACTCTGACTCCAGAACTCAGCCTCTTATGTTTATTGAGTGACTGAATGAATGACTCATGTTGCTACTTGATATGTTGGCTTCTGAGTTAATTCACACTCAGGAGTGGCCTCAGGGGCCTTCTTTGTGCAAACATGTACATACCATGCATACATGCACATGTGTGTGCCCCCCTTGGCTCTCTCTCCAGTGTGTGCCACCTGTGCTGGAGTCTATTGTCCTGTCCCTGATTCTTGCCTCTCAAGTGGACCATCCACTGGCCCTGCATCTGAGGGTCCTTATATAGTCTCTTTGCTCAGCCAGACGTGGGGGTTACTATGCCCAAAAGGATCAATTGTTCCTAAATGCAGGGAGGATGTTTGTCAGGGGAAGGGGAAAGGAACCAAGATGGTCTGCAAATGAACTGTGACAGATAAACCTCACCTCCCAGGAGACTCTTGGGAAATATGCAAGCTTATAAAAATGCTCCTGGCCATTCCAACTTGGAAGGCACAGACGCATCTAATATCTACCAAAACGTCCATTCATGTGATCAATTGCTCACTGCTTCATCAAAAGCTCAAGTGTTCGTGCTATACTAACGCCCTAAGAAATGAAGGAGGGACTTGGGCATTGGTAGTCTTCCAGGGCCTAAAACAGCAGGTGGAGAAGTTAGACCTTGGTGAAGAGGCAATGGTGAGCTATAGAAGGTTTTTGAGCAGGAGAGGGACGTGGTCCAAGCTTCATTCCTGAAGATCTGTCTTCCTGCCTGGTGGAGGATGGAATGGAGGGGCAGCAGAGAGACTGTGGAGGTTATAGCTGGGGACTGGGTGAGAGGGGATGAAAGCTTGGGTTAGGGACGTAGAGTCCATGGAGTGGGTGGGGAGAAGGGAGGGGCCTCATTGAGGAGATGTTTCCAGGTAGATGGGACTGAGTTGTTTTGGGAAGGGAGAGAGAGTGGAATTCGAAGGCCCATAAGTCTGGGAGACTGAATGACTGGAAGCATTCCTGGAGGGGCCATTTCTGGGACAATAATAACTGTAATTGCTATATAGGCCTTCCTCTGTGTCAGGTACTGTGCTTTATGGCTTTTGCTGTATTAAATACTCACAAGAATCCCCTCAGGTGATAACTGCCATCGTCTCCGTCTTACACTTGGGGAAACTGAGGCACAGTTACCTTGACAGAGATTACCCAGCCAATAACTGGTAGAGCCAGGATTCCACTCCAGGCAGCTGCCTGCAGAGCTTCTGCTGGTAACCCCCGCCCCATGCACCTCTCCATCCACAGGCCTGCAGGAGCCTGTCTTTATTTCTGGAGTGGACATGCATTTCCAAGAGGAAGCACTGAGAGGAGAGGACCAGGGCTTCACTTGGAAACTGACCGGAGTGCAGAAGCAGCACCTCGGGGAGGAGGCCGCAGCCCTCTGGGCCTCCCGGTTCTGTGTGGTGGGGACATCAGCCCAGAAGATTAATGAGAGGGCAGGGGAGGGAGGAAAGGAAGGAAAGGAAGGAAGAAAAATTGCTGCCCATTATACCTGTCCTTTGGCAAGGCCGGGTAATTAGCAAACCCTCGGCAATAAAATATTTCGTTTTGGTGTAATTGCAAAGTAATTATGTGGTATGGGTTGTGTATTAATCGTATTGATTAATTACACTCAGGTAGTAATTAAACATCTGCTTGATAATCGTGTGCAGCCTGAGGCTGAACATTTATACACATACACACATGCCTGTGCCACATGCAGAGCTCCTTGGTCTCTGCTCATTGGGGCAGGGGGTGGGGGGGGGGGTTTGTGTGCGTGTGATGTGGGTGTGTTTGACAGAGCCTGGCTGAGTTAGAGACCTCTCCCTCCCCCACCATACAATGAGCACTTTGTTCCCCAGCCTCACCTGGAACACCGGGAGGAACTGACCTAGGACTGGGGCTGTGCCACCCTGCAGTCCCTCTCAGAACAGAACATGAGGCCCAGGTGTCCCCTGTCTGGCAGGGCTGCCAGGCCAAGCCAGGTTGGCACGGGGCTCAAGTGCTCCATACGTGGCAATGTGCTGTCATGTCTTAGAACTCACTGCAAACTTTGCCACCAGTCCCCTCCTGCACCCTCTTAGACTGTGTTCGGCTTTGAGTGTCCTTTCTTGGGCAGATTCCTTTCCCCAGCAGCTGGGAGAAAGTTCTTACTTATTGTAGGAACCACTTGGGCTGAGGCCCCGGTACCAGCACAGCACACCCATTAGGACTGGATTTAATAACCTGATCCTGGACACTGTGGGGACCAAAGCAGGATGCTGACCTGTGTGCAGGAGCCCTGTTTCTCACCTGGATCCTACCGTTGCTGTGTGATCTTGAGCAAGTCACTCCCCTTCTCTGTCTCTCTGCTTCCTGGTCTATAAAACAAAGAAAAACTGAGCTTGGAGGCCTCCAAGGGCCTTTCCAGTGCTGCTGTACTCAGATTCTAATTTGGTTTGTACTAATTAGGAATCGGAGACAATTTAAATTCAATACATATGATACTTAGTGAGTAAACAATTGGAAATAATTCCTTCCTTTATGACTTCCCAACGACTCACTCATGAGCAATGAGAACCCAGCTAAAATCAATAGCTTTTATTTTTCAGACAGAGAAATTGCAGATTCCTTGAACTGCTGGGCATTGCAATTCATTGTTGTATTTTAAAATTTTATGTTTATGTTTATGGACTGCCATTAGATAATATGGATTCATCCTGAAGGTTTTTTTTTTCATTAACTTAACTCATTTTACTTATTAGTTCACATTTATAGCGTGGGTTTAATAAGCACACTGTGCAAAAGTCATAAAATACCCTTTTTCTTTAACAATATTTTAAAATCAAGACTCTTTTCTGAGTCATCTCAGGTTTATTTGCTCATAACTTGCTTCTCCTGTGATTTGAGGCCTAGCACAGCCAACTCTAGCCTGTTATTTGACCTTGAGCTTCAGTGTCTTTATTTGTAATAGGGGAAAGGTATCACTAGTTAATAAAAGTAATAAATTTTAAAAAGCAAGCATTCGACAATCACTATATTCAAAGTGGTTCTGATATATAAGGTGGTTGAATCTCACATTTCTGAAATGGCTTTATTTTTTTTTCCCACTTTATAGGGGAGGGAACTGAGGCCCAGAGAGGTTAAATGACTTGCCTGAGGCCACACAGTTGGTGACAGTGGCAGAGCTGGGATGCAAACACAAGTCTGTATGAGTCAAGCTGACACCTCAAATTAACCCTCACAGTATCTAAATCAGCCAACAGTTTCCCTCCCACATCTGTCTTCCTACCCTCAGCCTGTCAGACTCAGTATCCCCCCACACCACCCACCCACCTTCCCCTGACATCTCCTTATCCCCATCCACCCCACCCCCCACCATGCCCTGCCCATCCTCCTTCCATCCTCTCATTTTCTGTTTCCATTGCCTGGGCTTCTTGCTGCTTTTATTTATTTATTTTAATTTTTTGTTGTTGTTGAGACAGAGTCTCATTCTGTCACCCAGGCTGGAGTGCAGTGGTGTGATCTCGGCTCACTGCAACCTCCGTCTCCCAGGTTCAAGTGATTCTTCTGCCTCAGCCTCCCGAGTAGCTGGGACTACCAGTTGTGTACCACCACGCCTGGCTAATTTTTTGTATTTTTAGTAGAGATGGGGTTTCACCATGTTAGCCAGGATGGTCTTGATCTCCTAACCTCATGATCTACCCGCCTCAGCCTCCTAAACTACTGGGATTACAGGCATGAGCCACCGTGCCCAGCCTTCTTGCTGCTTTTAATCTCCTGGAAGCACATTTCTGCCCTCTGATCTTCAGTGGCTCCCCATTGCCTGTGGATAAATTTCATCATCCTTGGTCTGGCATTCAAGGACCTTAACCATACACCCCTTGCCTTCCGTTTCTGTCTCACTTCCCACTCTGCCCCAACAGGCGGGCTTGGCTCATGGTCTTGGCTCATGGTCTTGAATACCCGCCCACATGTAGGTACCCTGTGCCTTTGTTTGCCCTGGTCTCTCTGCCTATAGTGCCTTCCTCATCTTCATACATTCCAATCTTCCCCTTCCTCCAGGAAGCCTTCCCTGGGGCCTCTCACTCCTCTGAATTCATAATGATATGAGGAACCCCTCCTTAGCCACCTGGAACTACAGAGCCATAGGCATCGTCTTCTGTTGCCCATAATAATGAACAGCACCTTTGAAGGTGTAATCTGTGCCTCTCTCATCCTTGGTGCCCCTGGAATCCCAGGTATATAGCAAGTGTTCAATTAATGCTTTCCAAATGAGTGAATGTTCATGTTGCTCATGGTCTCCAGGAAACAGAACTCCCTGTCTTCTCTGTTGAATTCAAGACCAGCCCCACGCAAATTTCGGGAAATACTTGTCCAAGTTCTACCTACTTTCAACAGCTCTTCCTCCCTCCCTCCCTCCCTACACACTTCCCTCTGTCTTCCTAGAATTGTCACATTTCTTCTTGATCAGTGACTCAAACAAAACTGTTTTCCTCTCTTCTTCCATAAAACTTACCTGTCCTGGGTGCCATTTACTTGGTTTACTGCTGCGTAAATGGCCTTCTGGTTTCTGGCAAATTAATTCCAGCTGTGATGTTCATCGTGGATAATGGTGAAGAAAACGAGATACCCAGGGGCTGCACAACACTCTGTTTTTGAGCCTGAGGATTTTGTAGATGAGGAAACTGAGGCCCAGAGGTGGGGAAAGAGGGACTTAGGTAAAGGAATCTGCTGAATTCTCAGTCAAGTCTCCCTGGGGAACTCTCTGCTGTTTCCTGGGTTATCTTGATCACTGGGATTAGAACTACCACTCTGTTGGTGGTCACTGCACTTTACAGTTTGCATGAACTTGACCTACGACAGGCATCTCAGCTGCTCTGTGAGCTTTCACCAAGGCTCAGAGAGGTGGGTTGCCTGTGTCAACCACAGAGCCAGTGTCTAGCAGTGGAGCCAGGGGTAGAATGCAAGTCGGGCTGTGCCACAGCTGTGCTCTCCCCGCCTCCCCCGTGGATGCCAATGCTCACTGGCTTCCCTACCTGCTGGCAGCAGCCTTGTGTTTACACCAGACTTCATCTACAGGATGTATTCCCCTGGTTGGAGCAGGTAGCTAGAGAGTGAAGGAGACAGAACCAGGGAAAATGCCAGGCCAGGCCTCCACGAGAGGGATCTGGCCTCAACGAGTGTGGGATCAGAAGACAGGTGACGTGGGCCAGGCCTGGCTCACAGCCCTCAGAGCTGGGCTTCCTGAGCTGCTGTGGGATGACCAGGGCCTTGTGACTGTCCACTCCCAGCCCCATCCACCACTCAGCCGTATCCTCCCCAACTGGCACTTCTGGGCCTGGACTTGGGAAAGGAGCTTTATCTGAGGATGACACACACGTGCATTTACAACGACACATATTCACACACTGAATCCCTCCCCCCGATACACACAGATGCATGCCCACCCCCACATGCTGCCAACAGTCATGTGCACACATGGGTGACACACGCCCTCCTGAATGTCTCTAGTTCACACTCTATTTTAAACAGTCTAGGTGGCAGCATCCCACAGTGATCGAGAGCTTCCGCTCATAAAGCAAATAGGGGTTCAAATCCAGTCTATTTCACAGCCGTGTGTCTGAAAGTTACCTAGCTTCTCCAGTCTTCAGTTTCTCATCAATAAAACGGGGATGATAGCACTGTTAGAATGAAATGGGTGGACATACGTAAAGCACTGACCATGGGACCTTTCTATCTCATTTCTACTCAGCTCCCACAGGCAGTCTTAGCCTGTGGTCTCAAATGCCTGCCCCCCACTCCCACATCTGGGTATCTCCACGCCTATGCTCACCCTGGGCCCATTGTCCACAGCACCCTGCTACCATCTCCACACACCCATATCTGCCCCCTCCTCCGGGAAGCCTTCACATGCTCACGGGTGTTATCAGGGGAATTAGAGGAGGAGAAGCTCCTCTCCCTTTGAGTTATTACAAGCACAGGCTTCAAAGCTGGCCTGAGAGATGGCAGAGACTGACAGAGGGTCCGTGATCCCCTTTCACAGATGGAGAAACTGAGGCCCCACGCAGGTGAGGGTGTGCCTGAATGTTCACAGCAAGTTAGTGTGGTGTTGGGACTGGAACCCAGGACTCCTGCCTGTGGGTCCACAGATGTCACCTCCTTCTCAGAGTGAAGACTCCCCCCTCCATGGATCTGTTAGTTAGGTGGGTGATCTGGTTCTCTCAGCCAGTTTGAGGGAGCATGGAAGTTGGGGGAGATAGATGGGGGCCAAGGGGGTCCCCAGATGAGCTTGTGTGTGATGGTGGGGTACAGAGAGGAGTGGGAGATGCTGGGGAGGAGAGGCCAAGAGTGGGGACTGGGACAGGGTTGGCTGAAGCAGGAACCATGGGCGACCCTGGTGAGCCCGCAAGAATGGCATGGCTGTGTATGCTGCTATTGAAACAATCTCTGTTGTCACCTCTTTCCTGCAGCCGTTTATTTATTTCTTTATCATGCCCTTTTGGAAAATGCTGGGAATGCCACCCCTCCTGGGGAATGCACCCTCCCCCCGCTCCCCAGTTCACACCGTCTGGTGTGACATTCGTGCTCACCAGCTTGCAGAGCGCTAATGACATTTGCATTTTGCTGGCTGGTGAAATGTGGGCTGTGCTTGGTGATGGGGGGTAAGGAGATCCTTAGGCAAATGGGAGGTTCCCAGCCTAGAAAGAGGGGCAGGCTTGCTGGTCTGGGGGCCCACGCAGGTCTCTGAGACGCAGAGAAGGGAGCGAAGGTGGGTGCAGAGGGGACTAATGTCTGGCAGAATTTAGAGATGCTGTTTGTCTAAAGTCTTGCCAGAACACAAGGCAACCCCAAGTCTGGTGTTCCAGGTCCCCTGACATGCTCATGCACTATCCTCTGCGTCACCTCCTTAACATTTATTGAGCAATTTCTAGACGCCAAATGCTCCTCTGTGGGCTTCACAGACTTACGAAAGTCATTTTAATTCCCGGCAATCCTCAGGAAAAGATGCTATTATTATTCCCATTTTACAAATGAAGAGTCTGAAGCTCTGAGAGGACACCTGACTTGCCTCTTCTGGAAAGAGGTTGCACCAGCTTGTGGCCAAGGTCCACCTGCCTCCAAAGCCCGTGCTCTTGGCTACTGTGGGCAACCTCCTGTTCTTTGTCTGGGCTTGAGCAGAACCAAGAAGCATTTGTCTGCTGAGGCCCAAGACTGGGTAGAGGTGGTGAGCATCGTCCCCCGTCCGCCACCACAGCATGCAACAGGCTCCTGCTATGCTCCTGGGGCTGCTCCAGTCTGACAGCTACAGAAGAGGGTATGGCCCTGGAGAGAGGCCTCAGCATGAGTCAGGAGAGACCCAGAGTTTAGGCCTTGCTCTGCCACCAACTTGCTGTGTGACTTTGAGCAAGTCAGTGCCCCTCTCTGGGTATCAGTCTCCTTATTGGTAAAAAGAGGCCATTGGTCTGGCGGCATGGAGCATCCCAGGAATGCATTTTCACACGAGGAAGAAACTTCTCTCCAATCTGCTTGGACTCATGGACTTGCCTTGCACTCAGACACACAAATTATGTTTTACATAAAAGCAAATCATGAAACATTTGCTGAACCTCCTCTCCCTTCTGCAAGGGGCACTGTGCTAGATGCAGGGGTTATGACGCTTATGTATTTTTACTCAGCACATGCAAACACAGGCACATGCATACCTTTGTGTCTTAGAATTATTTCCAGGCTATTTCAGTCGGATCTAGATGTTGAGTGCCCAATCCTGATGCTCACCTGCAGGCTCCTGCAGTCTTGGTTCCATCACTTCGCCTCCTGCAGGGCCAGGAGAGCCTTTCAAACAGAAAGAAGAGACCGCAGCTCGGGCAGGTAATCACGGCTGCTTCTGCTTCCCTCTCACAGGTGAGCATCTCCTGGACCACCCTCAAGCTTCAGGTGAGCTGAGCTTCTAACACTACCATCAAAGCAACTGGAACCCCTTGAATTTGATTTCTGGAGACGCGAGCATAATCCTTTTGCAGACATCTCAACGCTGGCTCTCCAGGTAACAGAGGTTAGGCTCATTCAGCAAGGGGATTTCTGCTACTTTTGTTGTTGCTGTTGTTGTTGCTAAGGGTAACCATCAGCAGGGCACCTGTCATTCTCTTTCATGCATCAGTGTCTGTCTCTCCCATCACACCAAAGGTCCGTGGGCAGGATAGTAAGGGGTGCAGATAGTGTGAGTGGATCTGAGCCAAGGTTGCTGGGGTCTCACTAGATTAGCCAAGAAGATAACCCTCGGAGGGGCCAGACAGCTGAGAAGGCTGAGGTGCAGGCTAGCCCACCAGGTTGCTGGCCCATGCCCCTCAAGCTCAACTGGGGAAGGGTGGAACTGTTGCCCAGGTAAGCAAGAACCAGTGGTGGGTCAGAAGTAAAGGTTGGCTGCAGTGGGTGGTGAGAGGGCAAAGGCTGAACTGAGGTCAGATGCTGCATCATTTGGGAGCCAACACTCAAACTGGATTAAGCAAGACAGGCCATTTATTAGCTTTTTAAAATTGGTTTCTAATATATTGGTTTCTAATAATATATATTCCAAATATATATATTCCAAATAATATATTTGGGGCCTATTTATTGGTTTCAAGGCAGGCAGGGCTGAATCCAGGGCTCAAATGATGCTGTTAGGACCGTATCTCACCACATCCGTGTCCTCTGCCTCCCTCCTTGTGAGCTTCAGTCCTCGGTAGCCACTCTCCATGTGGCCGCAGGGCAGGCACCTGCAGATCCAGACTGACGCCTTGCTCATTTCAAATCCAATGGAAGGAGAGCTTCTTTTTCCCAGGCGGTCCAACAAAAATCCCAAAGTCAAGGCTTATTGGATGGTCTTGGGTCACATGACACCTCTGCCCAATCACTGAAACCTGGAGGATAAGATATGCTGATTGGCCAGACTGGGTCAGTTGGTCGGGGGGCAGTCGGTGCGGGGGTTGGTGGGGTGCGGGTGGTGCTGAGGGAGGTGGTCGGGGCTGTGGGGACTGGTCGGTGCTGGGGTGGGGGCGGTCGGTGCTGGGCGGGGGGTCGGTGGTTGGGGGTGGTGTGGTGAGGTCGGTAGGTGTCGTGGGTTGGGGAAGTCAGCCTGAATGCATGAGAGGGGATGGACTTGCAAGGGAAAATCCAAGCATTATTTTTAGAAAAAGGAGAAAGGAATGCTGGGCAGACAAAGCAGCAGATTCTCCCTACTGGTGTCATGTTGGGAGTCGGGGGCGATGAAGCACCCAGGTGGTCGCATGTGTCCCAGTTGGGATTCTTCCTGTGATTTATGGTACCAGGGTTGGCCTCTCTCTAAGTGCCTCATTTTTAGTGAATCTAGTATCTGAAAGCCCAAATTTCACACACACACACACACACACACACACACACACACACACACAGCCCCCATGCCTCTGATGGATCTGAGAGTGGTACTTCACGTTCCAAAAAGATTGTTCCAGAAGGTCTTTCTCATAAAGAGTCCCTGCACTCTCTGATGGCCGCCCCACTATTTCAGCCACCCCAGCGCCTGGCTGCCTTGAGTAGACCTCCACTCGCCGGGAAGGCCTGTTCCTTTTTCCCCCCACCTCCACTCCTTCATGGCTGAGGGGAGTTTCTTGAGCCTCTTTAGGGTTTTTTGCGCTAAATGGGCCCCTTCCCAGAAGACCAACCGCAGCCTTGCTTATCTGAAGCCCCTTAGAGGGACAGGGGAGCAGAGGGGGACGGGCACTGGTTGAGTGGAAGCTCCGTCTCTGGGGGCACGAGGGTACACGTGGCCAGGCCAGCCTGGCAGCCCTGCTGCCCTCCGCCGCGGCAGCTCTGTCCTACATTTAGGGTGCGATGTGTGATTTCATTTGAGCAAATATTCCTCTGCAGAAAAAATACCGAAAACCACAGCTTGTGATGCTGCCTCCCAGGCAGCTGCCCCTTGCTTGGTTTTGGTCAACCACAAACCTCCTGGCCCTCCCCCAGTCTCTCTCGCTCTGTGTCTCGCCTGTGGGCTCCAAAGCTCTGACTCACCATGCAGCCAGCTCAGCGCTCAGCACCACCCTGCCTTATATGGTGAGCTCAGCACCTCTGGGTCAATGAGTGTTAATTCATTTATTCAGCCAATGGCTGTTGAGTGCCTATCATGTGCCAGGAGCTGTTTAAATGCTGGGGATTGAGGGTGAGCAAAGCCCAAAGGTCCCTGTCCTCAGGGTTCCCTGACCTCTCCTCTGGGAGATCTCCTGAGGGCAGGACCCTCCTCTGGGTGTCTTGCCCCCAACCCCTCGCCTGATGTCTCAGACAGTGCTAAACCATAACTGGGCTGGCTTGGTAGATATGTCGGTCAGTTACTTTCCACAGCATTTTGTAAAGCCCCCACCTGTGCCTGATGCAGCAGAAATAGCAGAATGACTTGGTTCTCAGCCTTTAGGACTTAGGGTGTAAGGTGCCACTTGTCATGGCCCTGGGGAGGAGGAAGGGCAGCTGTTAGAGAGATCTGTATGCAGACCTGCTCCTGGAGTGTGCACCTGTTAATAAAACGAATCATACAAGCTCCACTTCCCAGGCATTCGTCATTCATTCAGATGCACTCAACAGGCACCTCAGAGGCCAGATTTTTAAGGGAGACGATCAAAGTCAAGACATCCAAGGTAAAGAATGGGAGGGTCCAGAGCTGAAATATAAAGGAAGGCTTGGGGGTTCAGAGGCCAGAAGGAGATGTTACTGCTGCACAGTGGTGGTGTAAAATCAGGGGATGCAAGGCCTGTGAGCTGTGCCTAGATATAGGCCAGTTTCGGACGTTAGAAAGGACATTCGGGAGGAAGACACAGTGAGAGCAAAGGCCTGGCAGTGGGACCCTGAGGCTTGAAAGACTGTGCCAGGCAGGAAGCCAGATGAACTCGGTTAGCCTTCTTTCCCGCAGGCCTCCAGGCTTGGCCGTGCTGGGCCTGGGGCCATCTTGTCTTCAAGGCTGCTTTCAACTACAGCTTGGGTACGGAGTTTAGTAGCGCCTCCCTTTTCCTTTTGTCCTCTTCTTCCCTGGGAAGGGGAGTTTTGGAGGGCCCTTTCAAAGAGATGGTGCTGCACAAAGACCAAGAGTTCTTAATCCTCTCATTCCTGAGATACTTTACAGAGCTTAGGGCTCATTTTCACTTAGAGCATTGCAAGCAGCTGCCCTAGTGGCATACCCTGGGCTGGAAGTTGGGAGACTTGGGTCCCTGCTGCACTACTGATGTCCTTAGCCTCCTGGCCTATAGTTTGTCAAGCTCCTTCCGCTTGAAACATTGTATTCCATGTCAGACCTGGGTTCGGATCTGAGCTCTGCTAGCAGTACAGCCTCAGTATTCTTATAAGTAAGTTAGAGATAGTAATAGTCACTTCTCGTAAGACTGTGTGAAGATGGAAGGAAATACTTGAATGACAGAAAGTGCTTAACAGAGCACCTGCCAGGGATCAGCATTCAGTGTAGTACTGATGCTATTTGGTGTTGTTATTATTTATATTTCAATCATATTAATATAACTCTGTGGGAGTCTTCAGTGTATAGGTGCCTGTTGGTCCATGTCCCAAAAAACTTGGTGATGGGGACCGGGCACGGTGGTTCATGCCTATAATCCCAGCATTTTGGGAGGCTGAGGCGGGCGGATCTCAAGGTCAGGAGTTCGAGAGCAGCCTGGCCAACATAGTGAAACCCCGTCTCTACTAAAAATACAAAAATTAGCCGGGTGTGGTGGCATTCGCCTGTAGTCCCAGCTACTTGGGAGGCTGAGGTGGGAGAATTGCTTGAACCTGGAAGGCAGAGGTTGCAGTGAGCCAAGACCGCACCACTGCACTCCAGCCTGGGTGACTGAGTGAGACTCCGTCTCAAAAAAAAAAAAAAAAAAAACTTGGTGATGGGGTGGGGTGTCACACCCCTCCCATCTCCGAAAAGTGTTGGGGTTGGGGCTGCCTTACCCAGAATCACATTTATTCATTCATTCACCAACACTTCATTGAGCACTTACTGTGTGCCTGGGCCTCTGAGAGGCACGTGGGGTCCTATTGGATAGGATGCTCAGGGTCCCTGCTCTCGGCAGCTCAGGTCTTCAGGCTGAGGCCTTGGGGAAAATCCCACCCCAGCTTCCCATGGCACCCGAAGCTTTGTTCAACCCTCCCTTGCCATCTTGGGCCTAAGGCCTGGGTGAAATGCCAGAGCATCCACTAAAATGGACTGGTCCAGTGTTGCACATGGACCTTATGGGGTGGATTGCCAAGTCCCAGTTCAGCATCAGGAAAACTAAGTGTTTCACGGGGAAGATGGGCTTGCCCTGGGTGCCAATGGCAAGGTCCTGTTTCATTTTTCACCCCCCTTTGATGCTTCTTTGGATCCTGAACTGCAAAGGGTTTTGATTATTTCTGGAGGACGCCAAGCCTGTACATGGAAGGTGCTGGGGGTCCAGTCTGCCCCTGTGTTTGCCTGGCGGTCTCCTTGTGGGTATCTCACCCTCTCTGGTCTCTGGCAGCCAGCAGAGCCTGCCATGTGGGGCATCAGCCAGAGGTTGGTGAATGGATGGATGGGTGGAAGGATCACAGTGGATTTACTGGAATCGGTGTTGTCCCAGCCTCAGCCGGGGTGGTTGGACATACCAATCTCTTGGCTTGTTTTTCTGTGACAATTTGATTTTGGCTCCCGTGGAATATAAGGAATTTTCAAGTAGTGGAATGGACTCAAAACAAATGGCTTTTGAGCTGATTAAGTTTCTCAGTTTGATTTCAGGGAGGCAGCCTGGTGTGTACCCTGATTTAAGGACAGAGCTTGCAAACGCCAGCTCTGAGGCTGGGTGACCTTGGGCGTGTTATTGAGTCTCTCTCAAATTCTCAACTCTCATCTAGAAAATGGTAGCACTAATGGCATCATAGGGCTGCGATGAGCTTTAAATTAAATAATGAGTGTTAAAACAGTTGCAGAGCTCTGGGCACGTGGTAAATGCTCAAGAAAGGATGATGATGGTGTATTTAATGAACACCCTTAAGCTATTTGTTGCATCTTCTTGCTCCCACACGGGTTTTTCCAGACTACTTTGCATTTGTAAGACAAAAAAGTTACTTTGAAAAGTTATTATTACACAAGCAATATAGGCTTCTTAAAAATTCAAATGATCTGGAAGGATTTAAATTAAAAAGCAAATTCCTCTTCCCTCCACCTGCCAACCCCATCAGTCCCTTTTCCTAGCAACATTCTCTTTGAATGTGGGGTTCTTCAAGACTAGAACTTTTCTTCTTTTTTTTCTCTCCTTAAGGACAGGGGACAGCTATGCAGTCAGGAGGGGACAGTAGCCTGGTGGCTGTTGCAGCCAGTTGTCATCCAGGCTAAAAGTCCTGAGGCTGGTGCCAAGGGGTCTCAGTGGAGCAGGAACAGGAGCAGGAGCAGTCGGGTCCCTTAGGCAGCCTGGCTTCCCCAGCACTGTTTGCTCTGAGTCACAGGGGTCTCCAGCACTCTATGGGGTCTCAGAGTCCTGGGGATGGGAGTGGCCTGAGCCGAACCACATTCAGTCCAGGCTTGGAGTGCCAGCCTCACAAACAATGTGGATGGCCACCTGCTGGGGGCCCCTCTTCTGTCACAGTGCCCCAGGGCTCAGTCCAGCTCCAGCTTCTGTGACCCCGGCAGCACAATCGATTGTTCCTGCTCACCTTCTGACAGTCTGCACTCCCAGCTGTGCCCTCTGCTGCCACACTCGGGCACAGGCCCAGGTCCAAGTGAACACAATTGGCATTAGGTTCCAGCAGGACTGGCATGGGGCCCAGCACATCATCGGTGCTAAATGGACTTGCAGCAGGTACGAGGTGTGCCGTCTGCCTTTACTTCTCTAAATCTGATTAAATCTGCCTTCAGCTCCCTCCACGAATTTGAAAGACATTCAATCCCAATTATGTTGGGGAGTGGATTTCTTGCCACCTAGGATCACATAGGAGTCTTGGTGGCCTTATGTGATCCGAAACATTTGGGAAAGGCTGCTGGACTTGAGCCCACACAGGGGCCCCGCAGACAGGCTTCTTTGCCAATCTCAGGGTCTAATGAGGCCAGGTGGGCAGCAGCTATTTCTGTGCTAGCCAGGGCACAGCTGTGGTCTTTGGTTGCAACTCCGAGCTATGAGCTTCGGTGTTCAGTCTCCCAACCATTCTCTGGCATCTCAGGATCACTCCATTAAAGCCTGATCACCTCTTGGAAGAGCTGTTCCGGGAACAGGGCACCTGAGCTTGTAACTTTTGGATCCTACCAATCTGGCTGATCTCCAGAAACACTCTCCACCCCTCCCCTCAAGCCTGCTGCCTCTGCTGCCCTCCTCTGCAGGCTCACACTGCAGCCACCTTCATGGGCTTCAGCCTAAGCTGTCTTCCTAGACCCAGCCATTTTCTGACTGGCCTGGGAAACCAGCCGCCCCCAAGGCATAGGACCCAAAGACTTGGCCACCATCTTCGGAAAGAAGAGAGAAGAATGCCCACTGCAGAGTGAACAAATTGGGGAAAAAAAGTCTCAAGACATAATCCTGTCACTCTCATTGGCTGCAACAAATGCATCAATACCTTTCATTCAAGTATTGATTGAACACCAACCTTAAATCAGATTCTTTCAGAGACTGGAGGTAAAAAAATAATAAAAGACCAACCTCAAGTTGCTCAGGGTTTAAATAGTGGTTCTCAAACATGATCCTCAGACCAGCATCACCAGCATCTCCTGGGAACCTGGATATGCAGATTTTCAGACCTCCACTCCAGACCCACTGAATCAGAAACTTGAGAGTGGTGAGGCCCGGCACCCTGGGTTTTGACAAGCCCTCCAGGAGATTCTGATGGAAGCTCAAGTTTGAGGGTCCCTGAGGGCAACAGCAGGCAGTGGTCTGTCTAATACACTGCAATGCATCAGCCCATAGACCAGGTGATGCACGCTGGGGAAGGGGGAGGTACTGGAGAAGGCTTGGTTTATGAATCTTTTTTTTTTTTTTTTTTTTTTTTTTTCAGACAGAGTCTCGCTCTGTCACCCAGGCTGGAGTGGAGTGGCCCGATCTCGGCTCACTGCAACCTCCACCTCCCCAGTTCAAGTAATTCTCCTGCCTCAGTCTCCTGAGTAGCTGGGACTACAGGCATGCACCACCACATCCAGCTAATTTGTGTATTTTTAGTAGAGATGGGGTTTCACCATGTTGACCAGGGTGGTCTCAAACTCCTGACCTCAGGTGATCCACCCTCCTCAGCCTCCCAAAGTGCTGGGATTACAGGTACGAGCCACCACACCCGGCTCGTTTATGTATGTTTTAAAAGGGGACAAAGGAGTCTGTGTGTGAGTTGAGAGAGAGTAGATTCCAGCAGAGGGATCAGCACATGCAAAGTCCCTGGGGCATGACAGAGCAGAAGCATTCAAGGAGCTACAAATGGTGCCACTGGGTGGAGTGAGCAGAGGAAGTAGAGGAGGGGAAGGGATATGAGATAGGCTGCTTGTGCTGAGTTTGGGCTTTTCCCCAGGAGCACTGGGGAGCCATAAAAGGGTTTATGCAGAGGAGGAGGACAGGTGATGCCCTGAGAAGATGGCAGGGAGGTGGGATAATGGTTGAGGGTGAACAGACTCAGTTGCAGTCATTGCAAGGCCTCCAGCTGGTGACAGGCTGGCTTCTGAGGGCAGGGTTGGGCCTGTGGGGAGATGGAGAAAAAGGAGGCCGGGTGCAGCGTGGATACCCGGGTCATGCAGGAGCCCTGCCCTGTTACTAGATCCTTCCCTCAGGGGACGCAGTTGGAGGCTGGAACCCAGGTGGCCATCTGCCGTCACTCTCTGTCTGAGTGCCTTGGAAGCCTTCAGTTGCTGCCAGGCACTATAATTCATCTTTGCATGCTCCCCTTTATCTTTTTGGGGATAGAGAAAAACAAAATACCATCTGCACATCTGGGTGCTAGGCCTGGAATGGAGGCACCAGGACATGCAAGAGCTGAGTGTGGAGCTGGGAGGAGACCAGGAGAGGATCCTGTCGGGGCCCGAGGTGGGAGCTGGGCTGTGGGTATGGGTGTGGAGGGCACCTGGCCTCCCCACCTCAGTACTGGCGTTGGGAGCCCCATGGAGAGGAGGAAGCAGAGGAAGCTCCAGCCCAGCCCCTTCCTCAGAGACCCCAGCCTTCCTTGCTGCTTTCCTAGGGCCAGGCGGGCACAGCTTAGGGAATGGGGACTCGCCTCTCCCAGGATCAGGGCTCTTGCTTGGAAAGGAGCTTCCAATGAGCTCATCCTACAGTGAGTCCAGCCACTGGCCGGGAGGAGAAAACTTGCAAACCACAACCAGGGTCCTGAGTCCTTGGGGCGGGCAGAACCGGAGAGGGGGAAGGTGGAGCGCCCACACCAGGGCAGAAAGTGAGGCAGGTCTGAAATAGGCCGCTGGCTGGAGGGCCAGATGGGGACTCTATGTGCTTTGAGTTTGGCAGCTCCTGCTTCCAATGCATCCACTGCTGGTGCTAGTTTAAAGAGCAGTTGCTTGGAGCCAGGTGATGCTGGCCCTGGTCTGTGTGTACTTAAGGATCACATTAGCCCCAACCCACAATCACTGCTGATTTGTGGTGAGCACTTGGAGGAGCTGTGGTTCTGGCTGAGGGGGTGCCAGCCAGGTTCTGCCCACTAGGCGTTCCCTTAGGAGGGCTTAGGCCCTTTTTTCTGCTTTACTCTTAGTGTATAGATTTAACTCTCGAAGAAAGTGATCAGCAAGGATGTGTGGCCTTGCAGACTGGGCCGGGAGGGATTTTAAGGTGATCGGTTTTGACTCCTTGAGAGGTGCTCATTCAGCTTCTGCTTACATACCTGTAGCGATGGGGAGCTCACTACCAACCAAGAGAGCGTTCAGACTGCTTTGAAAAAAGTCATTCCCATGCTGTGCAAAGGCCTTGGGTTGAAATCCTATCCCTGCCTCTTGCTGTGTGACCTCAGACAAGTGACTTACCTTCTAGAGCTCTGGTTTCCTTTAGTCTAAAATGGGTTTGGTAAATACCCACTTCTCACTCGTGGAGAGGTTAAAACCAGTTAACTGTACAACCAGGAACAAGTCAGATCTCTCCACAGTGCATAGAAGCTGGGCCCAGACAGTCTTCTCAGCAAATGTACATGTCCCACGTCCAATAGTATCAGCAGGATAAATGTCAGCTTCTCCCTGGCACGTAGCTGATGCCAGGATGTGATTGGTGCTGCCCCCACCTCCCTTTGATGGAACCACAGTGCCTTAGAGACACGGCCAGGCCCCGTCCATGACTTTATCCTAACTCAGAGGCCGCAGACCACAGGATGCCCTGAGCTGTCACACGGGCCCAGTGTTCAAAGGCTTCTAGGAGGCTCAGTCTCTCTGGAGGCCTCCGTCCCTCACACAGTCCCCTCCCAGGCCCACCCTCCTCACATTATCAGGCTTTGTATCAGGGTTTTAATGAGGTTGGGGTGGGTGGGCAGGCAGCATTGCCTCGACTCCCACAGGAAATAACGAGAAAGCACCAGTATAACAGCTCAGGTGGAGAGGTGGTCCCTGAAACTGGCAGTGACTTCTGACCTTGTGACCTCAGGCCTCAGCCCGCAGTGCCACACTTCCCCCAAGGGCATGGGCCTTGCCCCCTACCATACCTTTCTGCAATCCTGTTTTGCCCTTGTTCCTATTTTATTTTTTAAACAGTTTTATAGAGGTATAATTTACACACCCTAACATTTGCCTGTTTTAAGGATATTATTCAATAGTCTGTAGTAAATTTACAAAGTTTTGCAGCCATCACTACAATCTAATTTTAGAATATTTCCATCATCCCCCAAAGAAATGTGGCATACATTTGCCATCAGTCCCTGTTCCCACCCCAGCCCCGGGCCACCACCAGTCTACTCTGTGTATCTATAGATTTGCCTTTTCTGGACATTTCATGTAAATGTACTCATACATCATGTGTGGAGGTGGGTGGAGCAGTGTCTGCTCAATGATATGCCTGTCTCCCCACAGCCAGCTAAGGCCAAGGCAGAAGTGTGGTTTCTTTTTAAGAGTTGGAAGAGCTCATCGAGGCCCCTGAGTGCAATTTTTACTTCAGTGCAAGAAAGAAATCCTCGGTACCAATCTCCACACTGAGACCCCTCTGACATCTGCTTGAATACACCTAGTCAGCAGCTCACTACTTGCCAGAGACTACAGGAAATTCTCAGATCCTGATCACATAGAGTGCCAGGCCTGCTGGTGTCATTTGATCTTTGGTTTCATCCTTTGAGATGGAATCATTTTACAGCTCAGGAAATTGTAGCTCAGAAAGGTTGAGGCACTTACCCACAGTCACACAGAGGATGGCTGGATTTAAACCCCACGTCTTTTTTATTTCAAACACATTGTTTAACACCTGCACCACATTTCAGCTGTTAAAGATGTCACTACACTCCATTCTGCTGGGGGACTACTCATCTTTGTATTGGGGTTCACTCTGTCTTATGTTAATGACTTCTACTCATCGTTTCTAGTTTTGCTGACTAGACTCACACAGATCACCAACCTGAGAGTGGAGTGGCATAGAGACTGGAGAGGAGGAAGGAAGCAAGGAGGACTTCCTAGAGGAGGTGATGTCTGAGTTGGGACTTGAAAGATAAGCAGGAATTAATGGGCAGAGCTTGTAGGGAAGAGTTTCCAGGGACTCTTAACTGCCAGCTCTTAAATATTTCACAACTGCTTGAGACTGGAGGGAACTGTCTAGAGTATTTACTCTTGCTGTCTGTCATTTGCAGTTTGGGCTATTATAACAAAATACCATAGACTAGGTGGATTAAACAACAAATATTTATTTCTCAAGATGCTAGAGGCTGGAAGTCTAAGATCAGAGTGCTAGCATGGTAGGGTTCCTGGTGAAGGCCATCTTCGCCTTGTATCTTCATGTGGCAGAGAAAGAGGAAGCAAGCTCTCCTGTCTTTTCTTATAAGGGCACTAATCTTATTCATGAGGGCTCCATCCTCATGACCTAATTACCTCACACCTCCAAATACCATCACATTGGGGATGAGGGTTTCAATATATGAATTTGGGGGGACACAAACATTCAGTCCACAGTACTATTTATTCTTCCCCACACATCACCAGTAAGTGATGGTCCAGCAGCAGTGCTTGATTACCTCCAAAGACAGGGAGCTTACCACCTTACCTGGGAACCTGTTCCATGGTGGAGCAGTTCTGATTCTGCCACGACCAGCAGAACATAGTCAGTCCCTCTTCATACCACCAGCCTTCAGGATGCTGGGCCTGGCAGGCGGGTCCCAGAAGCAGCTTGAAAGTCTTGGCCAAAATGTGCCCTGTTCCTTCATCCATTCTTCCCAATGTGTATTGCTTGCTATAGATGCTGCTCATGCCTGCACACCTGCCTCAGGGATGCCCAGCCCATACCCTTGGACTTGGAGGCAGGTTCAGAGTAGTGGTTAAAAGCCACTCACTATGCCCTCATGCAATCTTTTCTCCATGCACAGAGACAAAGCAAGAGAGGGAGCTCTGTAGTTTCTCTTCCTCTTTTTTTTTGAGACAGAGTCTCGCTGTGTCACCCAGGCTGGAGTGCAGTGACACAATCTCGGCTCACTGCAACCTCTGCCTCCTGGGTTCAAGCAGTTCTCCTGCCTCAGACTCCCGAGTAGCTGGGATTACAGGCACCCACCACCACCACGCCTGGCTAATTTTTTTTTGTATTTTTAGTAGAGACAGGGTTTCGCCATGTTGTCCAGGCTGGTCTCGAACTCCTGACCTCAGGTGATCCACCTGCCTCGACCTCCCAAAGTGCTAGGATTACAGGCATGAGCCACTGTGCCCAGCCTCTTCCTCTTCTTATAAAGATACCAATCCTATCAGATTAAGACCCCATTCTTATGATCTGACTGAACTTCAGTTGCCTCCCTAAAGGTCCTATCTCCAATGAAGTCACGTTGGGGGTTAGGGCATCAACATATGAATTTGGGTGTATGGAAGCATAATTCAGTCCATAGCATGCACCAACCTCATAGGGTTGCCACGAGGATTCACTGAGTGAATGCATGTAAAACATCAAGTGCAGTGCCCGGCACATGCTAAGTGCTGTGCTAGTGTACGCTATCAACAGAGCACTGAGCATTATGGGAGAATCCCCTTTCCATCCTTGCTGCAAGTCTAGACCCTGTGAAAGCCTAATGAATACAGTTCACATGTTATTTAATGATAGCAGGTATCTATATTGTGCTTACTATATGCCAGACTCTGCTTTAATGCTTTACATAAGTTATTGAAGCTTCACAGCAGCCTTATGAGATCTATACTCTTAGTATCCTTATTATACAAAAGGGAACTGAGGCACAGAGAGGTGAAGCAACTTGCCCAAGGTCACACAGCCATCAAGTGCCTAGTAAGTTAATAGCACACAGTTAAATAATATTATAGTTAATATTAAGTAATATTTATTAAGTGCCACCTGCCCAGCCTGGGCACAGGGTGCCTGTGCTTCAGAGGAGATAGATCCATGACCAGGCAGTGGCAGGACTGCATGCTGAGTGTTCCGACAGGGCAGACCCAGGGAACTGTCATGGAGCCCAGGATACCTAGGGCTGTGGCACCTAGCCAGGCCTGGAGAGACACCAGGGAGGGCTTCCTGGAGGTAGGAATGTTTCAGCTGAAGTCAGGAAGAAGATGGTCGAAATGCTTGGATAAGGGGCTGGAGGTGACAGTATGTGGTTGTGGGTTGTTGGAGGACTCAGCCAAAAATTTCCATTCTAAGATATTCCAGTGGTCCCTTGGCAGCACAGGGGCCCTGCATAGCCTAGAGACCCTGGGGTGGCCCAGCACTTCGTGGCAACCTGGGGGTTCCATGTTAGTTCAGGGAATTTCATGGTGGCCCAGATTTTTTTCCAGCACTCAAGGGACCTATGTGGTCTGGGCACACCATGACAGCCCAGAGATTCTGGATAATCCCAGGAATGCCACAGCAGCTTTAGGAAGTTGCAGACATTTTGGACCCTGGGGATTCTGTGACAACCCCAGAGATTGCATGGCAGCTCCAGGGTTCTGTGGCCCTATTCTTGTGGCTGCAGAAAGAACAATATGCAAACTCATAGCAGACAAACCCCTTGACTGGGGACAAAGAAAGCAGCATGGAAGGGACTGTACCCAGTGATGCATTTTACAGGGCTTAAGTCTAAGGAGGAAATTCTAAGGAGATGTGGCTGAAAGCCCAGTCCCTCCAAGGCCTGGGGAAGCTGAGGGGTCTGCACTCCTTAGGGTTTATTTCCTTCTGGGAAGCTGAAAATGAGCCACCTCGAGGAGGTCTGTGGGGAGTGCTGTCCTGACTTGTAGGCATGTGACTTGAAGAGGACTTAGGATGTGCCTGTTACCTGGATACAGAGGCACTGGTCCTCAGAGCCCTCTGAGCAGAGCATGGGGCAGAGCCCAGAGGGAGCTGTTATCTGTGAAGGGAGCTGGCATTCCTGGACCTACAGACATGAGGATTGGCCCCTCAGGGGGCTTATATGATCTGGGCCCTCCCAGGCTGGCATAGCTAGGTTTGTTCCAGCTCTGCCTCTCCAGGCCAGCTGGGTGGCTTCACCTGTCCCCACCTTGGACCCAGCACCCGCAGCCTGGGAATGGCCCTACATCTGTTTCTTAGGGGGCTTCAGGAGTTGAGTGGGGTGGGAAAGACCCCTGTATAAAAGCATGAGGACACATTCCTGCTCCACCATGGAGCCGTGCACTCCTGGGCAAACTCCTTCACACCACTGAGCTTCAATTTCCTCATCTGTAAAAAGGAGATGGGCCTAGCACGGTATGGGACATACAGTAACCAATGTTAGTTTCACCTCCACCTCTTCCGCCTGATTCAGAGATGGCAGCCAGGTGACCTGGGCATGGGGAAAAGGGTGGGTCTCAAGTGGAGGGCCCATCTGGCCCCATAATAGTCAATGGTCTTTGTGCCTTTGCCTCTGGGCAAAACCTCCCTCTTCTACCCTTGGAAGAGCCAGAATGATCACTCCCTGTGCCAGGCACTCGATGTCATTTAGCCCTCCCTCTAACACTGTGAGATAGTACTATAGCAATCCCATTTTACAGACAAGCAAACTGAGGCACAGAGAAGGCAACTCAGCTGTCCCAAGTCACAGAGCAAGGATTCATGCCCGAGTCTATCTTGATTGCAAAGCCTGGCACTAATCACCTCTCTTCCCTGGTATCCTTCTAAAAACACCCCAGGGAGAAAGAGGAAAATGGTGAGATGGGAACCAGCCGGAGAACTAATTGCATGCTTGGTGCCTGGGTAGGGGGACATCTTTGTCCCTCAGGTCTATGGCTGGCCGGGCCTGGCAGTTCCCAGTGGGGAAGCTGTGAGGAGAGGCTGGGGCTGGGTTCCACCCAGGCTGGCTCCTGATCCATTTGAGGATCTTCCAGCCCTCAACAGCATGGAGCCTGCTGAGACCACGCTCCTCCCTTTAGCAACCCTTTTTCAGAGAATTCCACTGGAAGAGGAGGGACGGAAACAGACATAACTGGAGAGAAGGAGGGGTCCCGCAGCCCACAGACCCATTTTGCTTTTCCAACCAAGTGAGAATCAGCATTAAATTGGGGGCAGAGGGGGCAAGACCCACTTCCCCTGCTCCCCCGTAGTTACATCTTCCCCAGGGCTGGAGCAGCAGCTCCATGCAAGAGTGAGAGGCCTTGGACCAGCCCCTTGCAGAGGTACATTCTCCCCCGTGGGGCCCTCCCAGCCCATGTGGGCCTAGAACACCAGACAGCCCAACTCACAGCCAGCTTCTCTGATGCCACTGCCAAATACCAGACCATTTACCAGGCTTTTCCAGAGAGCTGGTGTCCCCAACCAGACCTCTAAGCCTGCAATTAGGCAAGCAGCAGAGGGCTTAGCTTTCTCTGGGTTGTGGGCATTTCGGTGGGAAAGATAAGCTTGGTTTGGATTAAGCTAGAGCATAAAATAATATTTATCCTCAAACAATACTCTCTGGCTGGGAGCAAGTCTGGGCCTTGGGGCTTCGGAGGCTAGGGGCTGCCGAGGGATTTACCACCTCCCTCCAGGTCACCAGGAAATCTTACCTACCGACCTTCCCTCATCCTAGCTGGTTGCACAACCCAATTCACAGTGCTTGCTCTCATTACGAAATGGAATTGAGAAGATGTTACAGCATTCAGCACGTAATTATGTGCAGAGCACTTGCCCTGTGCAAAATTATCTCATCAAATCCTTGTAACTACCTTGGGAGTCGAGCTTATTGTCCCCACATTGATCCAGACTCAAGTCCCAGCTCAGTCATTTCTAGCTCTTGGCCTCAGAGAAGTGGCTTCATTTCCTGTGAGCCTCAGTTTTTTGCCTGTAAAATGGGAGTGATAATAGCTTTCTAAAGTGTGCTTAGGAAGATGAGCTAGGATTTATATAAAACGCCTCATCCGTGCCCTGGTGCCATAGTAGTACTTAATGAATGGTAGGTGATATTATAAAATCTTAGTGTTTCTGGTAAAATAGGCCTCAGGTATGTGAAACAACCTGGCTGGAGTCACAGAGCTATTCAGTGGCAAAGCTGAGATTCAGACCCCAGGTGGTGGGCCCTGTGGGAGCCAGGCCTCCAACCAACTGGTCAGGAAAAGGCCCAGGCAAGAGCTAGCCTGGCCTGCATGGGGCTGGGGGTACCACTCAGACACAGCCTGGAGCTCCGGAGAGGAAGGACCCCTGTGCTTCCTGTCCCCAGTCCCCTTTTGTGGAACAAAAGTTCTTCTGTTTTCTGTTCCTTATCCCATACCTCAGTGACCTGTGCCCCGGGGACTGGGAGAAGATCACCCTGGCTCATTCCCCAGATGAACAAAGGTGGGTCAATGCTGTCTCTGAGAGGACAGGGGCTGACTCCAGGGAGGCGGGTGTTATGTGTCAAATAGGGTGTGTGCCAGCGTCCCCAGCCTGGACACTGTAGAAGGCACTCCTCTGAGTTTTAGTGACCTTCGCCACATGTGACCTTGCTGTGTGGCCTGAGGAGATCCCTGTCCCTCTCTGGTCTTTGTTTTCTTATCTCCAAAGTAAAGGCATTGGAAGTAAACAGAAGGGACCACTGCTTAGGCTGGAGAAATCAGGGAAGGCTTCATGGCTGAGGAGACATCAAGCTGGGCCTTGGAGTGTGAGAAGGAGTTTTCCAGGCTGACCAAGGAAGAAAAGGTATTGCAGGCCCAGGTTGTAGCACCATCAAAGACACGGTAACATCAGAGTATGGGGTTTAAGTGGTGGGTGGCTCTTTTACAATGATTTGTTTTAATTACATAAATAATACATGTTCCTTGTTGTAAAAAATAGAAATCATTTGAGTATGAAGAATAAGATAAAAATCACCAACAGTCAGCTACTCTTTGGTACTGCTTCAGCTTTTTTTAACATGATTGGGAAAGTGGCTTGTAAGCTCCCTGATATATGGAGACTCTCAGCTTCTGGGCAGGCAGCAAAGAATAAAGAATTGTCTTCTGGAAGCAGAGCCAGGCCACAAGTCCCAGACAGACAGACAGGGTTTCACGGAGCTGGGACTGGGAAGAGCCCACCAGGAGCATTGGTGCCTCCTCCCCCAGGCCCCTGCAGAGCCTGCAGCGGACGCCAGGATGGAGGGACTTCTCCGCCTCTGAGGAAAGGAGGCCCAGAGGGAGGATCTTTGTGTGCACAAATGCAGCCTGTGGGAAGGGCCATGCACTGCCGCTTCTGGAAGTCCCTGGGCCTGTCAGCTGACAAAAGTGGCCATCCCGCTGCCAAACAGTCGAGGGGTCCCCATAATGGCTTCACTGTGGTTTCCTACGACGTCTGCAGGGTATGGCAGGCTGGGGCGGGAGCCCGATGACATTGTGAAGTCACTACTGTGATCTTGCCAGTTCTCCAGCGCTGCCTTTAAAATGTGGTTCATCTAATGGACATTGGGTGGGGTTGGGCAGGGGCAGTGTATGGCCCAGGAAGAGTGACCTGGAGTGGTCTGTCCATGGTCATTCGAGGGGAGAGGTGCAGGCTGCAGGGATCTCAGGGTCCATTCCTTGGGCTCCTGGCCCCGTTCTCCCATCCCCAACACAGAGAACGTTTTCTAGAAGCCTCAGCCAGGACCCGCTCAACTAAATAAAGGAGTGAAAGCAGCCCATGAGGACCCCCCGCCTCTGCTCCTCTGTTAGATCATCTCCCCGGGTGTCCAAGCATCTGGGGCCTCAGAAAGCCAGAAAGGGAGGGGACGGGGAGAAACAGCCAGGTTATGGTGACCACCTGAGCCACCATCATCTTGGCTACGAAAATAGGATGGGTTGTTCCACTTCGCCCACAGCCCCTGTGAAGCCTGTTAACGGTAATTACGAAGTTAGGAGAAATTCCCAGGCCTCCTAATTAGTGTGAATAGGGGCTGGGTAAGCTAGTCGTGGGAAAATAGATGTCTTTGTTTGCATTCTTAAGAGGAGACCACGGCTTTCTACCTTTAGGTGTAATAGAGCTTGGCTCTCTTCTCTCCCTCTCCCCACTGCTCCTGGCCTAATACCCTGTACTGTGGACAGGCACATAGTTGCACATACCCACTCACCACCATATCTCCTGTGTGTGTGCACGTGCACACACACAGACACACGCACACACAGAAGCACAATAGACTGCATCTTTCCATCCTGAATTAAGACGTCATCTGGCAAAACAAACACCAAAAACCAAACAGCATTTCAGCCATGCTTCCGGCCCCACTGACAATACCATTAAATGCCCCTTCCCCCAGCTCCACCCCAGACACCCCAGGGGACTCCTTCCCAGGCCTCCCCAGATTAGACTGTGTTAACAAACCATTACGTGTTCCAATTAGAGCGGCAGCGGACCTGGCTGGCCGGGCGTGTAAGAACGCTCTCCTCTTCCCGCTAACAGGCTGAGGGGCGCCGCCCCAGGAGGGAACAAGCCACGCTGGGCTCCCCTCTGGACGCTGTAGAGATAATGAGATCCAGCGTCTCCATCCCGGCCTGAGGAAGGCTCCCTGCTCTCTGGGTCTGGGGCCAGCCCGGGGGAGGTTTCCTTTGGAACAAGCAGGAGGAAAGGAAAGAATAAGGGAGTGAAACTAACATTTATTATGCAGTATGGGCTGTTGAGCCTGTGCCAGGAAATGTTGCATAGGATGGTGCTTTTTAAACTGAGTGGTGGGTACCCACGGGGCCCTGGGGTACTTCTTCCTGAACCAGAGGGTATACAAAGTCTCAGGGTTCACCCTGTGCATCCTAATAGAACATTAATTCTTGAAGATTTGGAAGATCACACCTACTTTTTTATTTAAACATCATATTTTTAAAATATGTGGTATATTTTGGAGTAAAATGCAAAATAATTGCATGAATATGTGAAATAAAACAGGAGATTTATAGTCAAATGTGCTCTCCCACTCTTGTGTCTGGGCTGGGTCTCCCAATCTCCAAAAATGTGGTGGTAACATGTTGTCTTCCATTGCCTCTGCGGGAACTGAGAAGGGAGAGCTTCCCCATTGTGTGTGATGTTGGGCAACCCCTATACCTCTCTGAGCCTCCCATCCCTCAGCAGCACGATGGAAATGCTAATAGCACCTCCCCAGGGCTGGCTTCACAGCCACGCGACCTGCGTAATCCCACAGAGCCCTGAACTTCAAAGGGCCCCACAGTTGGTTCGATGCTCTGCCCTTGCCATCTTGAAATTCTTAATAACTTTTGAACAAGGGACCCCCTTGTTTTTACTGAGCCCCGCAAATGATATAGTTGCTCCCCAGAAATGATGTAGCTGGTGCTGCACGTTTCAGCAGAGTTTTAGCAAGGGTTAAATCAGAAATGTGTGAAAGAAGCCCACACGGAGATTTATCCCTCCCTCCCTCTCTCCCTCCCTTCCTTCCTCCTTCTTCTTTCCCTAAACATCCATTGAGCACTCAGTATACTGGGTGCTGTGATTCAGCCATGAACGAAATCCCCTGCCCTCTTACATTCAAGAGAAGGGGAGAGAAGATGAATAACAGAAAGAAAACATTGCTGGAGATCCTGTCCACAAAGAGGGGACAGACAGTGATGGAGCGCGTGGGGTTTTGTGTGAGAGGGGCTTAGGGAAGGTCTCTGTCTTCGAGCAGAGACCTGAATAAGTCGAATAAATGAGCCATGTGGAATATCTGGGGGAAGAGAGTCCCAGGCAGTAGGATCGGCAGGTGCCAAGGTCCTGAGGCGGGAATGTGCTTGCCATGGTGGAAAAGGCCAGAGCAGCTGGAGCTGGCTGGAACAGGGTGAGGAGGGTGGTCGGAGGTAAGCCCAACAAGGCAGGGCCAGGTCACTGAGGGCCTTGTAAGCTGTTGTGAGTTTGTGGCAGGGGTAAGTAAATGACAGCATGGGGGTAGAGGACTCCTTCAGCCAGAGCTGGATGTCTGTGGCCTCCCAGGATAAGTGTCTGGAGGCCAGATGGCAAAGCGGACGAAGAAGCGTGTCCCGTTGTCCTCTGGAAACTCAAGGCAAGTTGTCTTTGGTCAAGGGATGAGTGCCAGCTGCCATGCAGGGACCTCCACTGTAGGCAAGAGATGGCTCCTCTCCCAGCTCTCTCTCCTCCAACTGGACAGTAGCTGTTTCAGCCCAGACAGCTGAGCCTCACCGCACCAAGGAGGCGACGCTGGGGGGAGGCTGGACGGTGGAGGAAGGAGTAGCCTGCCTTTCTGGAATCCTGGCCTGTCATCCATCCTGGGCCTCCATTACCACATCTTGGACAAACTGCACAGTCAAAGACCAACCCAAAAGGCACCCATGACAGTGCCTGTGCCAGAAGAGCGCCAGGATGGCCGCTGAGTGAGGTTTTCCAAGCTGTAGCCCCGCCAATGAACTCCAAGATGTACGGCAGGAATGCTGGAGACTGGGACAGCCAGGCAGCCTTGGTGCCAGGTCCCATACGCAGGGCTGGAAGCTGTGCCAGTTCTGTGCTTGTGGATAGAGAGACCCTCGTGCTCTGTTAGCCTCTCCCAAGCTGCATAACCCTGGTGAAGGGGTGTCACCTCCCTGGGACTCCCTCTCCTCATCTGTAAAATGAGGATGATAGTGATGTTATTAGCAGTAAATGAGAGTGCGGGTGAAGCACACAGAAGGTCTCCTGGCACATGGGGCATATTCACCCAGTGTGAGCCCTTGGGTACGGAGGCCTGGTCTGATAGTCCCCTCTGAACCACACCACCTGATCACAGCTCAGCTGAGAAGTAGGCCACTGAGAGATGAATCTTAAGACCAAGCCACCGTGTAATATTGCCAAAGACCTTCAGAACATGTTATGTGGCCAGGGCCAGGTCCTCAGAGCGATCATCTGTGCATGAAGTGGTTGGACTCAAGGACCTCTGTATAATGAAGTGGTTGGACTCAAGGACCTCTGAGCCGCCTCCAGCCCTGACATTGTGTATGATGGGAAAGTGACTGATTCCTCCGTGAGAGCCCACCTGCCAGGGCAGCACCGCTCAATGCTGGGCAGGACAGCAGACTGCAGGGGTGGGCAACATGACACCTTGTGGCTCCAGAGGGCTGCTGGGCAAAGGGCCTGGCCTGCAGGCTGGAGGGACTGGCTGTCCGTCCTCCTGTAGCAGGCGTGGGACTCCTGCTGTCCTGCCTGGGAGAACAGTAATGTTGGGCAGTTGTTATAAGCCCAGACTCTGCAGCCTGACTGCCTGTGTTCAAATCTCAGCTCTGCCACTTTCTAGTGTGTGACCTTGAACAAGTAACTTAACCTCTCTGAGCCTCAGTCTTCACTGCTGAGAAATGGGGGCAATAATAGCATGACCACCCAGGGCTACAGGAATGGATAACCATGTCTGGCACTCGCAGATCTGTAGAAGTGCAAACTCCTCTTGTTATTGGTTGTTTTCCTGGAACTAGGTCCCCAGCCAGTCCTGTCCTGGTGAGCCAGTTCCACAGCTGATGGAGGAGCTCCTTCCCAGACCCCAGACCCCTCGAACCTCAGCCGCCGCCCCTGAACACCAGTTCCCTCCAGGAGCAGCTGGGCAGCTGTAATATCATGACGAGAACAGGTCATGGGAAGGAAGGATTTCTTTGAGCATCACTCAAGAAGTTGAGCAAAGAACTCCAACATCCCTATTTCCGAGGGAAACATGACCTAAAAAGGGTCTTCATCCTAGTTTTCTATTTGTGAACTGAGGATATCAGTCCCTCAAAAGGTTGTTGGAAGGCTGCAATGAACTGTATGGGAAAATACATCTCCGCCACCTGTAGCCCAGCAATGCAAGTGCCCGCTGTATGCCAGGCACTGTTCAGACACGCTCCACCTGCTTTATCCTTTCCAACTGGCAGGGGAGGCACTGCCTGCCCAAGGGCACACAGGTAGGAGGTGGTTGGTGAATTCAGACCAGGGCCAACCGTTCTTGACCCTGTCCTCATTGTCTCCAGTTGCAGGCACCCAGGAAATAGGATCCAGGTTCTACTTTAGGTTTGTCTCTTCTCAGAACATTTACCTTGGCAAACCTGATATGATGCCTTCTATAAAGGACCTGTTTCCCATAGAATCTCTTCTCTAATAACATTTGCTGTTGGAATTATACCTTGGAAGGGGTCACTGGTGAAAGAATGACTTCCGGCTAAATTCAGAATCATCTTCCCAACTCCCACAGTGTGGCCCATCTTCTTAGGCTCTCTCTGACCCAGCTCTGTCCAAGTGGTTAGGGTCCCTGGTGGTCCTGGAGTCACCAAACCAGGGCTCAGATGTGAAGTGACTTGCCCAAGGTCACACAGCACCCAGGGATAGGGTCAGATCAGACCCTGGACAGCCTCATCCTAAAGCCGCCTCCCATTCCCCTAGAAGCGCAGCATCCATGTGGTCCCTGGGAAACCCTGTCCCTGCCCCTTGGAACTTCCTCTTCCTTAATTAAGGGGCAGCTGGGGGGAAATGAAACACCTACCCGTTCTTCCTTTTCCCATTGAGGAGGCTCCCTGAGGCCCCTGCTCCCAGCGGGTCTCCACAGTCCTGAGGCTACCTCGGGCAAGCAGGGCTTTGTACAGTGGTTCACACATGCAGAGCCTCTAAATTAAAGGCAGCCACCTCCCTCTGGGGGTCATAGTCCCAGGGCAGGGCTAGGGGATTTATGCCCAGGCTCCCGGGTGCGGTGTGCTTTAAGAGGATGTGTTGCCGCTGATGTTAGCAGGTAGCGTTCCACCTCACCAGGAAATGGTCAGAGAGAGAGACACACACACACACACACACACACACACACACACACACACAGAGAGAGAGCATGTGCGTGCATGTATGTGTGTGTTCCAAGAGGGAAGAGAGAGCAGAGACAGAGAGACAAGACTCTGAGATGGAGAGAGACGGAGGGACAGCCTGGCACATGGGACTCAAGGCCAGAGAGTGGGGTGTGGCCGAGACACCAAGCTAGCTGGCTGGCCGTGAAGCCTGAACTTAAACCCAGACCCCCAGACCCCCAGACCCAAGGGCGCTGCCTTTTGTTCTTACATCCTCAAGAACTGCAGAAAAGGTACCAGTTTGCCTGATTTGAGCCTGGCTTGAAGCCCCGTCGGAGTCCTGCTTTCAGCACCCCTACTTCAGACACACAGAGGGCACTTTCCTGGGTGGAGGCACCATTGCTGTCTGTGTTTAGCAGGGCAGCATGAGTGTGCCCGACTGTACCTGCGACCTCCCCTGCCAAGCTCAGGCACTGGGCACCATGAGGCAGGAACAACAGCCCCTGAAATCTAGTGCTTTTACAGGATGAGACCCACCTTCCCTCTGCTCCCAAGAGTTCTGTTTCATTAAAACCTGGATCCTTCCATTTTAGTGACGTTTCTTAGCTCTGCAAGCCACGGATTGGGCTATATGTACATTTTTAAATGACGAGGCTGGCTCATCAAATATTCAGACCACCATTTCCATTTCCAAAAGGACAATACCTGAATCCTTTCCTCCCAGAAATGGAGCTAGTGGCACCTAGATGTTTCTGCAACATTGGCACTGGGAACCGTGAAACCATGGCACAGTGGCCCTCGGTAGATAGCAAAAGGTGTGGCTTCCAAATGAGTCATAACAGCGCGTGCTTCTTTTCCGTGTTTCATGCGGTGTGGTCTCACTCAACATTCACAATGACCTGTGAGGTTACAGGGTGTGCTGAGGCTCAGAAAGGCCAAGGCCACACAGGTAGTAAGTGGCAGAGACAACTCCACCCAGGCCACTCTGGGTCCCTCAGCCACTCTGCATGATGTGTTCCCAGAGAAGCCCAAGGCAGGCAAGTAACTTGCTCAACATCAGAGTCTGGTTAGTGGCAGAGCAAGGGCCAGACCCTGGGTCCTCTGACTCCCACTACAACGCTCTTTCTACTGGGGTTTCTGATTCTGCTCCACGCTTTGCCCTACCAGCTTTGGGACTTGGACACCTCTGAGCCCGGATGCTGGAGAGACTGCCTAGGTTCGGATGCCAGCTTAATCACTGTGTGACTCAGGACCAGTGACTTCACATCTCTGTGCCTTGGTTCCTCATTTGTAAAATAGGCATAATAATTGTACCTACTTTGTAGGTTGTTGTGAAAATTAAATGAGTTAACAGATGCAAGGTATTTACAACCGTTTCTGGCACTTAGCAAGCACTCTGTATTAACTCTTATTGCCATCATCACCATTACTGCCATACCGTCTCTTCCCCAGGGATGCACAGGAGACGACTGGCTCATCTGTGCCAGGGGCCCAGCCTCCTCTCTGCCCCAGGTCTGCCCACACTGCCTCCAGCCTCCCTGCCCCTTCTAATTGCTATTGGGCCTCAGCAGAGCAGGGAAGAGACCTTCCCAGGCACAGCAGGCTAATCAAAGTGCACACCTTTGGCTTATCATATGCTCTGGATGGGTCATTTGTCATCCATTATGGCCCCAGAGACGGGGCCAAGGTCCACAGCAGGCAGGCGGACCGAAGCTGCCCAAACAGATCTCAGCACAACCGTTCCATGTGCCTTCATTGCCTGGTCCTCTGGCAACCCTTATGCAGCAAAGCTCTGTTCCCATGTGGTACAGGGGTGGGGGTAGAGGGGCTTGCTGTTTTCAAACAGGGCAGCAGCGTCAGGCCCCTGGCCTCGATGGGCGATCAGCTCGACTTCCTCCAGTTCCTTTAGCCTCTTCTGTTGGAAAGATCCCCCCTGTGCGGTTCAGCCCCTCACATTCCCCACTCGGGGCTTTGGCTAAACCTCACCGGCTCCCAGGAGTCACGGCCAGAGCTCTCCCTGCAGAGGTTTAAGTCAGCCACCACTTGCCCAGTGTTTCTCATTGCTAAGGGCATTGCCTGTGACCCATGAGGGCCTCATTTGACCCTCATGATGACACTGGGAGGTGGGTGCCATCTTTATTCCTATGCTCCAGATGAGGCTGCTGAGGCTCAGAGAGGTGCAGAGACTTGCCAGAAGCTGCACAGCCACATGGGGCTTGAACCCAGCTTTCTGGATAGGCAGTTCTGTTCTCTCTCCATTCTCTGTCCCCACACAACAGAGGGAAAAACATTCACTGAGAGTCCTCTGCATTAGCCCAAAGTCACTCCCTCAATAGTTCTTAAAGTCAGGGTTCCACAAACTATAACCTGTGGGCCAGATCCTGCCCAGTGTTAATTTGTAACTAAAGTGGGGTTGTCCCAGAGTCATGCCCAGTTGTCCACGTGCTCTCTATGGCTGTTTTCTCAACCCAAAGGAGATCTGGGTAGCTGTGATGGATACAATATGGCGCCAAATCCTAAAATAGGTATTATATGGCCCCTTATGGAAAAAGTTACCAACACCGCTCTAGACCAGTGTTTGGCACATCCTCTCTTGTCCCCATCACATCGATGTCCCTTCCCTAAGCCCTTCTCCGGTATTTATTACCTTCCATCCTGCCCAGCTCCCATGAGGTGAGCCAGGTGGGGATTTCTGTCCCCATTCCACAGATGGAGGAACTAAGACCTGGAGAAGATAATGATGATTGTTACTATTATTTTTTTTTCCCCCAAAGAAAAGTAGAAATATTGTCCTGGTGCTCTGAAAGGGTGACTCCTTGCTTATCCCTGGGCTTCCTGGTGGGATTGCCAGCGTCCTTCCGGGCCTGGAGAGCCTGACGGGTTGGTGGAGCTGGTGACCGGTCCTCTGTGGAAGGATGAGGCATTTCTCAGCTTCCCTTTGTTTCAGCCCCCTGCCTGTCTCTTTCCAAGCCCAGCCCTCTCCCTCCCCCAACCCCTGAAGCACATCTTTCTTTATGACTCCAAGGAGCAGCTGGGATGTTTTTTATGGGGAGGAAAGAAAACAGGACTCTCTGACTCCCTCCTGTCCATCTACTGAGGCCCAAGCCCCAGGTTCTCTCTTTGATTCATTTCCTCGCAGGCTTTTCTCAGCCACGCAGGGTGCTTCTGTCACGGTCTCTCTGTCTTCCGGTTGTTCACCCTCCATAATTTGAGCTCTGAGTACCTGTAGTCATTCCTCTTATGGGAAGGGGTTGTGGCCGCCCCTAATTCGGGCCAGGTGACTAGAATCAATTGCAGTTGCCCTGAGAAGACCCTCTGTCTCCAGTATTTATTACCAAGCAAATATCAATGGGGCAGATGCCCTGTGGGGTGAGGCCTGGGACTGGGCTTGATTTCTGCTCTGATGACAGTTCCTGGGCCCTGGGGGTTGGGGGAAGCCTGCCTTGGAGCTGGAGGATGCTGTGAGAAGGAAGGGAGGCCTCCACTGTCTGCCTGCCTTCGAGGTTCAGGAAACTTGCCCTCCCTGGGACCGGAAGACACCTGTTGCCTCTGGATCTGGAAGCTTCTGGGAGCTTCAGGCCCTTGAGTTCTGAGAGACCTCTCCTTCATGCTGCACACGAGCATTATTCAGGCAGGAGGAGACGTGACACAAGACCAGCAACGTCTCTTTACTGAACACAGGCTGAGAGCTGAGAAAGCTCATTGCAGAGAGGAGCAGACAAAGTGAAATTGATGGGACATTGATGGCAGCTTGGGGTAGCTGAAGGAGCTGTGAAATCAGCAGTAAAATCAAATGCGCGCCACTTAGTTCATCCCAAGCAAGCACGGCTCCAACACGGCTGTGTCATCTCAGGCAAACTGCTTAACTTCTCTGGGCACCACTCCTGGGGAAATAGAATCATCTCTGCTGTGCTGGCTTTGCTGGACGGTTGTGGGGATCAAGCAAGAACATAAACACGGAGGGCTTTCGGGGCTGTGAAGCAGAGAATCAATGCAAAGAGATGTTTTGTGATTCATGTAAAGGAGGAAGGAATCTGGGTTAGATGCCAGGAAGGACTTCCCCACTTAAGGAGGAGACGTGGGAATAAGGTTGTGGGGGTTGCCTTCCTTCCTAAAGATCTGTAAGAATAAGGTCAGTTTGGCTGTTGAGAAACAGTCTTGATATTCACAGAGGCATTGGCCAAATGACTTTGAATGTCTTTTTCATGACACTATAGTTAGTTCATTCACGCAGGAAAGTGATCAGTGGCCATATCAATATGTGCACATAAGTGTGTGTGTGTGATCTGCATCCACAGCTTGTCTGTGTGCCTGGGTATATATTGTCTGTGTGGGTTTGTTTGCACGTGTCTCTGTGTGTAGAGCAAGAGGCTGGAGCCAGAACTCCAGCTGACTCATCTTCATTATGGAGTTGTTGGAAGAATTTACTCTTGCTGTCCTAACCAACTGGGGAGGACTTGGACAAAGTACCAGAGTGAAAAAGGATTTTAGATTTGATTTTTATTTTTTATTATCTGACTTTCTAAATTTCGGCTAATAAGAGCTAGATGAAGAGCCTCAGCTCTGGAATCGACTGCTGAGGCCTGAATCCAGGGCCCCTGCCCCATGCCCCAACCTCTGATCTTGGCTCCTACTTCCCCTCTCAGGGCCTCAATTTCCACATCTGTAAGATGGGGGTGGCAATGCCTACTTGATAGGGACATTGCAAGGGCCAAGTGAATTAGAACATGCAACGTCCTTAACCCAGTGCCTGGCCTGTAGAAAGTGCTTCATACATGCTGACTGTACTCAAAGAGCACTGGCTTTGGAGCTCCTCAGCAGTGGTATAGCCTTGGGGGAGTCACTTCATCTCTCTGACCCCAGTGTTCTCAGCTGTCAACTGGGAATAATAATATGCCTGACTCATAGACTATAGTGGGGTTCAAAGGAGATAATGTAAGAACTTAGCACAGTGTCCACTGCACAGTAGGCATTTAGGAGGTAAAAGTAAGTTTCCTGTGTTCACCTGCAAAAGGGAAACTCTCCCTGGGGCCCGCCTTTCCCCTCTCCTGACCCTTGCATAGCCCCAGTGTGGAATTCTGTGTCTCACCCTCTCCCTGGGTTCCAAATACCACCTGCTTTATCCTGTCTGACACTAAATGCACCAAGGAAAGCCGGAAGCTCCCTGCACCCTTTTCTGCTGGGGTAGGGCTGGGAATGAGGCTGTGCTGGCAGGAGTACCCAGCGCTCCCCTGGCTCAGAACTGTGCCCTTTCCCTCCTAGTTCCCAGGCCCCCTTAATACCCGTGAAGCCATTAAATATTTAAATCTGGGCAGTGTGGTGGGCCAGGTTGTCCCAGCAACAGCCCTGCATATTTTGGGATGGATTATTGTCTTTCAAAGGGTCTTTTTCAGAGCTCCAGGCCCTGGTGGGGATGCAATGTGGGAAGGGAGGAGGTGAGGCAGCTCCTGCCCCACTCTGAGGCTTGGCTGTGAGAAGCGGCAGAAACTGAGTCAGAGAGAGGGCAGGCTTTGCCCGAGTTTTCAGGGTCTTGACTCTAACCCAGGACTCGGGGCTGCCAACTCCTCCTCTTCACCACTTGCTTCTGCCTTGTGAGTGCCCATCAGCCGGCAGGTGCCCGGGACTTTAGCAGCCATGTGCCTTCTGGCATCTGAGACCCTGTTCTTCTCTCACCGACTGGGCCACGTGGGAAGCTTACTCACCTTCTCTGAGCCTCAGTTTACCCCTGGGTAACTCAGGAATAATTCACCCACTTTTCAGGTGATGTTGGAAAGTGCTTAGTATGGTTCCTGGCACACGTGAAGCAGGAGCAGTTATGACACTGACAACATTATTATAATGACTGAATCCTTATTGGGGGGCACCATCTAGTACCCCCTGTATTCTCTGAAGGGACTCAGAGGAAGTGGGAGAAACAGTCCCGATCACCAAAGGGTTTATAATCTGGTAGAGAAGGTTCAACAGCAGCGAGTCCAGAGTCACCTTTCCCTGGGGCTGGGCTTGGCTTGGGCTGCATTTGGAGGTTGCCTGGTGTGTGGCCAGGAGTACCTAGGTTGGAAGCCTTGGCTACACCATTCAGCTCTGATTTTGCTATGAGCCTCTTGGCCAGTCCCCTCCCCTCTGGACAGTCTCCTGAGCTGTAGAATTGGGGTAACCTCTAAGTTACTTTCTGGCTCAGCTCCCTGTCCAGGATTTGAATTCCAAGGCAGCTCTGAGACCCAGGTGGGATGGATGCACCAGAAAACCACGAGGATGGTGATATAGTTTGGCTGTGTCCCCACCCAAATCTCATCTTGAATTGTAATCCCCATGTGTCGAGGGAGGAAAGTAATTGGATTATGGGAGCAGTTTCCGCCATGTTGTTCTCATGATAGTGAGTGAATTCTCACGGGATCTAATGGTTTTATAAATGGTAGTTTTTCCTGTGCTCACACTCGCCTCTCTCTCCTGCCACCCAGTGAAGAGGTGCCTTCCGCCATGATTGTAAGTTGCCTGAGGCCTCCCTAGCCATGCCTAACTGTGAGTCTTTTAGTTACCCAGTTTCATGTATTTCTTTATAGCAGTGTGAGAACGGATTAATACAGATGGCCTGTTTCTCCCACCCTTGGTCCTGGGGGCACCCCCTTAGGAAGTGGGCCCAAGAGGATAAGGCCAGTCCTGCAAGGTCCTCCTGGTCCCCATGTAAACCCCTCTCCTTGAAGATGATTTCAGGGCTGAGGTGGACATCTCAGAGTCCCTGACACACCCCAGCCATAGGCTCCAGCAGGGCTCACAGCATCTCTTTCCCTACATTCCATTCCCCACCACAAACCTCTGGGTAAGCAGAAAAGGCCATGGCCACCTCACACCCCAGCCCCAGGCTCTCTCTGGAGGCAGGAGGGTTTCCAGAGAATAAAGTCTCCATTCCAGACACAGGCTGGCTGGCCCCAGCAGGAGGCCGGTGGCATCAACCATCCAGTTTGGGCTGCCTAGAAGAGGAGGGGGCAGAGGCCAAGAGCCAAAGCCCACATGGGGTGATGTCAGAGAACCTGGGCTCTGGCTGCTGGAAATGACCTGGAAGGGTTCCATGTGGGTTTGACTGGCAGTTGGGCCATTAGCTGATGACTTGGATGTCCCCCAGATTTGGGGGCCATAATTTTCAGCTTGCTTGGAGCCCTGGACCCCAGATAAACCTCAGGGGCCTTCTCATCTTGTGGTCTCTGAAGCTAACTTTGTAGACCTCCCAGGGATATGAGAAAAACAGAGACTCTTGGGCCCTTCATTGAGCCTGCAGAATCCAAATCTTAGGGCTAGGTCCCAGAGGTCTGAGGGTTAGCAAGCTCCCAGGGGCTTTTCCGATGCTGACTGGCTCCCTGTTCTCCCTGTGACCCAGAATGGCTGGGGCTGCCCTAGGCAGGAAGATGGCCACGGTCCTGCCCCACAGGCTCGTTCCATGGAGTTTAGGGTTTTGATCCCCAGCCTCTTTCCTGTGCACATGGTCCCATTTGCTCCTGCTGCAAACTTTTTGTCCCTCTGCTGAGAGCTGGGGCTAAGGAGAAGGATGATCTGGGGGAAGGACGGGAATTGTTGAGTGGCAGATTGGACTGCTAAGACAGATGAGGTGAGCCATTACCTTCAAGGCCAAACGAAGTTCTCATTCTGGGGTCCATGTATTCCATAGAACTCAAGGGATTGGTGAACTTTGAGAAACATATTATAACTTCACTTTAACGTTTCACTGAAAATGGGTATTTTCTTCCATTATGAACACAAGCAACAAACCACAGTACTGTTAGCAGTACTTGTGACTTTGTCATCAACAGATCTAAGTACATATTTTCAAATTACCTAAAAATTGCTGGGAATTTCTTGGCCGGGAGCAATGGCTCACGCCTGTAATCCCAGCACTTTGGTAGGCCAAGGCAGGCGGATCACGAGGTCAGGAGATCGAGACCATCCTGGCTAACACAGTGAAACCCTGTCTCTGCTAAAAATACAAAAAATTAGCTGGGCGTGGTGGCGGGCGCCTGTAGTCCCAGCTACTCGGGAGGCTGAGGCAGGAGAATGGCGTGAACCCAGGAGGCGGAGCTTGCCAGCCTGGGCGGAACCCAGGAGTGAGCCGAGATCACGCCACTGCACTCCAGCCTTGGCAACAGAGCAAGACTCCAACTCAAAAAAAAAAAAAAAAAAAAATTTGCTGGGAATTTCTTAAAATGATGATAGTTATTAGATCCATCACTAGATCTTGAGTTTTGCATGTTTATTTAAAAAAAGCACTTGTATTATTCTACTCCAAATTTGCTTTTAAAAAAGTATTTTGGTTGTGCACAGTGGCTCACGTCTGTAATCCCAGCACTTTGGGAGACCAAGGCAGGAGATTGCTTGAGCCCCAGAGTTCGAGACCAGTCTGGGTGTCATAGGGAGACCCTGTCTCTACAAAAAGGGAAAAAATTAGCTGCGCATAGTGGCATGCATCTGGAGTTCCAGCTACTTGAGAGGCTGGGGTGGGAGGATTCCTTGAGTCCAGAAGTTGGAGGCTGCAGTGAGCCATGATCATGCCACTGCATTCCAACCTGGGCAACAGGGCGAGACCCTGTCCCCCAAGATAAAGTTTCTGATAGCTCTATTTCAATATAAATGGTTTCCTTTTTAATCTTATGTATTATATTTAGGTGGGGTCCAGAGGCCTCACGAGACTGCCGAAGGGTGGGGGTGGATGGGAGAGATCCTTGCTAAGGGGCTAGGTGCTGGGCTTTGGAGTCAGGCCAGATGGCTTTTGCAGCCTGACTGAATGATGTGAGGTAGGTTGCACACCATCTCTAAGCCCAGTTCAATTACAGGTCAGCGGAGAGTGGACACACCCTCTAGATTCTTGTAAGGACCTGTATGCCTTTAGTTCAAGGCCAGGTGTACAGAAAGAGCTGTGGAAACCCAGGCTCTGGTTAGCATGAAATTTCCAAAAACCTTCAGGGAGGCAACCTGGAGGATAAGAAACAAGACTCAGTCCAGGTGAGCCAGAGCAGGTGTTGCCAGAAGCTCTGGCTTGTGCAAGGCTGGGCAGCGGACACGGTGAGGATTGGTGGGACTGCTGTGGCCGTCAGCCCATGTGTGTGTATAGGGGGTTCCTGAGGGACTAGGACACAGGGACGCTTTGGAGCAGCCAGAGCAGGGCTATCCATCACCAGAGGAACTTCAGAGGCTGCTGCTGGCTGATCCCCCAGACCTCAGGTCTAGGGGTCACTCCTTCCATTCTTTCTGGCCAGTGAGGCTCCTGCAAAGGCCAAGGATGCTCACTAAATGGGAAATGAACAAAAGCACGAACGTAGGCAGGAGTGAATGAATCAAGAGTGTTATGGTGTGAATTACCACAAGAATAGTGGTTGGTTGGAGGAAGCTTGTTCTTTGACTACTCAGGGAGGCCACTGAGTGGATGCTCTCTGAACCCCAGGGAAGCAGCCAGGCCACCTGCCCCCTTGTGCCTACAGCCCCTTCCCCAAGGCTGTGGGAGGCTGCGGGGCTGTCTGCTCTCCCCACAGCAGGCTGAGTCAACCTTCCTTCCTATCCCCTGGTGCTTATACCATCTCCCAGAACTGGGGTTTCCCTGCCACACCTGGATGTCTGCTTCTCTCCTCCTGGTACCTGCCTTTCCCCAGATCACCAGTTTGGCTGCCAGGCACCTTTCCTGCAGGGCTCTGCTGGGCTCACATGACAGGGTGTAGGTAGGCATCCTGAGCAGAGAGGGTGGCTTCACTCTGACCCGCGCCATTCCTCCCAGGCCCCTGGACTTGGTTGCTTGGCCTGCTTCAACTACACTTGGCTGTTGGAGGTGGACGCTAGTGTCCTCAGGCCAAACACTCTTCCTAATGGAGTGACCTCCGTGCTTCTGTGCTCCCCCCAATTTCAAACTGCGTGGGTTTCCCAGGTTGCCTTGCCTTCTGACAAAGTGGCAAAGTAACAGTCCCTGAAAGAGGGCAAAGAGCTTTGTCCGCAGAGGCCTTTGCAAACAGGTGGTCTCAGTACAATGTCTAGTGCCTAAGACAGGCAGAGGGACCTCCGACCTGTGTCTGGGACTGGCACCTTCTGTGGCTTAAGTCCAGCCCCGGTCTATGGGGGATGGGAGGCATGGATTGTTTGAGGGTGACCCTGGGGATTGGGGGCTCAGAGTCCTCTGGAAGACAGCCAGGGCAGAAGAGCCAGGAACCTTATTTTGTCCCAGCAGGTCCTCCAACCTACTGTGTGACTTCAGGCTAGTGAGCCGCAGTTTCCTCATCTGTAAAACATGACTGCTCACCTCGCAGGGTAGTTGAGAGGGTCTGATGACATAAAGTGTATAAAGCACTTTCAGGAGTTACCTACGTGCAGGTGTAATAAGTCCTGGGAGGCTGCCTCAATTGGTGGGAAGAGCAGCGGGCTTCATGTCAGGAGGTCCTCGTTCTAGCTGTGCTGTGTGACTCTGGGCAAGAGCCCGTCCCTCTCTGGGCCTCAGCTCCCGCAGTGTGAAATGAGGAGTTGGAGACAACCTTCACTAAGATGCTTCCTTCTTTGACGATTCTCTGATGGCCCTGTGGGTGTTCTACATGGGACAGAGGAAAGGGCTGGTGGCAGGGACAGGGTGCCCATCCTGGCTCAACTCACAGACTAGAGAGGGGTCCTTCCCAGAGCCTGCAGATGCTCTGTGCCACCTTGACATTCACAGCTCCATGAGCCGGCGGGGGCAGGGGAGGCTGTCATTTAGGATCCAATTGCATCCACAGCAGGCTGTGCTCCTGGTTAATCCTTAAGGCACCCGCCCCTCAGGAGCCTAATTAGATTTTATCCCCCGCTCAGCTGTGACCATGTCCCCATGTTGGTGCCAGCACCAGGCACGCCAGGATCTCAGGCCAATTGCTTGTTTATGAGACCGTCTGTCTTGGGATGAGGCCCAGCAGGCACAGCCAGTGAGCAAATAAGTCCTCCCCATCAGCCTTGAACCTGATGGCAAGAATCATTGTTAGTCTTCTAGGCCTCGGGCCGGCGTCCTGACCAAGGAAAAGATGTGGGTTTGCAGTCCAGCAAAACCTGGCTACAAATCCCAGCTCCATCTCTTCCCAGCTCTGGGACCTTTCTAGCCCCATGAAGCTTTAGTTTCCTCATCCCTAAAAGGGAATGATGATAATATCGTCTACTTTGTAGAGCTTTTTGGAGGATCAAGTGAGATCATTTTAAGTGAACGCCCATAATACATTGCCTTGCGTTAATATCAGGCCTTAGTAAATGCTGACCCTGTCCCAGTCCTCCCCACATGGCCTCCCTGATTCTAGGCTCTCCCGACCCCAGCCTCACCCTGGCAGTCAGGGTTTCGTTTCTGTATCTTGCCTGGCAAGCCCAGGACACTGGGTTAATGTGGCCATTAACACTTCTCTCCAAGTAGGGACTGCGGTGATTGAGTCTCACTAGACTTGAGTGAGTCCTTGAGGAAGGGCAGCCCTTGGTCCCTATGCCTTGGACCAAGCCCAGGGCTGGCGCTGTTGGTGCCGGGAGCGCAGGAAGGAGGGAACGGGGTGTGCAGCCTGTCAAGTCCTTTCACCCTCATCATCCCCTTGCATCCTCCTGGAAAGGATCCTAGAAGTTAGTTCTGAACATCCCCACCTCCCAGATGCGGAGGTGAGGCTCTGGAGGTGAGGCGTCTGGCTCAGGCTTATGGCTGGCACAGGCAGATCCCCCACTGGTGGGAACGCAGTTGCAGGGGAACACACGGTCCTCTGAGGCTCTGCCCTTGGCCACAGCGCCCTCTCCTGGCCAGGGCACGTGCAAGCCCTTTCTCGGCTCTGCACCAGCCCAAACCTTCCTCCACTGGGGGCTTCTCCATCTCTCTTGTCCGGCCGCCTCCTTTCCTTCTCTCTAGAAAGCATGCCTGGGGGCGGGGGGGAGTGAAAGTAAAAGGAGTGATTTATGAACTGAGCTGTTCTTCTTAATCAGAGAGCCCCTCCTGGGCCCCTGCTCCGTGCAGATGGGGCTGAGCCGCCATCTGGGCGACAGGAGGGGCGAGATTAATAAAGCTGTCTGGCCCGGGCAGGGGTCCGCCGAGGAAAGCCCCGAGGCACTGCGTGACCTCGGTCCCATCTCTGTGCCTTTCTGGGCCTCAGGGCTCCCATCTGTCAAGGGATGGCCGGCCTGGGCCATCCCCAAGGGCCTCCAGCTGGCTCAGGGAAGAAGTTTAGCCAACTTCCTGGGCCTCTGTGCCTCGCTGCCTGGTTCAGGGAAGAGCAGCACTGGGCTGGAGACTTTGCAGACTGGGGCACGGCGCTTCCTGTCTCTGGTGCCACACCCCACGGATAGGTGTCGTATCAGGAGCTCTGGTTTGGGGTCCAGCTGACTTGGGGCTAAATCATAGCCATGTTTTGCTAACCAGGTAAATGAACTCAGACGAGTTAGTTACCCTGCCCACGCTTCAGTTTCCTCATCTGTAAAATGGGATAATAATAATACCCACCTCCTAGGTAAGGATTAAATAAGAGGACAGGTAGGAGAAAGGTATAGTGGAGTCTGGTACATGGTAAAACCTCAATCCTAGTAGTTATTAGGCTCAGTTACCACAAAATTGTGGCAATTTGTTAGAATTTGGGTCTGTTTAGGGGAAAGATGTTTGTATCCACGCTACCCAAGCCATGTGTCCATGGTTCTCCCCTATACCCTGCTCCATTCATAACTGGTGAATGTGGGCTGGGCATCCACTTATTTCCAATATCTGATGCTGCTGATAATAATAGCTCCCATGGTACTGTGAATTCTTACAACCACCTTTGGCTTCCAAATTCATCATCACAGTTTTCCAAGGAGAACCTAGCACCTTGGAGAGGGGGGTGACTTTCCCAAGGTCTCCAGGGAGCTGGCCAAGGCAGAAACCAACCCAGCCTCTGCAGAAGCATCAGTGATGGGGTGAGCATGGCAGGTGTCACTGGGCTGTCCTCTTCCAGGACAAATGAGCCAGTCAATAGGATGGGGGCTCACAGAGGACAAAGAAAAAAAGGGAAATGAAGTTAGTTCAGGGAAGTTGGGACACCACAAGGGGTGAGCCCATTCCCAGCCAGGGTACAGCATTCAAAGGGGCTGGAGCTCCCTGGTGGGGAGGAGGCAGGCAACCGCCAGACATTCCCCAGAGTTCAGCATCTCCTCCTTGTCTCTGGGTTGGCCTATGTCATCCATGTTTCTCATATCAGCCTCAGTGTCCAGACGGAGATGAGGCAGGGAATGGTGATACAGGGGACCAGGACTGGGATGCAGCAGGAGAAGAGAAGCGGCAGGAAACCCATCACCCCGTCCTTGTTTCCCTGAGCCCTGGGGCTGGGCATGGGGTGCAGGCCCTGAACTACAAAGCTGGAAACAGCTTGAAATCTCCCGAGGATGCTTGGCCTTGTCACTGGCATCTCCAAGCCTCAATTTCATTCTGTAAAAACCACTCACCTGTGTGCCCATGGTTATTTGCACCTTGCACTCCCTGGCACTTCCCCGGCACATAGTAGCAACTCAATGTACATCTACTCAGTGGATGGTAGATGGCTGACTGGGTGGATTGAGGGAGGAAGGGAGGGATGGGTAAATGGGGAGGAATCTTTCACCCACCACCCCTTCACTGACCCCAGTGAACCTGTGGTAGCCTGCCTCGTGGGCTATTGTGAGGATTCATTGTGATCACACAGGAAGAGAAAGCACTTTCTGTAAACGCCACTTTTGACTCTGACCCCTGAGTTTGGATTCCAGCCCCATCACTTACCAACAGTGTGATGTTGGACAAGTCAATTCTCTCTCTTTTCCCATTGGACTCAGTTTCCCCATTGTACTGTGGGGATGATGGTGTGATACCTACTTCATAGGGTTGTTCTGAGCATTTCATGGGCTCACGCATGCCAGCACTGTACCCCAAGTGCACGGAGTACCTGAAGCTGGTGCACACAGATGGGGCAGGCAGTTGAAGGGCCTGTCACATAGGTATGTTTAGGCCAAATAGGGGTGCCAGCTCCCGGGGCTGTGGCCATGTCTCAGGAGGGAGGCCTCTTCTCCTGCCTTTCCATCTTCCCATCTCTACCTCTGCACTCCCCCAAGACTAGCCTTCACCATCCCCTTCCCCACAGTTCCTCTCCCCTCTGCCCAGAGTTATGCCGGTGGAGTTAGTCCTCCCCACTGTGGGTTCCCCAGCCCTGCTGTTATCTGCCTCCTTGTCTCCTCCACGCTGCCACCACCACCACCACCACTACCACCACTCACTTGTGTGCCCATGCTTATTTGCACCTCACACTCTCTGGCACAGCCCCTGGCACATAGTAGCAACTCAGTGTACGTCTACTGAGTGGATGGTAGGTGGGTGAGTGGGTGGGTTGAGGGAGGAAGGGAGGGATGGGTAAATGGGGAGGAATCTTTCACCCACCACCCCTTCACTGACCCCAGGCAGGCTCGTACTTGGAGGGATTTTGGATAGACATGGATATCTCTCCCTTCCTTCCCTAGGAACACCCCCACAGCCCAGGCTTCCCCAGGTCCCAGGTCTTCCTGGGACTGTCCTCTAACCCAAAGTTTGAGCAGGAGCTGGCTGTGGAATTCCCCGCAGGAGTGATAGAACAGGAGTCTCCATATGGGCCTGTTTTGACTTCTGAAATCGAACCCTCATTTCCACTGCTGGGAGCTGGCCCTCTGAAGGAACCTTCTCACAAATCCTTATGCAAAGCCAAGAAACACTTTCCAGCATCAAATCTCTCTCTCCTGGGAGTCTGGGTTTTGGGGGAGGAAGTTGATGAACAGGGCCCTGCTGGCACTCTCTCTGCTGAAGTATTGTGGATGCCTGGGTGGCATCCATGGATGCAGGTTACTCACACCCATCATCTCCTCCCAGGCCATCAGCCTCATGTGCAGCCGTGTCAGCATACATGAAGCCCATGCTAGAATCTGCAAGTCTATTAAAGATGTGCCTTCCAAGGCAGCACCTGCAAAGGCACCCAGGAGCTGCCATCTGGGCAGAAGGCCACTCCCCCGCTGGAGTGGCCTCAGGTGCTGAGAGCTTTTCATGAGCTCTAATGGGCCCAGATTAGCAGGACAGTTGCCCCGAGTGTGTGTATCTGGAGGGCGGGTTTTCATAAACAGCTCCTTTCATGGGGCTGCTCTTTATTGACTTCCTGTAGTAATTGAATATTTTCTCTTATTGGACAAGCTGGGCCGATAAAAGAAATATACACAAGCCTCGCTGACGGGAGAGTCTGTCCTGCTGATGCCCGAAGAACTGCCCAGGTGACACATTGGCAATAGCCTCTCCCTTCTCAGTGTACCTCTGCCCCATCACCTGACACGGTCCCATCTCCACTCTGATCCTTTCCAATCTGCCTGTTTGCCTCTGTGTCTCCTTCGGTCTTTCCCTCTCTTTCTGACTTGGCTTTGTGTATTTCTCTGATTTGCTGACTCCACTGTCTCTTTTTGCTCTTTTCCCACTATACATTCATTCATCTATTCATCCAGATATATAATTGAGGACCCACTATGTGCCAGGCACTGCTCCAGACACTAGAAATAAGCCAGTGAACAAAACAAGTCCATGCCTTTATGAAACATGCATTCTAATAAAGGCAGATGCATGCTCCCAAAATAAATAAGTAGCACATAGCGTATGTGCTGTACCCACAGGGCACTGGGCTGGGCTTCCAAGTTCATATCCATGACTAATTAATTGGTTTTGGAACTTGGCCAAGCTCCTTTTCCCTCTCTCGGCCTCAGTTTTCTCATTTCCAAAATGAGGGTATTGGGCTAGATCGTGCTTCCCAACCTTTGACGATTAAGAACTTCTTTTATTGATATGCTGGTGATGTAAGTTACACAAGAGCTGGATCTAAGTCAGCACTTACACAAACAGTAGTGTCAGAAGTTTACCTGAAGTTCCCTTGAAATCCTTTGTCTTAGTGTGTTTTCTGTTGCTATGACTGAACACCTGAGACTGGATAATTTATAAAGAAAAGGCATTTATTTCTTACAGTTCTGGAGGCTGGGAAGCCCAAGGTCAAGCAGCTGCACCTGATGAAGGCCATCTTGCTGCCGGGGGACTCTTTGCAGAGTTCTAAGGCGGTGCAGGGCATCACATGGCGAGGGGGCTGAGAATGCCAAAGTGGCTTTTATAACAGACCCACTCTCAGGATGACCAACCCACTCCTGTGATAACCCATTAATCCATGAGTGGATTGATCCAGTCATGAGGGCAGAACCCTTGAGATCCGATCACCTCTTAAAGGCCCCACCTCTTCATTATGTTACATCTGGTATTAAGTTTCAATATGACTTTTGAATGTGTGTCACATTCAAACCATAGCATCCTTAAACACCTGGTTTTGTTTTACACGAAACAGTTGGCTGCATCTGAGGGTCATGTTGTATTAGACACCCATCTGTAAGCACAGGACCTTCCCATGGCCAGATGAGGGTTGCTGTGACAGGCACATGAACCTTCAGACCACAGGATCCACAGAGCAGATCCTGAGGCAGACGTCACATGGAAGGACAGGGAGACCACAGCACCTAAACTGCTCTCCAGTGCTTTCCGGGTACAAACAGGGAGTGGAATTCCCACTAAGTCAAGCTTGCCTCTGATGCTGACTCCTGCATTTCATCCCTCTGAGCCCCAGGATTTAAAGAATTTTATGCACCAAATAGCATGTTCGTTTTTGTTCTGCAAAGTCATACAGACATGGTGGCCAGATATTCTGAACAACCCAATAAACAAGGTCCCCACCTGGGGGTAGTCTAATTGCTCCAAAACCCAAGACACTTGCCCCTTGAGTCAGCCCATGGTGAGAGGTTGATGTCTGAGATGTTATTTGAAATATTGAAAATAACTTTAGGATGTTGCTAGTCTCAGGAACCCAGTTTGAGCACCATTGAACACAGTCACTCTCCCTGCTTCAAAATCCTCCACCCCAGAGTCCTCCCCTCTCCTGAGGCTGAAGCTGATGTGCCTGGTGTCTAGGAGAGCAGCTGGGAGGAGCCACCTTGTGGCGGGGCAGGAGGGAGGAACAGAGCCCAGAGCCAGGATGGAGCCACCATGTGTCAAGTGCTGTATGAGGGACTGTACCTCTATGATACCATTTCATGCTCAGCACAATTTCTAGAGGAAGTCAGCATTCCTGTCCCCATTTTGCAGGCATGAAAGCAAAGGCCTGGAAAGGTTATGTAGTTCACCCATAGTCATGAGGCAAGAAAGTGATAGGCCGGGTCCCACCTGACCCTACAGGCCCCACCCACACTGCTACTCTCCCTTCAGGGACCCTTTAGCTCAGGGAAATTGGGAGACTTTGATGGGCCTCCCACCACTGGCCCCAGGGAGGGCATCATGTCCCACAGCAGACAGGCCCACCATCTCCTTTCTAAGTGCCGCTTTTTTGAGCAATAACAAAGCTCTTGGACCTCATAGTCTCAATTTTCTTCTCGCCCCACCCTCCAGAGATTCTCCATGGTTTCCCTCCCTTTAGAAGTAAGTTAGGAAACTGTGCCGTGAAGTTAACTTCTAGAAGTCATCCATGGATGGGTGGAGCTAACAGCCAGGCAGGGATTGGAGGTCCCATGTGTCTGTCACTCTAGTCTGACCAATTGGCTGTGGAGGTGTGTCCCCACATTCAGTAGGCCTCTATAGGGGATGGAGCAGGCAAGCCCTGGTCTCTAGGCTTCAGCCTGGCGGTGGGTGATGGCCTGGGAGGCTGTCCCTGCTGGAGAATAATGGGAGATCAAATGGCATAGGTGGTGTGAAGACAGGTCTGCACTTTGGAGGAGGATGGATGAATGGGGCAAGGGAATTCTCATTCATTGAGAATGCTGATTAGGAGTTGTGGCCCCAGATTAAGACAGGCGTGGGTTCAAATTCTGGCTCAGGCACTTCTGTACTGTGTGACCTTAGACAAGTGATTCCACCTCTCCGAGCCTCAGTTCCCTCCTCTGAAAAATAGAATGACATTACCTACTTCCCAGAGCTTTACAAGGATTCAATGAAATTGTGTGTGTTCCCTGGCACATAGTAAGAACTCAGTGTATGCCAGTGGTTACTATTATTAGCTACCATGTGCCAAGCCCTGTGCTCAGTATTTTCCATACAACTTGAGGAAGGCTTTTTTTTTTTTTTTTTTTTTTTTTTTTTTTGAGATGGAATTTCACTCTTGTTGCCCAGGCTGAGTGCAATGGCATGATCTCGGCTCACTGCCACCTCTTCCTCCTGGGTTCAAGCAATTCTCCTGCCTCAGCCTCCCGAGTTGCTGGGATTACAGGTTCCTGCCACCACCCCCAGCTAATTTTTGTTATTTTTAGTAGAGACAGGGTTTTGCCATGTTGGCCAAGTTGGTCTCAAACTCCTGACCTCAGGTGATCTGCCCGCCTCAGCCTCCCAAAGTGCTGGGATTACAAGCGTGAGCCACCGCGCCCGGCCGAGGAAGGCATTGTTTTTATCCTGACTTTACAGAGAAGGAATTCAGTTGTATGCAGTTTAGTAACTTGCCCCACCAGCTAAGCTTGGCAGAGCTGGGACACAATCCCCTGTTGGGCACCAAAGCCCTCTTTTTACTCATCCACCCTGCTCTGAAACTGGAACCCGGGCCTCCATATTCTTCACCGGCCCCCAGGCTCACATCATCTATTTTCCTACCTGACTCACCTTTGAGGTTGTGGGAGGCTCTTCCCAGGAGACATGTCTCCTTTGATTGCATTTGTCTGGGAGCCCAGCACTCCGCAAGCCCGGGCCATGAGATGTAATCTGCAATGAATGTGGTACACAATAAATACAGGTAGTCCGTTTATGAGCTGCCATATTTATTACACCCCTTAATTGCTAAAGAGCCAGAGCCGGCTGAAGCTGGATCCTACCCTGGAGAGAAGCTCTGCCTGGGTGGGCAGAGGGAGGGATGGCAGAGCCTGGCCTCCTGCACAGGACTACTCAGCCTCTCGCTGTTGTGGCTGCTCTGCCTCCAAAGGCCCATTCATCCAAGTCAGGGCCTGGCAGAGGAAACAGTCAGGCCATCAGATTCCTGCTCTGCCATTTGACACAAGAAGGCACTGAGGCCAGAGACAGAAAGTGATTTGCCCAAGGTCACACAACAGTGACTTACAGAGCAGAAGCCTGGGCTCCAGACTCCTAGGCCAGTGCTCCTTGTGCCCAACTCTCTGCTTGAACATCTGCTCCTGGATCAGGTAGAGCACAGGATGTGGAGTTGGGTGAGTGGTGTTTTTGAAGCCCAGTCTGTGCATACAAGCTGTGTGATACTGGCCAGGTTACTTGACCCCTCTGAGCTTCAGTGTCCTCTTCTGTAAAATGGGCATAGTACGTCCTGCTTTAGGGGCTTGTTGAGAGATTAAAGGCAGTCAGTTCTGCGGAGTTGGCATGTGACTGGCCATGAGTCAGTGCTCAATAAATGTTCTTTCCTATCCTCTTTTCCCTTTCCAAAGGGCACAGGGTGACTGAAGATGCACGGAGCTGAAGTCAGCCAAGAGCTGAAAGGAGAGATGGGTCAGAATAGAAAGCTCCGGGGTGCAAGGCATTGTCCTGGGTTTATGGTCTAACAGGGAACAGCAGGCCTATGAGTAACCTATGAAGGCAGAGTTAGGTGTAGACGTGATAAGAGCTGTCCATCCTGCTCTGTGCAGGTACAGCGGGGAGCCCTTTACACTGGATGTTTTTATAGGTGAAGAAACTGAAGTTCCAAGAGGCTAAGTCACTTGCCCAAAGACACAGAGGTAGAAAAGGTGATGGGCTGGGATTCGAACCCAGTTGTGTCTGACTTCAGAGCCCATGCTTAGGACCATGCTGGTTGGATGCAGGTTAGATGTTCCTTCTAGAAAGTCAGGGATGATGTGAGGGATGTAGCTGGCAAGCTGGCCTGGAAATGGTATCCTGGGGGACCGTTCTGTAGGAAGAGAGCCTGGGCTTGGTGACGAAGGAAGAGCCAAAGGCCCCACAGTCAGTGATGATGGTTGAGATGCTTAACAGCCAGTATGCACTGGCATGAACCAACCAGAAGAGATGCTGGCCAGACAGCAGGACAGCCATCCCTATGGGTCCCCACTGAATCTCAGCCCTGCCCACTGCCCTCTGGGAGGGCAGGGCCTGGAGAAAAGGAAGGGATAGGTTGTCCTGGTGCCTCCCATCCCAGGCAGGCACCAAAGCAGGCAGCTCTAGGCTTTCAGGCCTCAGGAAGACCTGAGGAGAGAAGGGTGAGCAAGCGGGGCATTAGGGGGGCCTGTCCTGGGCTGTCCTCACCCAGGAGAGGGTACAACAGAGAGAGGAAACGGAGCACAGGAGAACACGACTGTGGGTTTGAATCCTTGTTGCTCCACTTTCTAGCTGTTGGAGGCGAGGAGGATACGAATGACTGGAAGCATGCCTTAGCCCAGCACCAGGCTTCCTTCACACTGCTGAATTAACACTCCCTATGTGGAGGGTTTTACTCAGTCCAAACCAAGTGCAACCCTACTGTGTCCCAGGAGGGCACAGCCACGACTCTGCTCCTCTGGGATTCACCAGGAACGCTGGCTGATGATGTTATGGTATATATTTTGGTGGGGGCAGTGGTAGATGTCAGCAGAAGCCGTGGGATATTATACTAGGGGAAGGCACTGAGCTTGGCTTGATGGGGGCAGGAGGGGGGAATCAGGGAAGGCTTCCTGGCGGAGGTGATGCCTGTGACGAGTCTTAAAGGATGAATAGGAATTAAGTGGGACTGGCATAGTTGGAAAGGCAATCCAAACAGAAGGGATCAGCATGAGCAGAGGCACCAAGTAAGCGTCAGGGACATACCTCTGGGGGACTCTCCTTTGATGGTGGTGATAGGAAAGTCAGGGCAGGAATAACAAGAGGTGGCGATGGTGAGTCTTGGAGGTCCTGTGGTCTGTAGGAGGCAGCTTGGTCTCCTGTAGAGGTTGGGTTCCAGCAAGAGAGGGCTGTGGTGACATGTGCTTTCTGGAAAGCTCCTTCTGGCAGCAGGGAAGCACTGGATTGAAGGGGAGGTAGGGAGGCCAGTCCCAGCCCAGAGGCTGCAGCCATGTCTGGATGAGAGAGAAGGCCAGGAGCAGGGCTGAGGCTGGAGATGTTTCAGAGACCCCTGTGATAGAGAGGATGATGTCATCCGATTTTACCTCCAAAGGCAGATGGCATGTCTTGAATTCAGGCCATGCTCACTGAAGTAAAGACAAATCCGCCCCCCACCCCATCACACACACACCATCCTTTGTCCTTCCAAGCTGGATTGCCTGGGTTCCAATCTTGGCTTCACCACTCACTAGCTGTGACCTCAGACAAGTCACCTCGCCTCTGTCTGACTCAGTTTCCACCTCTGGAAAATAAGGATAATAAGAGTATTAATCTCATGGGTTGTTATGAGTTAGTAAATGTAAAGTATCAGGACGGAGCTGGCACATAGTAAATGCTCAATAAATAGTATTATTTGTAGGGGTGGAGACTTGGGTGGATGATCTCAGGAAAACCCTGATTTCCCATTACCCCAACACAATTTAAGAGAAACCCTTGGGGCACTGTTGGAAGGACAAAGGCTTGGAGCCTGGAGTCCCTGGGTCAGGTTCACCCCATGATTTTTTCCCTTGCATTCCTCACCAGGTAACTTGGTGCCTCAGTTTCCCCTTCCTAGTAAGAGAAGAAGGAGGATGTCCCAGGTGGGCTCTGAGTGTCTTCCCCTCCTGACTTTGATGCTGAGTGGCCCCGCCTGTGCCTCCCCTGCTCAGCATTTTTCCAAGTTGCAATAGGGACCAGTAGAGCAGCAAGGAGGAGGTGTCCCTTTAGGGAGGAAAGCCCTCCGGCCCCAGGGCCAGTGCCAAATCCAAAGCCGATGTGCCTGTCAGACCTTCCTCTTGGGCTCCAGGCACCTTAGCCATGTCTGCCTGGCCAAGCTCAGCTGGTGGACAGACATCTGGCACCTTGGCAGAAACAACGAGAGGAGGGACGCAAGGCACCACCCCTGAGACCAGGAACCTTTCCTGTGTCGACTCCCCACCAGCTGGCTCTGTCTGTGCTCCTCTCTCCATGGATTCAAATGCACTTAAAAACAAACAAACAAACAAACAAAAACACCTCTAGCTCAGACCAAAATGCAGCCTGGAGTGGTGCTGTCATCACTGATTAGGAGAGGGGTGGAGTGGCCCAGCAGGTGAGAGGCAGGCACCGCTCTGCTCCATCTGTTCCTTATGATACGAGGGTGCTGGTCTGGCTGCTGAGGAGAGTGTTGGATTGTGGTTTTGGGCGAGGGCGAGGAGGGGACAGAGTTGCTGAGGCCTATTATGTGCCATGGGCCTTGTCAGTGCTTCCTACAAGCTGTGTGGCCTTGGACAAATCCCTTAACCCTTCTGAGGGCTGGGCTGATGGAAGGATGTGTGGTCATCAGAGTACATACCTCCTTGGTGGTTACAAGGATTAAACGAGATAATATGCGCAAAACCCTGGGCACAGTGCTGGATCCCCAAACAGTGGCTACGATTATTACTGTTTTCCTGACTTCATTTTAAATTGATGAATAATAATTGTATATGTTTATGGAGTCCAATGTGATGCTTTGATACACATTTTACTATTATTAATATTAATAATAAGCCTCCCAGAAACCCTTTGAGTCAGACTTAGCAACCTTATTTTGTGGAAGAAGAAGATAGAGTACAGCCATGTCCTGTGGGAGGAAGCGGGAGCTGCAGAAAGTAATCAGACACCATCTCCCCTACATCCATCCACACCCCAACACATATTCCCAGAACCCTTTGCACTGAGTCCTGTCATGGAGGTACAAACCCCCTGCTGGAAGCACCTGCAGTGCCGGCAGCTCAGGACTGGCTTGAGTTCTGGCCCTTCCCCTTACTAGCTGTGGGACATCGGACATGTCGTTTTCATTCTGAGTCTCGGTTTCCCCACCTGTCTCATGGATCTCTAATCCCTGCCCTGAGTCTCTCCTCAGAGCCGTTATGAAGAAAATGTGAAAATAACGAATATGGAATGTAAACATGTCTTGTGCACCTTGAGGTCTGACTCATGAGAGCAGATGCTGTCAGTTTCCCCTGGGGGATGGGGGACATTTGCATCTCAGTGCAGCCCCGGCTGTGCCTGGCAAGCAGCGGATGCTCAATCAATGTTGGCTGAATGGAATTGTGTTCAATGACTTGCTGCCATGGGTATACTTTTAGGTGAAGACAGGAAGGGCTCCCAGGGAGGTGGGATGCTAGAGGTCTCAGAGTAGAGGTAGCCAAGGCTCAGGGAGGCTTTGGCCCCAGAAGCAGGTTTTAGATCCCCAGGTAGGCTGCTCTCCTTTTCCCTGCAACACCCCATCTCGCTGGCACCAAGCAACCGCCCTGGTCTGTTCTGTGGCTGGAGGGTGTGTGGGTTGGTGGGAAGTTTGTCAGGCCTGGCTTCTGGTCCAGGCTCTGGGCCTTGGTTTTCTCATCTATGAAATGGCCAGCTCACACCTGCAGTAGAGCAACAACGTGAAGCGGGACTGCTGAGCACTTACCACGTGCCCGACGATGTGCTAAGCATGTTACTGTGGGATTTCAGTTCATCTTCACAACACTGCTAGGAGGAAGGTTCTGTTCCTAATCTCCGCTTTAAAGTCAGAGAGAGCAAGACTCAGAGAGGTAGAGTAATTTGCCCAAGGTCACATAGCGAATGAAAGCTAGAGCCAAGGCTGAAACCCAGGCAGGCTGGCTCCAGCATGCTCATCTCTATCATCGGCCTCCATCTTCTTCCAGCCTTTGCAAGGGTGGGGCTGGCTGCGGGGAACCCCTGGGGAGGGGCTGGGGTTCTTCCTGGGTGGGGTCCCCCATCGGGAAGACTGAGGTGGCCTTGTATTTCTAGGTGGAGCACCATGGAAGGCGACTGTCTGAGCTGCATGAAGTATCTGATGTTTGTATTCAATTTCTTCATATTTGTAAGTATTCCTGGGTCTTCCCAGGCCTCTGCTGGGTGGGCAGAACTGGCTGCTGCTTTGAAATAGTCACACTGGGCTGAGTCCCTGGGGCGAGCACAGGGGCCGGCGCTAGAGGCAGGGGTACCTGCCAGCCAGGCTTTCATGGAAGGGGGCCCCCAGCAGTGCCCACCCCACTCTGAAGAGCCCACCTTCTTAGGAGAGACATTTTACACAGGCCCTGGGGTGGGTCAGCCCCTCTCAAAAAGGTGGAGGGGACCTAGGTCCGGCCACTGTCTTGGGATCTGACCCCTCGTGGAGAGTGGGAAAGGAGGGGATGGGGGTGATCAGAGGGCAGCAAGAGGGAGCCCCACCCAACCTTATCTCCCTGAGCAGTTGACGGACTTCAGACCTGGAGGGGCCGAGTCCATGTAGCCACCGGATATAATCAGAAACCTCTCTGGGAATGCAAGACCTGCATTCAAATTCCAGTGCTGCATCTTAGCAGCTTGTGATTTGAGACACATTTCACCTCTCTGAACCTCAGTATCTTCATCTCTTAATGACCTTCCTCAACAGGCTTTTTGAAAATTAAGCAAGATTAGTTTACAAAGTACCCTGGATGTGGGCAGTCCTCAATAGCTTAGCTCCATTTCCATCTAGCCTATGGATTCTGTATATGAAGGGACAGCCCCGGACATTCAGGTGGCCGGCCCACCTGCTGGCGGCCCACCCACATGCTGAGCCCACCCACCTGCTGGTGACCCACTGAAGGCTCTGCTCAGACTCATGGCCCCTCCCAGGAGTAGAGCTGTGGCCCTGGATTCTTGGGCCCCCACAGGCTTTCCTGGTCCAGCCTCAGGCTTTGATCTTAGTACAGCCAAGACCTGGGTGAATAAACCTCCACTCATGTCCTTCAGGGCAGGCTCTTGAAAGAGGGGTCCTCTTTCTGGCCAGGACTGACCGTCTGTCTCTCTCAGTGTCTATCTTTCCCTCTCTATCTCTACCTCTATATCTTTGTGTCTTTTTAAAAAATATACACTTCAGCAACTCTCTTAGCTTCTCTTCCCTGCCTTATAATCCTAAAAAGCCTCAAGCCTTGCAGACTTGAATTCTAGACCCAAGGTCACCACCTTCCAAGCCGGGTGACCCTGAGCCAGCTCATCCTTCCTCCAGCCCCAGTGTTCCCACCCGAAATGGAGCTGGGCCCTCCTTGAAGTGTTTAGCATGCAGTTGCTGAATCCCCAAATCTCCAACAGCAATAAGGAGGCACAGATTTTCCTGGAGGTTGTGCGGGAGACCAACGAGAGAGACACAGGCTGGGTGCAGTGGCTCACATCTGTAATCCCAGCACTTTGGGAGGCAGAGGCGGGTGGATCACCTGAGGTCAGGAGTTCGAGACCAACCTGGCCAACATGTTGAAACCCCATCTCTACTAAAAATACAAAAAGTAGCCATGCGTGGTAGCGGGTGCCTGTAATCCCAGCTACTCGGGAGGCTGAGGCAGGAGAATCGTTTGTACCTGCGAGGCAGAGGTTGTGGTGAGCCGAGATCGTGCCACTGCACTCCAGCCTGGGCAACAGAGTGAAACTCCGTCTCAGAAAAAAAAAAAAAAGGAGAGAGACACTGCACAGCAGATGGCAAAAATGGAAACCCTGTCGCTGGCCATGCCTGTTAAGTCTTTCCTTCTCTTTCCCCTGCTGGGTCCTTCAGGCCTCTCCACTGGACTCCTGCCCTAAGGTCGCCTACAAATGCCCCTTGCCCAAAGCCATCAGCTCTCTTCAGCTTGCAGTCCTGCTCAGCCAAGCCAAAGCCCAGCAGTTTTCCTGTCGCCCAGCTGTCAACCCTCACACAGGCCTCTTGGGCCTCCGGTCCTCCCACCACACAAAGGGATTTCAAATACTTTACAGCCCGCAAATCCCATGGTGCCAAACTTTGGTTCTTCCCACAACAGATCTGCTTCTAATACTTATCTGTGCCCAAGAAAAATGGAATAGGCTGGGCGCAGTGGCTCACACCTGTAATCCCA